>NC_000009.12:42560946-42891556 GCF_000001405.40 Homo sapiens
GAAGACAGGAAGAAAAGTTTGGAACTTCCTAGAGACTTGCTGAATGGTTGTGACCGAAATGCTCATATAGTGATATGGACAGTGAAATCCAGGCTGAGGTGGTCCCAGATGGAGGTGAGGAACTTATTGGGAACTGGAGTTTGCAGTCACTCTTGCTATGTTTTAGCAAGGAGATTGGTGGCATTGTGCTCCTACTCTAGGGATCTGTGGAACTTCGAACTTGAGATGATTTAGGGCATCTGGCAGAAGAAATTTCTAAATTTCTAAACAGCAAAGCATTCAAGATGTAACTTGGCTGCTTCTAACAGCATATGCTCATATGCATTCACAAAGAGATGATCTGAAATTGGAACTTATATTTAAAAGGGAAGCAGAGCATAAAAGATTGGAAAATTTGCAGCCTGACCATGTGGTAGAAAAGAAAAACCAAATTTCTGGTAAGACATTCAACTCAGCTGCAGGAATTTGCATAAGTAAAGAGGAGCAGAATGTGAATAGCCAAGACAATGGGGAAAATGCCTCCAGGACATTTCAGAGATCTTCACAGTAGCCCTTCCCATCACAGGCCTGAAAGATTAGGAGGGAAAAATGGTTTTGTGGCCTAGGCCCAGGACCCCACTGTTGTGTACAGCCTCGGGACATGTCACCCGGAATCCCAGCTGCTCCAGCTCCAGCTGTGGCTAAAAGGGCCCCAGATACATCTCAGGCCACTGCATCAGAGGGTGCAGCCATAAGAAGCCTTTGTGGCTTCCATGTGGTTTTAAGCTTACAGGTGCAAGGAAGGCAAGAGTTGAGGCTTGGGAGTTTCCACCTAGATTGTAAAGGTTGTATGATAATGCCTGGATGTCCAGGAGGAAGTCTGCTATAGGGTCAGAGCCCTCATGGAGAGCCTTTACTAAAGCAGTCTGGAGGTGAAATGTGGGTTTGGAGGCCCCACTCAATGTCCCCACTGGGGCACTGCCTAGTGGAGCTGTGAGAAGAGGGCCACTGTCCTGCAGGCCAGAGAATGGTAGATCCACTGAAAGCTTTCACTGTGTGCCTGGAAAAGCCACAGGCACTCAATGCCAGCCCATGGAAGCAGTCACTGGGGCAGTACCCTGCAGAGCCATGGGGCAGAGCTGCCCAAGGCCTTGGGACCCCACCCCTTGCATCAGTGTGGCCTGGATGCACACCATGAGCAGTAATGGGAAAATTCTTATTGAAAAAGGCAAGAACAAATCAGCCCAGTGAGATGAATTACATGTTGCACTCCTTCCTGGGATGGAAGAATTGAACAATGATAGGATCTTCTACATTTCGGTTTTTACTTTACTGACTCATGGGCAGTGGCCAATGGCCTGGCCATGTAACCAGGAAGAGGGGCAATGGCAAACTGGGCTGTGAAAGGATCCCCACATGGAGCACAGCACTGCAGGAATTTAAAGGGCACATTAAAGTAGGTCATGTCAATGCCCACCTGAAGAACCCCTCCCAGGATCAGTGATCAGATCTGGTAGGTGGATATCCTGGTGACCTTGAGGTGGCCACCTGGGCTTAATGAAGGAGTGGACACAGGGGAGCTGCAGCCGTGCAGGGATGGGCTGCTCAGCAACAAGTCCCTCCTCCACCCTCAGAGGCACCAAATGCCAACAAGAACTGTCCTATCTGACAGCAGGAAGACAGAGACCGCAGGTGGCTATGGGGCAGGTTCCCAGTGGGAAGGCACCACTCATAGCTAACAAGTAGATTATACCAGACTGAAGCCAGTATCCCTGGGAGGCTATAATGGGTCCTGACACATTCTCTGGACTGGGCTTTGCATAGTCATTAGATTCAAATGCCAAAAATACCATAAAAGAACTGGAACAGATGATAAGACATCAACTTGGACCACCAAGTTTTATTTCTTCAGGCCAAAGAACACATTTATAGCCCACAGTGTCCTATAATGGACATACCATGTTGCATATTGTCTTCATCTCCTAGGGCTGCCATAACAAAGTGCCACAAACCATGTGGCTGACTTACAGAACAAAATGCACTGTCTCACAGTTCTGGAGACTAGAAGTCTGAGATCAAGTTCTTGGCAGGGCTGGTTCCTTCTGAGGGCTGTGAGAAAGAATCTAATCCACACTTCTCTCCTAGCTTCTGGTGGTTTGCTGGCAATCTTTGGCATTCCTGGGCTTGTAGAATTCTGCCTTCATCTTCATATGGCATATCCCCTGTGTTATCTCTGTGCACAAATTTCCCTTTTTTATAAAGACACAAATCATACTGGATTAGGGGGCCCACCCTATTACAGCATGACCTCATCTTAACTAATTACATTAACAACAATCTCATTTCCAAATAAGGTCATGTTCTTAGGTACTGGGGGTTCTGAGTTCAGCATACGAATTTTTTATTTAGGGTAACATATATCCCTTTTTTCAGTTTTTATTGTGTTAAAACACACATAAAATTTACCATCTTAACCATTTTAAGTGTACAATTCAGTGGTATTAAATACATTGATAATGTTGTACAATTATGCCCACAACCCATCTGCAAAACTCTCTTCATCTTGTAAAACTGAAATGATATTTATTAAAACCTAACCCCTACCCCCTCCTCCCAGCCCCTGGCAACCACCATTCTAACTTCTGTCTATGAAGTTGATATTCTAGGCCCCTCATTTAAATGGAATCATGCAGTATTTGTTTTTGTGACTGGCTTATTTCACCTAGCATAATGTACTCAAGGTGCATCCATGTTATAGCATATGTCAGAATTTTCTTCCTTTTGGAAGCTGAATAATATTCCACTGTATGTATGTATATGTCAGATTTTGTTTTTCCATTCATCCCTCAATGAATGCTTAGATTATTTCCACTTTTGGCTATTGTGTCTAATGCTGCTATGAACACGGGTGTACAGATATTTCTTTGAGACCCTGCTTTCAATTATTTTGGTATTCCACCCAGAAGTGGAAATGCTGGATCATAGGGTAATTCTGTTTCTAATTTCTTGAGGAATCACCATACTGTTTTCCATACCAGATGTATGGTTTTATATTCCCACCAACAGGAATATAAGCATTCCAAACATGAATTTTGTGGGAACATATTTCAAACCATAGCAGTCACCAAAAGCTCAAGCAACAAAACAAAAAATAGATCAGTTCAATTTCATTAAAAAGTTCTCTGTTTCAAAGTCGACATGGTTTGGCTGTGTCCCCACCTAAATCTCATCTTGAGTTGTAACTCCCAGAATTCTCATGTGTTGTCGGAGAAACCCAGTGGAAGGTGACTGAATAATGGGGGCAGGCCTTTCTTGTGCTATTCTCATGATAGTGAATGAGTCTCAGGAGATCTGATGGTTTTAAAAATGAGAGTTTCCCTGCACAAGCTCTCTCTTTGCCTGCTGCCATCCATGTAAGACGTGACTTGCTCCTCCTTGCCTTTCATCTTTCACCATGATTGTGTGGTCTCCCCAGCCACATGGAACTGTGAGTCCAATAAAACTCCTTCTTTTGTAAATTGTCCAGTCTCAGGTATGTGTTTATCAGCAGCATGAAAACAGACTAATACAATGGTTACATAAGAAAATAAGGACAACCACAGAATGGGACAAAAACTTATAAGTCCTATATCTGATAAGGAACACATGTTCCAGATGATATAACCACTCTTACAACTCAATAAAAAGAAAACTCAATTTAAAAATGGGCAAAAGATGAATAGACATTTCTTCAAAAAGATGAAAAATGGCCAATAAGCATGTGAGAAGGTGCTCAATAACATTCATTATTAGGGAAATGCAAATCAAAACACAATGATACACCACTTCACCCCAACGAGATAACTAAATTCAAAAGACAAACAATAAGAAGTCTCAGCAAAAACAGGAAACTGGATAAGAACCTTCATTCAATGCTGAGGGAATGTAAAATCTTGTCTGTTGTGGAAAACATTTTGGTAGTTTCTCAAAAATTAAAACAGAGTTATCATATGATCCAGTAATTACACTCCAAGATATATACTTAAAAGAAATGAAACCACACAAAAACGTATACCTGAATGTTCACAGCAGCATTATTCATCAAAGCCAAAGTGGAAACAAGACCACTCAAGCCAGCCCTGCCTCGGAACCTGACAAAGTTAAATGGAAGCCTACAGAGCTGAGCTGCATTTCCATGGGAGACATTTTGGTCATTCCAGGTGATGATGAACTACACCAATTGTTAGTGGCTGAGAAGAACCTCAGGAATGTGCCAGCATCTTTTGACTTTTATTTCAGGGGGCTGCATCTACTACCACAACATGCAATATGGGTAACACTGGCATGGCTGGTTAGATTTGAGTACCTCATGTAAATAAGTCATGTGGTAATAGTGATATTGATGATCAAATGTATTGGGAGATTGAGTTAAGGTCTCCTCAGGATGTAATACCAACGGAAAATGAATCTTTAGAAGAACTATATTTAGTTAACCATCACCTAATTTCCAGATAAATAGTTCTGCACAGGTCATATAAGATACAAAGAGCAGTATACCAAGGGGGAGGATGATCTTGGGGACTCCTGAAATATACTGTAAATAACCCAGATATCCTCCAGTAAATAAATGGATATACAAAGTGTGGTATACATACATATGTACATACAGTGGAACATTAGTCAGCCGTAAACAGGAATGAAGTACTGATACAGCCTACACAATGAATGAACCTCAATAAACCGTAGAATCCTGCTAAGTGAAAGAAGCCAGTCAGAAAAGACCAGATATTGGATGACACATTTATATAAAATGTCCAGAATAGGCAAATCTAGAGACAGAAAGCAGATTCATGGTTGTCAGGGGTTGAGGGAAGGAGGAAATGAGAAGTGATTAAGTGAATTAATGCATGTTAACACCTTAAACTTTGGGCAACTGCCCAATCACACAGACAGTGCAGTCTCATTCATGCATTACATGACAAAACAAAGAGAAAAGCCTGGGTAGAAATACCAACATGTATATTATGAAAAATATAACACCTAAATAAACAGAGAAACTATGTTCCTTAATGAGCAAATTCAATATTATAAGGTTGCCAATTCTCCTCCCATAGTTTCTCAAAAGTTGCAATGTAATGCAATTTTAATCCAAATGGCATGGTTATCTAGACAAGAAAAAAATTGATTGTAAAATTTATATGAAATAATAAAGGTGTGAGAACTGCAAGGAAAATTTTCAAATGGAAAATTATTACAGGAGAAAGGAGTGTGGAGACCTTGCTCTGTATGGTAGAAGTCAAAGACAGCTACCGTCAATTCTTTCCCTTCCTCAACACACATTGCTTCTCAAGAGGTGAGGAATAGCTCCCTTCCCCTAGAATCTGGCTGCCTTGCAACTTGCTCAATCCATAGAATATGACATAAATTCCATTCTGGGAATTCTACTATTGGATTTTTTTTTTTTTTGAGATGGAGTCTCCCTCTATTGCCAGTCTTGAGTGCAGTGGTGCAATCTCAGCTCACTGCAACCCCCGCCTCCCAGGTTCTAGAGATTCTCCTGTCTCAGCCTCCCAAGTAGTTGGGACTACCGTCACACACCACCATGCCCAGCTAATTTTTGTATTTTTTTTTTTTATTGGAGACGGGTTTCACTATGTTGGCCAGGATGGTCTCGATCTCATGACCTTGTGATCTGCCTGCCTTGGCCTCCCAAAGTGCTGGGATTACATGCGTGAGCCATCGCACCTGGCCCGATTTTTTTTTTTTTTTTTTTAAAGAAACTGAAGCCTCTACTTCGGTCTCTTGGTAGCCTTGCTCCTGGGAAGCTCTTTCTTGAATCTAGTCACCATTCCATTCCACCAGGCCACATATGTCTTCTCCAGGCAACAGCCAACATCAATTGTCAGCCGTGTAAGTGAGTTTCAGATGACTGTGGCCCCGGCTAATGTTTGACTGTAGCACATGTGAGAGGCCCCATGCAGAAACCCCTATAACCATGGAGAGCAGTCATCCTGCAGAACCATGAGTAAGTTAAGCTTAGGGGTGGTTAATTATGCAGAAATAAGTAAACAGAGCACTCCACCAGGTATTAAAGATTATTACAAAGATTATGTAATTAAAACAATACAGAACAGACCAGGGTTGACTACAAGATCAATGGGACAGAATAAAGTTACATATCCAATGCCTGCTGCTGACCACAGGGATTTGTCACAGATCTCATCAGTTAGAAACCCTACAGTGGTTTCCCTGGTCACCTTCCAGTCACCACTACACCTTGGCTCCTTTTAGCACGCCTCCCTAGGTTATCACTATATGAAATTGCTTTATCTCTTTGTATTGTCTGTCACCTGCCACCATAATGTGAATTTCTAGACCTCCATAGCATGCAAAGCTCTAGAACAGTTCTTAGAACACAGAAGGTGCTTGACAAATATTTTCTGAAAGAAAAAGAAGATACTTCAATACCTCAGTTTACTAATGAGGTGGGGCTACCATATGGCTGCCTGAACAAATACAGCTTGACATTCACTTTCTTGCTAGTGATTGAAGTGTATTAACTTGTGTACTCACACAACTACCCTACGGGGTAGGTGCCCTTATTTCTCCATTTGGCAGAGAGGGGCTAAGTATCTTAACCAAGGTCACACGGCTTTCAAGTGCCAGAGCCAGGACTCAGATCTACATAGGTCTGGCTCCAGAGCCCCCAGTCTAACCTCTTAACCTCTCTGCTTTACTGGGCTAAACCTTCACCACCTATCATATGGAAAAAGAAATTCAATAGAAATTTATATGGAAAAAATACAACTCTGTGTTAATATTAAAAAATCCATAGTAACATGTACAATGAGGAAGCTTCCTCAAGCCCAACTATACAGGTCAGATCGGTTGAAAAAATAAAACTAACACATTTTTACATGTCAAAATATGCAATATTTGAAAATCCAAGGCTAGTATCTTTAAATAGGCAAAGATTTATTAATACTCCTTGACACACAAACAGGAAGTGAGAAAATGGGCAAGTGACACAAATCGATAATTAACTGTGAGGACATAGGTGGTGGAGTCTCTCCTAATCCTCTATTCTTGGAGATCTGGATGCCTGCCATTCGCGTATGGGAAGAACAGAGACGGTCATGGAAAACAGCATTTAATCTAGAAAGGACCACAATGAGGTCAAAGGGCGGTCTCAGGGCAGTCTTAAGAGCTCCCCATCCCCAAAGAACTGGCAAGGACTCTCCAGGTGCTCGTATGCGACTGCTGCCCAACTCCCATCACGAACTCAGAAGACCTGTCATTTTCTGAAATTTTCATGACTTCTAAGACACTAGTTACTGGGGGAAAACTTCAAATTATTTAAATTATGAGAGGCGAATAACATTGCTAAACTCATGAATACTCTGTATTTAAAACCTCTACTGGCGATCAGGGCACATAGAATCTCTACTACTGATCCCTGACGCTGGCCATCCCCCAACCCATCGGCCCACGGACCCCAGCCCTGACCCCACCTCCTCCCAGCATCTTACACAAGGATTCTCACCACACTCCCCAGAGACTCGCCTGCCCAGGGCCCCTCTCTAACCCCATATAGCTCAGGTCTCTGACCCCGAGACAGCATCACCGACCTCTCCCACTACCTATTTCCAGATTAGAGTCCCTGATCCCAGAGGCATTGTCTAAAATAACTAGCTCTTACAACTACGTCCACTTCAGGAACCGCCCTGTGATGTCAGAACTTTGAGGCCGCCCGGCCAGGGCTGCACATGCTCAGTGAGGCCGGCGCCCGCCAGTAACAAACATGGCTCCCTGAAGCCACTCAGGCTCAAGAGCAACATGGAGGTCTGCACTTAATCGCTCCTCTCCGGGGGCGGCCATACTGAGGAGGCATCTCTTCCGTGCAGGCAGGCTGTCCTGGGGACCTCAGAGATTCTCTCCAGCGGCAGCGGAAAATGGGCAATGGGTGGATTCGGGTCCAGATTCTGGCAGGAGGGAGTTTGGGATCGAGATCTGGAAAAAAGCACTAGACTGGAAGAGGACGCGATGGAGTCGGAGCCGCTGGCGGGGACAAAACCAGAGGCGGTGGAAGGCGCCGGTGGGAGGCAAGGCACGGATGGACTTTACCTGCGCACGCGTCGCAGCCATCTCCGCGCACAGTGGTGGCCACCGCGACTGGTGCTGAAGTGTCGGCGCGTGCCGGGCGCTCCGCTGGGACCGGGGTTGCTGGCCCTGAGTCTGAGCTTTCTCATCTGTACGGTTGGGACAAGTACAGTAACCCTCGCCCGTCAAGACGGGCCAGGGCTGTCGCGAGGGTCCACGCCTTAGAGCAGGCACCTATCTTCTGCAGGGCCCTGAGATGGGGTCTGACTCAGTTCCTGCGGGGAACTTCACCAGTACCCAGTCAGTGCCCTTCAGTTAAAGACCACCAGGAGCACACTTGTAATTACATTGCAGCAAGGAATGGGGTACTATGGGTCATCTCAGTGGGAGGAGTTAGAGAGAAACTGTTATACGATTTGGGCTTTAATTGGTTGATTTCGGACAGGATCTCAGAAAGTGAAGACTTTAGATTGGATGCTGTCAGAAAGCAGGAGCAATATGATTATTAAGTATTTTCTGGGTGGCATCAAGACCTTGTTTTTTATCTGCACTTAGACAACATTATAAAGTGCCCTTGTTTTTGTTTGCACTTATCACGGTCTCAGATTAACCTTCTGAAGTTGATATTCTGTGAGATTGTTTATGTCCAACAGGAAAACAAAATGTCCTGGCCATGAGCATCAGACTAGCGTGTAATAACATTAAGGCCTGTGACCCAAATATTGACAGAATTGAAGTTAGAAATAGTTCTACAGTAATAGAGTCTTCAATACTCCATTTAAAATAATGCATAGAAGCTGGACATGGTGGCTCATGCCTTTAATCTCAGCTACCTGGGAGGCTGCGGCAGGTGGATTGCTTGAGGTCAGGCGTTCGAGACCAGCCTGGGCCTTTTGGCCTGTCTCGGCTTTTAACATACCTTCCTCACTCAGCTTAATCATTTCTCACTTTAGATTTATAATAAGAGATGTGTGACTCTTACTTTCACTTGAACACAGAGGCCTTTATAGAGTTATTAATTGGCCTAATTTCAATATTGCTGTGTCTCAGAAAACAGACCTGAGGAGAGGGGGAGATGGAGGAAGGGCAGATCGATGGAACCATTCGAATACACATAGGTATCAATTAAGCTCATTGTCTTTTGGACCATGGCTTGTGATGCCCCAAAACAATGACAATAGTAATATCAATGATCACTGATAACAGATCACCATAACAGATATAATAATAACAAAACATTTGAAATACTACAAGAATTACAAAGATGTAACACAGAGGTGCAAAATAAGCACATGCTACCAGAAAAGTGGCACTGGTAGACTTGCTTGGTGCACGGTTGCTACAAACCTTCAACCTGTAAAAACTGCAATATCTGAGAAGCATAATAAAGTGAAGTGCAATAAAACAAGGTAAGCTTGTATATGTATGCATGCACACACCAATACACATCCATCTATCCACACACAAATATTTGTACTAACAAAGCCTGTATTTTCAATTCCAGCAATACATCATTTGTACCTTAAAAATATCTGTCATCCTTGTAGTGTCCTTTTCTGTCTTTGTTATCAGGGTAATGCTGGCCTCATAAAAAATGTTTGGAAGTGTTCCCTCCTCTTCAACTTTTGGAAGTGTTTGTGAAGAAATGGTATTAATTCTTCTTCAAACTTTTGGTAGAATTCTCCACTAAGCTATCTGGTCTTGGATTTTCCTTTTTCAGGAGCTTTTTGACTACTGACTCAATATTTTTACTCATTATTTATCTGTTTTTATTTTATATTTCTTCATGTTTCAGTCTTAGTGGATGTATGTTTCTAGAAATTTCTCTATTCTAAGTTAAACAATTTGTTGACACATAGTTGTTTAGACTATTATTATCCTTTGTATTTCTATGGTACCAATTTTAATATCTCCTTTTTTGTTCTAATTTTATTTACTTGAGATTTCTTTTTTCTTAGCCTAGTAATAGGTTGGTCAATTTTTATTATCTTTTCAAAAAATCAGCTCTTCATTTCATTGATCTTTTCTATTGTTTTTCTAGTCTATTTCATTTATTTCTGCTATGATCTTTGTTATTTCCTTCTTCTAATTTTGGGCTTGATTTTTTTTTCTATTTTTTGAGGTTTATTTGAGATCTTTTTTCTTTATTTAGCACTTATCTGTATAAACTTCCCTCTCTTAGAATGGCTTTTGCTTCATCTCATAAGTTTTAGTATGTCGTGCTTTCATTTTAGTTTGTCTCAAGTTATTTTATTTCTTTTTTGATGTTTTCTTTGATCTACTGGTTATTGAGGAGTGTGTTGGTTGATTTCCACATATTTGTCACTTTTCTAAGTTTTCTCCTGTTTTTAATTTTCAGTTTCATGCCACTGTAGTCAAAAAGAATACTTGGTGAGATCTCAATATTCTCAAATTTGCTAAGACTTGTTTTCTGGCCTAATATATGACCTATGTTGGAGAATGTACTGTGTATGCTCGAGAAGAATGTGTATTTTGCTGTTTTGGAAAGGAATGTCATGTATATGTCTGGTCCATTTGATCTATAGTGTAGTTCACGTCAGCTGTTTCTTTAATGATTATCTGTCTGAATGATTAATCCATTGTTGAAAGTGGGATATGGAAGTCCCCTACTGTTATTGTATTATTGTTGTCCACTTCTCTCTTCAGATTTGTTAATATTTGCTTTATATAATTAGGTGCTCCAATGTTGGGAGAATATATATTTGCAGTAGTTATATCCTCTTGATGAATTGACCCTTGTATCATTCTATAATGACTTTCTTTGTCTCTTGTTACAGTTTTTGACTTAAAATCTATTTTGTTTGTTGTAAGAATAGCTACTCTTTGTCTTTTTTTGTTCCCTCTCTTTCAGTCTATGTGTGTCTCTAAAGGTGAAGTGAGTCTCTTATAGGTGGCATATATTTGGTTCTTGTTATACTATCCATTCAGCCACTCTGTGTCTTTTGTTTCACTAATTTGGTCCACTGATATTTAAAGTAACTATTGATAGGCATTTTGTAGTTTTTTTGTTCTTTTATTTCTCTCTTGCTGTGCATGATTTGATTACTTTCATTATTTTCTGTAGTGGTATACTTTGATTCTTTGCTGTGCCTTTGTATTAATTCTTTTTTAAACATGTGGTAAAATTCTCATTTGTGTATCTGTTACATGTTTGTCTTTGTGATTATCATGAGGCTTACATAAAACATTGTATGCTATCGTGTGCCACACAAGGATGTTTTGGCCAATGATGGGCCACATATACAACGGTGGTCCCATAAGGTTATAACATTTTTATTGTACCTTTCATATGTTTAGATACATTAGATATACAAATGCTTATGATTGTATTACAGTTGCCTATAGCATTCAGTATAGTACAGTGCTGTACAGATTTGTAGCCTGGAAACAATAGGTTATACCATATAGCCTGGGTGTGTGTTAGCTAGTATTATCTAATTTTGTGTAAGTATACTCTATGATATTCACACCATGACAAAATTGCATTATTCAGAACATATCTGCATTAAGAAATGCATGATTGTAGTTATAATGGTCTATTTTAAGTTGATAACAACTTAACTTCAATCATATAAAAAAACCCTACACTTTACTCCCCTCCACTTATGTTTTTTGATGTCAGAGTTTCTTTCTTTGTATATTTTGTAATTATATTTATTTGTAGTATTTTTTGTCTTTTAACCTTTTAAAAGTTAAAGTGATTATACTGCATCATTACAGTATTAAGAGTATTTTGAATTTGACTGTATAGTTACCAGTGACTTTTTATAACTACATATGGTTTCATGATACTAATTAGTCTTATTGCATTTCAGTTTGAGGAACTCCCTTTAGGGTTTCTTATAAAGCAGATCTAGTGACAGTGGACTCCCCTAGATTACTCTGGGGGGTTTCTGAAAAAGTCTGTAAGTCTTAGCCAGAGCAATTAGGTAAGAAAAAGAAATAAAAGGCATCCAAATTGGAAAAGAAGTGAAAGTGTGTCTATTTCAAGATGACATGATCTTATACAGAGAAAATTCTAAAGGCTCCAAAAAGAAAACTTGTTAAAATTAAGAAACAAATTCAGCAAATTTACAGAACACATAATTGACATTAAAAAAAAAAAAAAAAACAACCTGTTGCATTTCTATATACTAACAGTGAACTATCCCAGAAAGAATTTAAGAAAACAATCTCGGGCTGTGCGCGGTGGCTCACGCCTGTAATCCCAGCAATTTGGGAAGCTGAGGCAGGTGGATCATGAGGTTAGGAGATCGAGACCATCCTGGCTAACACAGTGAAACCCCATCTCTACTAAAAATACAAAAAATTAGCCGGGCATGGTGGCAGCCACCTGTACTTGGGAGGCTGAGGCAGGAGAATGGTGTGAACCTGGGAGGCAGAGCTTGCAGTGAGCTGAGATCACGCCACTGCACTCCAGCCTAGGTGACAGAGCGAGAGTCCATCTGAAAGAACACAATCTCATTTACAATAGCATCAAAAAATTAACTTAGGAATAAATTTAAATCAGAAAGTAAAATTTCTATATACCAAAAACTATAAAACACTGATGAAAGAATTTGAAGATAAAAGAATCTCTATTACTCAGTGTGATCTACAGATATAATGCAACCCCTATCAAAATTTCAGTGGCATTTTTCAAAGAAATGGAAAAAAGCAATTCTAAAATCTGTGTGCAACAGACCCCAAACAGTCAAAACATCATTGAGCAGAAAAAACAAAAGTGGAAGCATCACATTACCTTATTCCAAACTAAATTATAAAGCTATAGTAATTAAAATAGTACGGTACTGGCATAAAAACAGACATGTAGGCCAAGGGAAAAGAATAGAGAGCACAGAAACAAATCCATGCCTTTACAATCAATTGATCTTCAGCATTGGTGCCAAGAATACACAATGATAAAAGTTTAGTCTCTTTAATAAATGGTGTTGGGAAAACTGGATATCCACATGCAGAAGAATGAAACTGAACCCTTATCTGACCCTACATACAAAAATTGACTCAAAATTGATAAAAGACCTCAACCTAGGAGCAATATTGTAAAACTCTTAGACATAAATATAGGAGAAAAGCTCCTTGACACTGGTATTGGTAATAAATTTTCAGATTTGACACCAAAAGTATAGACAACAAAAGCAAAACTAGACAAATGGGACTAAATCAAAAGATTCAGCACAGCAAAGGAGACAATCAATACAATGAAAAGACAACCTAAAGAATGGGAGAAAATATTTACATGCTATATATCTGATAAGAAGTTAATATCCAAATAAATTAGGAACTCAGATGATTCCAAAGGACCTTGTATTAGTCTGTTTTCATGCTGCTGATAAAGACATACCTGAGACTGGGTTATTTATAAAGGAAAAAGAGGTTTAATGGACTCACAGTTCAACATAGGTGGGGAGGCCTCATGATCACAGTTGGAAGGTGAAAGGCAGGTCTTACATGACAGCCAGCAAGGCAGGATGAAAGCCAAGCAAAACGGGAAACCCCTTATAAAGCAATCAGATCTTGTGAGATTTATTTACTACCACGAGAAAAGTATGGGAGAAACTGCCCCCATGATTCAATTGTCTTCTGCCAGGTCCCTCCCACAACATGTGGGAATTATGGGAACTACAATTCAAGATGAGATTTGGGTAGGGACACAGCCAAATCATATCATTCTGCCCTGGCTCCTCCCAAATCCCATGTCTTCACATTTGAAAGCAAATTACGCCTTCCCAACAGTCCCCCAACATCTTAACTCATTTCAGCATTAACTCAAAAGTCCACTCTCCAAAGTCTTATCTGAGACAAGGCAAGTCCCTTCCAGCTATGAGCCCATAAAGTCAAAAGCAAGTCAGTTACTTTCCAGATACAATGGAGGTACAGGGAGGGGGTAAATATACCTGTTCCAAATGGTTGAAATTGGCCAAAACAAAGAGGCTACAGGCCCCAAATCCAAAACTCAGTAGTCCAGTCAAATCTTAAAGTGCCAAAATGCACTCCCTTGACTCCATGTCTCACATCCAGGTCACACTTATGCAAGAGGTGGGCTCCCACGGCCTTGGGCAGCTCCACCCCTGTGGCTTTGCAGGACATATCCCCCCTCCTGGTTGCTTTCATGAGCTGGCATTGTCTGTGGCCTTCCTGTGTGCATGGTCAAGCTGTTGGTGTATCTACCATTCTGGTGTCCAGAGGACGGTGGCCTACTTCTCACAGCTCCAGTAGGCAATACCCGAGTGGGGACTCTGTGGGGGCTTCAACCCTACATTTCCCTTCTGCACTGTCCTAGCAGAGGTTTTCCATGAGGGCCCCCCGCACCCCACAGCAAAATGCTGCCTGGACATCTAGGTGTTTCCATACATCCTCTGAAATCTAGGCAGAGGTTCCCAAACCTCAGTTCTTGACTTCTGTGCACCCACAGACTCAACACCATGTGAAACTGCCAAGGTTTGGGGCTTGCGCCCTCTGTAGCCACAGTCCACGCTGTACCTTGGCCCCTTTTAGCCATGGCTAAAGTGGCTGGGATGCAGGGCATCAAGTCTCAAAGTGGCACACAGCAGGGGGCCTCTGAATCCAGCCCAGGAAACCATTTTTTCCTTTTAGGCCTCCTGGCCTGTGATGGGAGGGACTGCCACAAAGGTCTCTGACATGTCCTGGAGATATTTTCCCCATTGTCTTGGGGATGAACATTTGGGTCCTTGTTGCTTATGCAAATTTCTGCAGCTGGCTTGAATTTCTCCTCAGAAAATTGGTTTTTCTTGTCTATCACATCGTTTGGCTGCAAATTTTCCAAAGTTTTATGCTGTTTCCTTTTAAAGCTGAATGCTTTTAACAGCACCCAAGTCACCTCTTGAATGCTTTGCTGCTTAGAAATTTATTCTGCCAGCTACCCTAAATCATCTCCTTCACGTTCAAATTTCCACAAATCTCTAGGGCAGGGGCAAAATGCTGCCAGTCTCCTTGCTAAAACATAGCAAGATTTACCTTTACTCCAGTTCCCAACAAGTTCCTCATCTCCGTCTCAGACAACCTCAGCCTGAATTTCATTGTCCATATCATTATTAGCATTTTGGTCAAAGCTACTCAACAAGTCTCTAGGGAGTTCCAAATTTTCTCATGTTTTTCTGTCTTTCTGTGAGCCCTCCAAACTGTTCCAACCTCTGCCTCTTACCCAGTTCCGAAGTTGGTTCCACATTTTTGGATAACTTTACAGCAGCACGCCACTCTACCAGTACCAATTTACTGTATTCATCTGTTTTCATGCTGCTCATAAAGGCATACCAAAGACAGTGTGATTTATAAAGAAAAAGAGGTTTAATGGACTCACAGTTCCATGAGGCTGGGGAGGCCTTACTTATGGTGGGAGGCTAAAGGCACATATTACACAGCAGCAGGCAAGACAGGATGAAAGCCAAGTGAAAAAGGAAATCGCTTATAAAACAATCGGAACTTGTGAGGCTTATTTACTACCACAAAAACAGTATGGGGAAAACTGCTCCCATGATTCAACTGTCTCCTACTGGGTCCCTCCGATAACACATGGGAATTATGGGAGCTACAATTCAACATGAGATTTGGGTGGGGACACAGCCAAAGCATATCAGACCTGAAGAGATACATTTCTAAAAGACATACGATTGACAATAGGTATATACTAATAAAAGGATGTTTGCCATCACTAATCATCAGGAAAATGCACAATGAGATATCACTTCACATCTATTAGGATGGCTATTGTAACAGTAAAAAGGTAACAAATGTTGCTGCGGATATTGAGAAAAAGAAACCCTTGTGCTTAGTTGATAGTTGATGGGAACGTAAATTGGTACAGCCATTAGTGACAACAGTATGGAGTTTCCTCAAAAAATTAAAAATGGAACTCCCATATAATCCAGCAATCCCCATCTGGGTATATATCCAAAGTAAAGAAAATCACTATCTCAAAGAGATATGTATACTTACATGTTCATTGCAGTGTTATGTACACAGCCAAGATATGGAAACTACCTGTGTCCATTGACAGATGGATGTTTTAAATGTATTACACACACACACACACACACACACACATATGTAATGGAATATCATTCAGCCTTTAAAAATGAGGAAATACTGCCATTTGTAACAAGATGGACAAACCTGGAGTTTATTATGGTAAGTAAAATAAGCCAGGAACACACACAGAAATATCCTGCATGATTTCACTTATATGCATACTTAAAAAATGTCAAACTCATGGTAAGAGAGTAAAATAGTGCTTACCAGGGCCTGGGAGTTGGGGGAAAAGAAAAAATGTTTGTCACAAGGTACAAACTTTCAGTTATAAGATGAATAAGTTCTGGAGATCTAACGTACAGCATAGTGACTAAAGTCAATAATAATGTATACTTGAAATTTGCTGAAAGAGTAGATCTCAAATATTCTCCACCACACAAACACAAATAAAAAGGTAACCAGGTGAGGTGATGAATATGTTAGCTTGATTGTGGTAATCATCACTTCACAATGTATATGTATATCAAAATATCACACTGCACACCTTAACTATATACAATTTTTCTTTGTTAATCAATAAAACTGGCAAAAATATCTGTTATATGTTGCCTTGACTCCATTTCTTCTTATTTTGTCAAAATAGATAGTCCTCATTGTTTGCACAAGTTTAGAAAGGTGTGCTACATCTGGAAGCCAGGAGTGGGGTAGGGTGAACTAAGTTACTGATTCTTTAGGAACCTTAGGGTGTGAGGTGGGACTGGAGTTCAAGGCCTAGGAGCCGAGTCTGGTCTTGATCAGTCTCTTTTTTTGTTTTGTTTTGTTCTGTTTTGAGACGGGGTCTCACTTTGTTGCCCAGGCTGGAGTGCAGAGGCACGATCTGGGCTCACTGCAACCTCTGCCTCCCAGGCTCAAGCAATCCTCTCACCTCAGCCTCCCAAGTAACTGGAACCACAGCCATGTGCCACTATGCCTAACTAATTTTGTTGTATTTTTGGTAGAGATGGGGTTTCGCCTTGCTGCCCACGCTGGTCCTGAACCCCTGAGCTCAGGTGATCCACCCACCTCGGCCTCCCATACTGCTGGGATTACAGGTACGAGCCACCACGCCTTGCCATGAGCAGCCTCTTCTGATATCCGTGGTGTGTTCTGTACACTTTTTTTTTGTCTGAATGCACCTTTCCTTTCTCCTCCCTTGCACTCCAGAACCGTGGATACTCAAGTCTATCCTGAACCATATAGAGGGGGAGCTTGGAGTGCTATATGAAATTCATTTATGATATCATTCTTCATTCCTTCACAGAAGTAACTCAGAGTTCAATTAGGGATTCACATGGTAAATTTGTCTTAATGCTCCAAGTGGGCTTAAAGGAACTTCCTTCTTGTCGGCCATCATGTTTGTATACAACTGTAATGGGAATTTGAGTTTGTATGACTAGTGTCATGAGCACTCATGTTTGTGAGCACACCTCTGCATCTGCTATTTCTTCTATTGGCCTACAGACTTTTCCTTCTTTAGGATATTATCAACTTGAATTCAAATTTTTATCAAAAATTGGACCTAGCTCTTTTTATTCATATTTTCCTGCTACATTTTTTCCACTAATTTATTTTCGATAGGTTATATTGTGTTTTTTGACACTTAAAAATTTTACCTAACAATCTTAACCTTTGATTTATGTAATTATTGTTCCATTATGACTTCTTTCTGTTATCTCATTTATGATTTTTCATACTTTACTGTGTCTTTTTTCCTATTTGTACCTCTCACTCTATAGATCAAAAATTTTTCATTTGTTTGAAATCTGGAAATTTTTAACATTGTAATGGTGGTTATGTCATTACTTATGTTAATTTTCTCAATTTCCTCCATGTGTCAAAATTAATATCATCTCAGCAAACCAAATAAGTACTCTAGCCTCCTCTTGCCACCTCTGGTTTGCTTTCTCTGTTAAGACAGCACTTTGTCTAAGGTGGTACTTTCTGAAGTTTACTCGGAGTTGTTTTCAATATGTTATGTTTTCATGTATTTTTTAGGGTATGATAAACACCACTACCATTGATTCTGGAACCCTCAATTCTAACACCACGGTGTATTTCTCTTCTTAGTGGAGTATGTCCTCTAGGCATTTTCAAAGGGATTTATTTGAAATAAAACTTTTGAGGCCTTACTTTATAATGTCTTTTTCTGTGCTTTCATATTTAAAATATTTTGGCTGCAAATAATTCAAGGATTAAAAATTGTTTCCTTTTAATCCTTGAAAAATATTACTTCATTTTATTCTTGTCTCCAGCATTGCTGTTGGAAAGGCTGATGCCAATCAAAACCAATTTTTCCCTAAAGGATGATCTGTCTTCTCATCATTTTGACAGGATGTAACAAAACAAAGGAGTCTTCAATGTTGTGAGTATAAATCATTTTGCAATTATAAACTTAACTTAAATATTAATGCAATACAAAAAGAATTAAAACCTTCTTGAGACATGCAAGTGCACAGGAAAATTAACTATCATGCACTCATTCAGGAAGAAAAGGTGCAAAAGAAATTTAATGAAAGAGACGGTCGTTAGATGCAAGTGTGGTTGAATGTAGGGATGCGATGCTGACAAGTGGCAGCAGGCCTGGCAAGCTGTCTCTCCCAATTCAACTACTTCAGAAAGAGAAGAATATTAACTAGGCTATCTTGGTGATGTGTTGAAAAAAGGTGCTATGTTTCCTTTTTAATCATTCAAAACAAAGGTAGTAAAATTCCTGGGAAATAAGAAATAATGCATCATAAATGTATAAAAATAGAAGAAAATACTATATTTTTATGAATTTAAAATGCCAGCTATTGTAGATTGTTATCTCTTTTCAGAAGTGCTTTAAAATTGATGGCACATAGTAAAAAAATGGCATAAATTCCAACAATTAATGGAAAAACATTAATCCATCTTCTTGAATCTTGGAACCAGGATTCTTTTGGGAGGCTTCGGTGTATCTGTGTATCATTTCATTGCCTTCACACAAATCAAATCATGCCACCTGCGACTGTGGTTTGAAAAAAAAAGAAAACATAATAATGATGCTGTCAATTCACCTGAGATTCCATGATCAAAATTAACCTATGAACAAAGCACAGACTTTATTATAATTACAAAATAGGATGTAATTTACATAAAATGTGAAAATATAAGTATAGAACCATATTTGATACAAGTCGAAAGCTATGACAGGGACTGTTGGAGGGGAGGGAAGTTGTACACTAATCTCCACATCCTACTGAGCCAATCAGTGGTGTTCAAATTGGATGGACTGTATATTTAAACAATATATTATTTAAGCAAAGAATTAAGCACTGTAAGTATATTATTTAGAGGAAGCAAATTTTTAAAAATCCCTTAAAATTATATATTAAAGACTAAATTGGAAATATAGTTTTAGAAGAAGAAAGTGGGGTAAATGGGCTAGGTGCAGTGGCTCACGCCTGTAATCCCAGCACTTTGGGAGGCCAAGGCGGGCGGATCACGAGGTCAGGAGACCAAGACCATCCTGGCTAACACGGTGAAACCCTGTCTCTACTAAAAATACAAAAAATTAGCCGGGCGTGGTGGCTGGCGCCTGTAGTCCCAGCTACTCAGGAGGCTGACGGAGGAGAATGGCGTGAACCCGGGAGGCGGAGCTTGCAGTGAGCCGAGATAGCGCCACTGCACTCCAGCCTGGGTGAGAGAGTGAGACTCCGTCTCAAAAAAAAAAAAAAAAAAGAAAAAAGAAAAAAGAAAAGAAAGTAGGGTAAATGAGCTATATTCTCTATCGTTCATAAAAAGTCAAGGGATATTACTTAAAACTGATAAAACAAATTAGGTGATTATATAATATTATTTACAGTTCAAGAGAATAGCATATAGTAAAAAAAAGAGTATGATAAAACCTGCCTAACTCTGAAAAACAGGACCAAGGTCTGTGGAAGGAAAAAAAAAGTTTCTGGTTTCCACTGATTTTTTTGCCATCAAACTGTTTGAATGATTTTCCATGCACATGTGTTGCTTTAATTTAAAAATGTTCTTACTCACAGATCCCCTTGAATTACGTGTAAAATTAGGTTTCCTTTAGTCAATGGTGTATGAAAAGTAATCAACTCATCTAACTGAAGTTAGACATTAATAAATTATAATTTGGGGGATAACATAAATATACCTATTAAAAACAACCAGAACATAACAGTTGGCTCTATGTTCTGCTTATCTAGGAATTTTTAAAATTATAAAAAAAAAAAGGAGTTTCACATTTTTAAAGAAACATTAGGAATAAAAATGTAAGTGTTTCTCTTGGATAAAGCTCTTAAAATCACTAGTAGAATAAAGTCAATCTAGATTAAAATTTATATTTTCAAATTTATAATATGACCAATATTGCCATCAAAATGTTCAGGCACAGAACATTTTAAAGTAGCTATTTTATTGTTTCTCAACATCCTCTTTCCTTCTATGATTGGCATCACAAATCATGATTGGGACATCTTATCAAAGAACTATACTTGTAGTTTTTGAGTGAAAAGCAAGGGAGAAATTTTATTTGTGCCTTGACCTTATTGATAATGTGTAACTTGTGATGGCCACTATCAATAGAACTATCAACAGATTCGAAGGGCACTGTTTGTTCCTTTAATATGGAGAAATATCGCAAATAACTGGGAAATAATTTAATGACTGAAGCCTTCATTTTTAATCATATAGCTGAGTGATATTTTAAGTTTGATGAGAATAAACATTTGAACAAAAATAGCCAATTCCCTGTTTCATAATTTAATACATTTGTGTTAAAAGGTTTAGATGATAAAGTTAATTTTGAAATGCATTATAAATAACTAAGTAGCAATCATTAAGTTCATTTTTAAATAACTGTTTAGATAACTTAGTAATTAGCAATCATTAAGTTCATTTTTAACTAACTGTTTAGTCCACAAAAGATAAAAAATATATTTTAGAAGGAGAGGGCATTCCAAAATCTGTCTCAGGGACATTTAATGTCAAATATCTTTCAATGAAGCAGAAATGTAAATACATGTTTAGATAATTTAGGTTAAAAAAGGTAAATTTTGGTTGCCTGCTTAACTTTTATGAAACAGATATTTTCATTCAAGTCCAGCATATATTTTGCTATGACTTCCACATCCTTTCCTCAGAGAATATTTACCTAAACATTAGGGTACCAAAGGAACTAGGAAACAAAAACTTCTTATTAGAGAGAGAAATTTTTAAGTGAGGCACACATTCTAATGATAGTAATTTGTTTTTGACATTTTATTAATATTTTGATAACACTAATAAAATCCAAAGGGGCAAGCAGGTATTACTGTCTCAGGGTGGGCCCTCTTTTGTCATCCTCTGTAAGATCGCAGTCATCAAAGAGCGTGACCCAAGAAGAAAGTAAAACAGTGGAACAAATGAGCATTTCTCTAAATACAAACAGTAGAGTCCTTGAGAAAGAATCCTTTAAGGCCTTAGATTTCTTTAAACATTTTTAGATAAATAGTCTGGCCTATGCAGAACAAAATGAAATGGTGATAATGAACAGGATAGTGAAGTTTTGTACTGACATAAATGGCGAGTTGATTAATGCTTAGGATAGTGTGAAAGAAGAACTGAATGAAAAATGAAAATCGAAAGAAGAAATACCCAGACAGACCCTTTCCTAAAACATGCATCATAAAATATTTAAAAGCATCTGCTTTAATGCATGGGCTGAGTCAAAGTAAGGCAAATTTTCAGATATCTAGAAGAGCAAAAAAAGTCTGAATCCAGAGGTGTGAGTGTCTCATCTGGCATTTGCCCTGCGGTGTCTCCCAGGACCTACTGGCCCAGACCCATGAGCACCTAATTCAGGAAACAGAGACTGATGCCCATGCAGGAAGGAATATAGGCTAAAATGCCTCCTGCATAAATCTAGGATTTCTAAAAAGAAGCACGTTAAGTGCCTGGGCTAGGAAAATCCCACCCCCATAAGAAAGTGAAAATATGTGCTTGTCTTGGTCCCAATAGGGTAGACAAAAAAATGAAAAATAAAAAACGTATGATAATTTCTAAATACAAAACAATAGCCATATTGGTTTGGGTTTGAATTCACACTATCTATGGGCCTGAGAAATACCAGGGTGGAAATTAGCCTCTGGTAGCAAGAGCTGAGGCCAGCCAGACTTCCTGGGTCGAGTGGGGACTTGGGGAAATTTCCTGTCTTACCAGAGGATAGTAAAATGCACCAATCAGGAACTTACCTGTCTCACGAGTTCTGTGAAATGTACCAATCAGCGCTCTGTAAAACGCACCAATCCATGCTCTGTAAAACACACCAATCAGCGCTCTGTAAAACACACCAATCAGCAAGCTCTGTAAAAACGCATCAATCGGCAGGATTCTAAAAGTAGTCAATCACAGGGAGGATTGAAAAAAGGGCACTCTGATAGGATAGAAACGTGACAAATAAGGGAATAAAACCTGGCCACCCCCCCACCCCCACCCCAGCAGCAGCAACCTGCGTGGGTGCTCTTCCCCGTTGTGGAAGCTTTGTTCTTTAGCTCTTCCCAATAAACCTTGCTACTGCTCACTCTTCGGGTCCTTGCCATCTTTAAGAGCGAAAACACTCACCGTGAAGGTCGGCGGCTTCATTCTTCAAGTCAGCAACACCACGAACCCACCAGAAGGAATCAACTCTGGACACAGCAGTCCTGAGAGCTAATTAATCTGAGTAGAATCATAAAGATAAATATATTTTTCACACATACTTGGAAACATATTTTGTAACACAGCTTTTATTGTGGTTAAGTGAAGATAGTAAATTTTACAATAAGCAACACTGGGACCACTGGTCTCCATAAGGGGGAAAAAAGGAAATTGAAACTTAATCCCATAGACCAAACCTAAAAATATATTTTAATGGATAAAGATACCTTCTCAACATTCTTAGAAAAAAACTGTGGAGCATCTCTTTTATCTTTACATAGGGAAGAAGAACAAACGGCAAGAGTAAAAACTAACTTGATCACATAAAAATTTAAGACTTCTGTTTATTGGATACCGCAATGAGAAAAAAATATGCAAAACTTGGCAGAGATATTTGCAACACATGTTACCTAGACAGGTTTAGTATCCAGAATATATAAAGCTCTCCTATAAATTAATAAGTGAAAAATAACACCTCAAGAAGTTAGCATAAATAGCCCATAAGCATGTGAAAAAGTGCTCAACCTAATAATAATCATGAAAATGAAAATTAACAATTAGATACCCTTTCACACATATTGACAAAATTTTTTGGAAGTTCTGAAAGGTGTAGTATTGGCAAGGATAAAGAACCGTGGAAGCATTCATCCCATGCAAGTAGAAGGACAGCCATTTGGAAAACGGATGTTAGCTCATACAGCTGATCATGCATGTACCCTCTGACCCAGCGGCTTCACTACAACCTAGTGCAATCTAGTCAGCCTGTTACAGGCCCCAGAAAAATTCTTGCATTTGTTTACCTAGGGATATATGAGAATGTTCACAATTTTAAAAACCTGGAAACAATCCAGTTATCTCTCAATATGGGTAGATTGTGGAATAGGTAACTAAATGATCATATATTCCAATAATAGAGTACCTCGCAGCACTAAGAGTGAATGAACTGCAGCTACTCACATTCTCAAACACAGCACTGCAATGAGATACTACTGCATGCATATTAGAATGGCAAAAATCCAGAACTCTGACAACACCAAATGCTGATGAGGATGTGAAGCAACAGGAACTCTCATTCAGTGCTGATGGAAATACAAAATGGAGAATAGTTTTGTGGCATCTTAGAAAACTAAATCTACTCTTATTATACGACCCCGCAATCTTGTTTCTTGGTATATACCCAAAGGAGTTGAAAACTTATGTCCACACAGAAACCTGCACACAGATGTTTATGGACGTTTTATTTATAATTGCAAAAATTTGGAGACAAGCAAGATTACCTTCAGTAGGTGAATAATTAAACAAACTGTATTACATCCAGACAACTGAATACCATTCAATGATAAAATAAATGGCTGTCAAGCCATGAAAAGACACAGTGGAAGCTTACATGCATACTGCAGAATGAAAGAAGCCAATCTAAAAAGGCCACATATGTCACTTCCAACTTTATGACCTTCTGGAAAAGGTAATACTATAGAAATAGAAAAAAAAATCAGTGGTTCCCAGGAGTTAGGAGGAAGAGAGGGATGAATAACCAGAGCACAGAGGATGCTTAAGGCAGTGAAAGTACGTGTATGATATTTTAATAGTGAATACTTGTCATTGTAAATTTGTCCAAGCCCAAGTGTGAACCTTAATGCAAACTATAAGATGTATCATGTAGGTTCTTTAATTGTAACAAATGCACCACTCTGGTGGGGGATGTTTATTATGGGGGAGGCTATGCATGTGTGGGGGACAGGGAGTATATGGGAAATCTATACCTGCTGCTCAGTTTTGCTGTGAACTTTGAACTGCTCTTAAAAATAATGTGTGTATGTGTGTATATATACATACATATACATGTTTGTGTGTATGCATATCTGATCATAAGAAACAATACATAGTTTCACTTATTTAAAAAGTCAAATGTGCAAAACTAAACAATATACAAGTCTGTAATGACAAGCAATGGAATGATTAACAGGAAGTTAGGGATAGTGGTTACCTCTTGTGGAAGGAGTGAGTGGCATTGTAGAAGGGCAATGGGAGTTTCTAAGATACTGGAAATATTCTATTTCATAACCTGAAGGAAGGACACATATGCTCATTTTATATTCTTCTTAAGCTGTACATACACACTTTTATATTTATGATCTATTTCATTAAGTAATAAGACAATTAAATATATGCATTTGTAAATAAGTGAGATTAACAAATTTTTGGATACATTTAACTTATTAAAGTTGACTCAAATAATTAGAAAATCTGGATGGAAATCATACCATTAAAGTAATTGAGTTGATAATTAATAATTCTACAAAGAAAACAGGATGCCCAGATGATGTCACAAGTAGTTCCAATGTTACACTAATTATTTGCGAGGGGAGAAAAAAGAGGCCATTCTTCAATTCATTTGAGACTAGGGTAACCTTGCTATTGTGTACCTCATCCATGCACACAGAGACAAATATTGTAAACAAAATACTAGGAAGTATACCTAGCAAAGTATAAAAACCATGAACAAGCTCGGTTAGTAATACAAATTTAGTTCAATGTTAGAAAATCTACTGAAATCATCTCCTTATCAATGAATTAAAGACAAAAGTTATATGATTGTCTCAAAAGGCCTATAAAATTATTTTACAAAAATTAAATAATTCATGATATTTCCACCTATGAATAAAGGGTAATTTCCTTAACCTGATAAAAGGAGTCAACAAATAACCTACAGCACCTATCATGTTTTGTGATTAAAAATATCGAAATCACTCCTTTTAAAATCAAGAAAAAGACAAGAGTACCATTGTCACTAAACTGCTTCCAAAGCTTATACGGAAGATAAAAGGGCCCAGTATAACTAAGACAATCCCATAGAAGACTAAAGTGTGTGAAGGTGGGAGGTGGAGCTTATGTGAGTCTATCACGTACCAGATTTACTGTGAAGTTATAATTACCACAGCAGGAATTGCTATTGTGAAAGTGTATGCTTGTGTGAAATCTTGATGTATGCCCTGGCTAACATTACAGAACAGTCAGAAAGGGTCTATATAATCCATGGTATGAGCAGTTGGTATCCATATGGGAAAATATCAGAATGGATCTCTATCCCAAAAATGGATCGCTATCACACAAAGGCCAGATCTAAATGGACAAAGGACTTAAATTTGAGATGCAAATATTTAAAAATCTTTTAGAAGAAAATATAGGAGGGTAACTTATTACATGCCACACCTACTATGTGTACTTTGTACGATGCAAGTGTTGTATATGAGTGTAGTATGTTAAGTGTAGATGCCTCTAAGCAGTATATGCATGCTTGCTACTTTACACACATGAAACACTGGGAATGGGAGCATGAGAGGAAACCCTAGGTCATTCTGGTCTCCAGACTGCTGCTCCTGCCCACCCCCGGTTCCAGCACTCCCTTCCCCATTCTCCTATACAGATCCTCTGTTCCCGGCACAGCCACTTACAGCAGCTCAAGCCAGCGGCACCCACGGAGAGGCCCTCTTCACCCTACTGCTGGGCTGTCATGTCCCCTTTCTTTTCTTTCTGAAAAACAGTTTTCTCTGCCTGTGACTCCTCATGTTTCACTCTCTCTAAAGCACACGGAAGCCCGGTTCCCTCCTCTGCTTTATCAGACCTGTTGCTGTGAGTTCCACTAGTGACCCTGCATGACAAATTCGGAGGTTTGCTCCCTTTTGCATAGCGTAAAATGTTTACCTCGTGACCTACTTGATAAATACAATTTTATAATTGTTAAGCTATCTATATATTCTGTATCTGTTTTAAAAATTATGTATAGGCCAGGCAAGGTGGTTCACGCCTGTAATCCCAGCAGTTTGAGAGGCCGAGGCAGGAGGATCATGAATTCAGGAGATTGAAACCATCCTCGACAACATGGTGAAACTCCGTCTCTACTAAAAATACAAAAATTAGCTGGGCATGGCAGCAGGCACCTGTAATCCCAACTACTCAGGAGGCTGCAGCAGGAGAATTGCTTGAACCAAGGAGGTGGAGATTGCAGTGAGCCAAGATTGTGCCACTGCACTCCAGCCTGGCGACAGAGTGAGACTCCGTCCTCACACACCCCCCCAAAAATATAAAGACAATGTCAGTTATGCCACACATAGATTGTTTTTATTCCATAAAACTGCTCTCCATATGTGTAATATGTTTCTACTTCACACATAGTTTTGATCAAAGATTAATCTATTGCATACTTTTCTTAGTAATTAATAAAACTCAGCTTGGATTTCTCTAGCCAGATAAAACACCTTATACTAAATGAATCAATCAAAGCTCTTTGTTGGAGTGAGATCTGAAAGCTTTCGCTCAAGCTGGCTGCCTCAGCTTCACAGCATCAAATAATGGAGGGAGAAGTGGAGGCTGACATGCAGCAAGAATGACTGTGTGTGTGTTGGAGAGATATTTTGTTTAATTCATTTACAAGATACTCATGCCACACTGCTACGTGCCAAACAGCTGTTCTTGCTACTTGGTAAAAATTAATCATCTAATAGTTGAAAAGTTAATTGTTGTAATGTGACTTCAGTATGGCCACTCTCTGGGATTGGGAGCCAAAAAAAAAAAAAGCATCACCATCATGATTGAGAAATGGAGTTACTGGCAGTAGTGGAGCAAACCACGATTCTGCACTTGGACACAGAATTATTCCTGACAAGATCCTGGCTCTTAACTCTTCCACCAAAACTGAGTCTGCAGCTCCCACACTGAAATGCTGCTCATTTCACCCCAAGTGTGTTCCAGCCGTTCCTTCTTCTTCTCCTTCCTACCAGCTCTGTAATGTCTCCATCACAATGCTAAGGTCAGGGTCAATGGCACCTCTTTTTAGAAACTTTCTGAGAGCCCTGGAAAGTAATCTCTTCTTGTTCTTATTCCATGATCTCCTGTACGTTCTTTTTCTTTTTTTTTTGAGACGGAGTCTCGCTCTGCTGTACCTTCTTTAAATCACTGATGATCATTTGTGTAGATGAGTTGTCTCCGTGTGTGTCTGACCTTTCTCCCAGTTGGTGAGTTTTGGAATCCAGGAAGCATTTTAGTAAAGTAATAGTTTTTAGTAATTTAGTTCACCTCTGTGCACCCTACAGCCGTTTCTCACATGTTGGGGCTGCCCAGTGAGCACTTGCTGAGGGAAACTGCAGGGAGACTTGCAGGTCAGGTTCACTGAGCCAGAAAGTGAAGCAAACTGAGAGGGCAAAGTGCATGAAACTGGCTGAAATATATGAACACACTGGGGAAACAAACATCTCCGGCCTCTGTGGAGGCGGAACACAGTTGCTGAGGTCTGTGATTCAGCAGCACCCACCTGGCAAAGCATGCCCAGCATCGGGCTTCGTTCTCCCATAGTGCTTTCATGGCGAGGAAGAAAAGCTATACATACTAACATGGGCCAGCTGGAAACCACAACTATATAGTATTGCTTTTCAGCTTTTCAGCTGGAATTCCGAAAGAACTCTGAGGTCATGTAGAATGCGGCATACTGTTAGATGGGGCCTGGGTGGGTTTGGTGTTAGAGGACCTGCCCCAGGTCATGGTCTGTGGTGCGGAGGGAGGGTGTGATTTCCCATCCCCTTCTTATCTCTTTGTCCCATCTTTTTTGCCCTGTACACACATGATCGTCCTCAATATCTTAAGTAGGATCTCCCATATAGCTAAAATTGATATTGGCATCTAAAGTATGCCTAACTTAGCTGAATATTTGGCCTTTGCCTTTAAAGGATCTGTAAGTTATTGGGATGAGACCAAGGAGAAAAAGGAAGACCATAGATAAGCATAATCTGCCATCCAATAATTTCATGACATGCTTATCCTTGGAATAAAGTTGACCTGTTATCAGGAAACTGTCCCACCATTTTTTTTGCATGTAGAGACCTCCATTGCTATGGCCTCCATTGTAATGGGCTGTCATTGGGTTTGAAAAAAGTCTACATGTTGATTTTCATGGCAATAAAAGAGTCAGAGGTGCAAGCTGGAACAAGGTGCTCGCCAAAGCTAGGCCTTTCCCCTCCCTCAGGAACTGGCAACAAGAGCAAGAGTTAGCTTCCTGAATGTTTGCATTTCAAAGAGAGAACTCTCAGGTCTTTGAGGAGACAATTCTGGGATGTAGATTTACACTTCAAAGGTGGAGAAAAATTTATAATTGCAAGCTTTCTAAGGTTCTAAGAGGGGATTCGGGGCTCTACCTGCCCATCACCAGGTTTTGCCTGAAACAAACAGTAAATTTTCTTTGCAAGTGAGCTTTTTCAGGCAGTCATTTTAAGAGGGCTGGGGTCATCCGCGGGACACCCTTGTGCTGCCGGAAGCCTCACTAGAGTTTGGTCCTCTCTTTGGACAGGGGTTTGGAAGTAGTTAAGTACTGCGAGGCCTGCATTCTCATGACCAAAGCTCACAAATGTCCATTTCTTTATTTCTTTCATTTTAATCTTTGAAATATTTATGTGTCTCTTAACACCTCTTGGAAATTTCCATCCCTTTCGAGCTATGTTCCAGTCAAACCAAACAAAGCGTGGCCCAGCAGCCCTGGGGAGTCTCTGGGTGAAGGGGAGATGAGCACACAAATGTTGAGAGTTTGAGAACCCCTGGCCTTGATTTTTATAATAGTTGGTAAAGTGGTCATCAGTGAAATCCACAGGGATTCCCTGAGAGTGTATAGCTTTGGCATGATGGTTGCTGTAATCTGAAGGGGAAAGTAGAAGTTTACATGTGAGTACTGAAGAAGCTTGAGACAGAGTCTCGCTCTGTCACCCAAGCTGGATGAAGTGGGGCCATCTGGGCTCACTGCAACCTGTGCAATTCTCCTGCCTCAGCCTCCCCAGTAGCTGGGATTACAGGCTCCTGCCACCACGTCCAGCTAATTATTTTTTTCTTTAAAATTAGTTTTTATTTAAAAAGTACAAATAGCACTTTACTTTTACTTTTGCAAAAAGTAAAGAAATGGTGTTTTGTTACAAAAATTAAACAAATAAATTTTGGATTGTAGAAAATTCATTAAAAACTCAAGTTTTAATTCAGTTAAAATCCATCTAGTGCTGTAAGTGTGGCTGTTGGCAGATGTCTTATTTATTTTTCATATATTAATTTATATTATTAATAACTAATTTTTTATTTATTATTCGTGAGCCCTTTCCCATGACAACTTCTTGGAAATTTCTTTCTCTCCCACTGACCTAGTATTATCTCTCAGGCATTCTTATTTAAAGTTTTTCCTCTCATTATTCCCTTCTTCACCATCATTCCCAGGTTGGTTACAAAGAACTAATTTAATGACCCATTTACTCTGAAGGGAGGCGCAAGAAGTGAAGCTTCTTTCTGAGGCCTTAAGGGATCTCACCTCCTTAAATCTCTGTTTTCCTACCCCTACTTCAGATATTATTGAGACATTATGTTTTCTTCCTCTACCTTCAGAAACTTCAGTATCAACAGGTCCATATCTGCCTAAGCCCTCAGATGAGTCTGCAAACAATCATTGTGTCAACATTTGACTCATGCCTTGCAGATGATCCCAGGCACCACTGTCTTAACCTGTGAAAACCATAAATTCTTGGCACAAACAACTTCTTCTGCACATCCCTCCTCCTCATACATACACTAAGAGACTTGGCCAAATTCCAACACAGTGTCTATCAGCTCCGAGCCACGTCCCTACGATGCCCCATACCCCTCTAAAGCACCTGCCTGGGAACATTCAATTCTGCCAAAAGAATTTACTGTTTGTCCCACCCAAAACTTGACTATAGGTCCCTGACCTCCCATTTCTAAGAGGTTTAACTTTAGAAAACCTGCAATGGCCAGGCGTGGTGGCTCACACCTGTTATCCCAGCACTTTTGGAGGCCGAGGAGGGCAGATCACGAGGTCAAGAGATCGGGAACATTTTGGCCAACATGGTGAAACCCTGTCTCTACTAAAAAGAGAAAAATTAGCTGGGCGTCATGGCACACACACGCAATCCCAGCTACTCAGCAAGCTGAGGCAGGAGAATCTCTTGAACCTGGGAGGCGGAGGTTGCAGTGAGCCGAGATTGTGCTCAGAGTGAGATTCTGTCTGGATAAAAAAAAAAAAAAAAGACAGATAACCTGGAGTTATAAACCCTTTCTCTGCCCCTTTAAATCTCCTACAACATGGAAATGTCTTTCTGAAAGACTTGGGAGCCATCCCTTTGGACTATAAGGATCAAGAAGGATACAGGATTGTCTCCTGGTCTCTGTCTCTGCGTAGGAACCTAATTTTGATAAGCACTATTAGCAAACACAGATGGCCTCATCACATTGACCAACCTTTCCCCAAACATCAGTCCATGCTTTTCCTTTAGCACACTCCAACATTTGCAGAGCCTCTTGCTTTTTGTTTCAGTGAAGTTGAGGCTTTCTAACATACTATAAATTGATATGTCTACTTATTGATTAGAAGACAGAAATTAATCACTGGATTTCATTATCACGCTGACTTTTAGGATTAAAAGCAGCCTGTGGTTACAGATGCAACATCTTTACATTTCTAAGAAAAACAGGAGAGATTTGTCTTTGGCTCCTTTGGACCTCACTGATTAATGGAAAAGAGAGGATTGAGTAGGTTTGGATGATACAGTACAACTCAGTTTAAAGTTCCAGGCAAAGAAAGCAACGGTTATTTTTCACTCCAGAGAGTGAATCATTCTTTGGGGCCACAAAAGAGAAGATTTGAAGAATAAGCAGGGACATCTAGAAGGTGGCTGAGTGTACTCCATCGGGTTAAATTAAGCTATTTTGTTGTTGTTCAAATAGCTTCCCCACATGGTACATTTCATATCTAAAGTGTTATTCCCTCTCCCATCATTTTATTACATACGCAATATCTGGCTGAGAACCTCTTTCTTGCCCTCCTTCTTACTGGTTAAGAACACAGACAGTCCTCTCTTTGCACAGCAGTGCAGGGCCATACAAATCACTATGCAAGCTGAAGATCTGTAAAGTGACCTAAACAATCCATGTGAAACATCGACTGTTCTGTGTCATTTAAAAATTTTGGCCAAAACATTAAAAATCTCTTACTGTTGGTTATAAATGTATAAGGAAATGAAACATAGTGAAGTTAGTACTTTTTTTTTTTTGAGATGGAATCTTGCTCTGTCGCCCAGGCTGGAATGCAGTGGCGTGATCTCAGCTCACTGCAACCTCCACCTCCTGGGTTCAAGCTATTCTCCTGCCTCAGCGTCCCAAGTGGCTGGGACTATAGGCACGTGACACTACGCCTGGCTGATTTTTTGTATTTTTAGTAAAGGTGGGGTTTCACCGTGTTACCCAGGATCGTCTTGATCTCCTGACCTCATGATCTGTCCACCTTGGCCTTGCAAAGTGCTGGGATTACAGGAGTGAGCCATCACGCCTGGCCAGTACTTAGTTTATACACTGTAATTTAAAACATTAAACAACAGCCAATTAAAGTGCTTTATTTATTTATAGACGTGTATCAAGCCCAGTTTGAAAAGTGCTTGCCTCCCTCTTGTCGTATAGCTTATGATAAGGAGCCAGCAGTGTTTCTATGCCTTGGTGAACTGTCGTGCTGTTTTCGGAACAGCATCTAACATTGTCAACGTCATGCAATATCTACAAGAGTTCCTTTAATATGAAGTTTGTTGCTGTCTTTGCCGGCATCACTTCCTCTGGGGCTTCTTCATCCTTTTAATCACAGCTGCGTTCCTCATTTATGTCAGAACACTGCGTTGCACCGAGTTCCTCTTGCCGCGTTTCCTGTGGTGAGCCAATTCTATGATTCCATTTACATTGTATTTGAATCCACTTCCAGGGTTATCACATTTTTTATTTCTTTGCTGCACATCAATGGTTGTTGACAAGTTTTTTCTTCTGATTATTCATATTTATAAATGTCACATGGGTTTCTCACTGGGAGACAAGGAATCAACACGATTGCAGACTTTGCTGTCTGTGTGCAAACTAGCTGATGCACATTGATCAGTCACTGGCAGGCTTTGAAGGAAGTGAATTGTGTTCCCCAAAAAAGATATGTTTCAAATCCTAATCCCCAATATCTCCAAATAATATCAGCTTATTTGGAAATAGCACATTTACAGAGGTTCTCAAGTTAAAATGAGGTCATTAGGGTGGGTCCTAATCCAATAGACTAACTGGTGTCTTATAGTGAAGGAGAATTTGGATACAGCTCCAGACACACACACACAAAAGACGATGTGAAGACACACTGAGAAAATGCAGTGACATATCTGTAGGTCAAACAACACCAAGGATGGCTGGCAAACCCAAACAGGAAGGAGAGGGGAAGAAGGATTCTCCCCTAGAGCCAGCAGAGAGCATGAACCTACCAACACATTGCTTTTTGACTTCTAGCCTCCACAACTACGAGTCAATACATTTCTGTTGTTTTAAGCAACCCGGTTTTTTGTACTTTGTTGCAGCATCCCCACAAGATTAATACAGTCCCTGATCATGATGCTTGTCTGTTATTTACTCACACAGGCATTTGTGGAATTAAGAGCTGGGAATGAAGTTTGGATTTTATGCAGTTGCTCACAGTTAGCATATGGTGGTAACCGAAATTGTAACCAGGTTGTTGGGAGACTAGTGCTATTTAACTAAACTATGTTAATTAAACCTGTGCATATTCAAATGTGCAAAGCCAGGACTGTTTTTACTTAGTTCAGGTATTTAGAGGGAAAGAATGTTTGCCTCTTTTCAGGGCTTTGGAGCATGCCCTGTACCAGCAGGCCCCTTCCACAGCTACTTAACATCTCTTCTCGTCTTACTAGCCACCTCTCAACTCAGATGACCAGCAAGGCCATCTTTGACTATCAGAATGAAGTAGCCCGTCTCCACTTTTGATTACATTCATTTGCTTTATTGTCTTTACAGCATTTTTATTTACTAAAATAATAGTCTTTCATTACTTGATTCTTACCTTGATTCAGTACTTCTAAAAAATGCAGATTACAATTCAAATGAGAAACCAAGTTGACTAACGTTAAAACGTTTGATACTATTAAGTATTGTTGAGAATATAGATCTACCAGAACCTTTAACTTCTCATGGGAGCATAAATTGGAAAACAGTTCATTTTAACGTAGTAAAACCAACAGTATACAAATCTTTTGACACAATTATTTGAATGTTGGGTTTATACCTTAGAGAAAATCTACCTTTTATGTCCAGGAGACTCATACAAGAAAAGGACATCTAGTTTTGTAATAGAAAAAAATGGATAACCCCAATCTAATAAAATGGAATGCTCATTATAGTATTATCCTGTGATGGAATACTCTAAATCAATGCACAGAAAGTACAGACAAACATATCATAAGAATGAATTTTACAAATTAAATATTGAACTAAAAAGCAATTTCAGAAAAATATATTCAGTGTGATTCCATTTGTTTAAACTGAAAAATATGTGAAACAATAATGCTCAATGTCCTTTACTAATGCATTTATTTTGGCAAAATTATAAAGATAAGAAATGGGACTCATTAACAGGACAGTGTTAAGGACTCTAAAAATACGGGTAGTTTTTTATTCTTAGGCAGGTAATGTGTACATCAGTGTTCATTTTATTATTTCTTACACTGTCTTCATGACTTACACATAATATTTTGCTAGTTTTAAAACATAAGATGTGATAATAATCTAAACAGACCAAAGGAAATAAATGAATATGTTAAAAAAAAGACAGAGAATGAGCCCTGTCTGATAGAAAGCATAACAAAGCAAGTAGAAGAACTCTCACAAATGCTTGATCCAATAAAGCTAGGTTTGTGCTCCACAACACTTCAGCATTTTAATGTGATTTTTGATGTTTGCTTTTTGCAATGGTGATTCCCAGTTGCCTCCCTCCTATGTCTTTACAAGCTGAAATCAAGTGAAGCTACTTCTGACTTTTTCTAAAACTAAAACACAACATGAAGGTCTGCGTATTCTTTCACATGTGCACATATGTGGCACTTTTCCATGATGCAACAGCAGCGGGTCTCTAGCTAAGCTACAGCAGCAGCTCTAAGAGGCAGGGGACCCTGAAACGAGGCTGAAAAAAAGAATAGTCCATAACTGACATCAGGCAGGCTGCTGTTGTAAGCAAAGAAAGGAGGCTCACAGGGGCGTGGACTCAGGCCAGATCAGGCTATTGTGGGAGAACACGGAGCACATGTGTCAGCTGGAAAGGGGCCGGCTCAGGAGACAAAATAGGCACGAGAGGAAACCCAAAAATTGACATACATGACTATCCTTGTAGAAATGTATAAAGGTTTGGATTATTTTGCTTATCGAGTTATAATAAAGTTATTCTAAAAATGTTTATGTAAAGTATTATGTACATTTTTGTTACCTTATAAAGATTATTTATATTTGAGTTGTGTGGTTTTGGAATGACAGTATTTGTAAACTTGGTTTTGACATTCTCTACGATGCTTAATGAAGAAACTGACATTTAAAGCGATTCATTAATTCTCTTTGGTCAGTAGCTGAGCTGGGACAGAGTTCAGGTTTTCTGATTCTCAGCCTATGTTGTTTTCTCTTCATTTTAATGTGAACCTAAATATGTATAGGATCTAGACAAATATGACATGTAGTGCCTTATTTCTTGTTTTCTCTGTAATGAATGGCAGGTGAGATAACTTTATTTACAGAAGCCATCCAGTGGCTCAGGTTGCATCAGGTTGCCTTTGAATCATTTATTCAACGTCAGGATGGTAAAGTGAGGAGCTTCCCCAAACTGAAGCAGAGTGGCATCTGTCCCAGGTTGTAGAGTATTCCCTGCCATAAATAAAGACATGCTGGTTCTTGTTATTTATACAGGCACTGGGGTTCCCATTAGCTCTTACATTTCATATGCTTAGAGCAAGAAGCTAGAGAGTGACTTAGGATACAGTGTAAATATATTAGTAAATTAAGACAGTTCTGCAAGATTTTTAGGACTTCTATTTTTCTTCTATTCATCATTTATGAAGTATTCTTGCTAGAAATAGTTTATGTCTCTCTATCTTGCTGAGTGATGAATACTCGGCCAGGATGCTAAAATGTGGTTTCATGAAGTATGTTGTGTTTCTGTCTGTTCTTGTTTCCTTCCTTGAAATGTGTAAAAGTGAAAAACATACTAATCATAAATCAGGTATTCATCATAAGCCTAAAAAAAGATAAAATAATCAGTAGTATCATTGACTAAAATTATTACTCACCAAAAGAAACTCACTCCAAAGTTAGCGCAATACTAACAGAGAATACAAGTTTTGCCAGGAATCACTGAGGCTTAGTACCTCACATGGGAAACATGGGAAGTAAAACCACCTGAGGAGCCACTTGATGGTGAGTCAGGCTGTTCCTCAAAGAGTAGGCTGTGACTGCCAAACTTTGTAGGTTAAGGAGTATTTATAATGATCTTTGAGGAAACTGCAACTGACAATTGAGGGAAAAAATGTTAGTTCATGACTGCAAAATACATGACAGAGTCACAAAAACTATTTTACAAGTTTAAAAAAAAAACCTGATGCTGATGCAAGGTAGGCGAACCCCAAAGTGGTGCTTAGCCTGCAAGGGTTCTTGGCTTCACCCAGGAAAGGATTCAAGGGCGAGCCAGTGGTAAGGTGGAAGAAAACACCTTTATCAAAGCAGCACTGTTACAGCTCCTGCAGGGTCACAGCTCAGTGACTGCTCCCAGGGTTGCCCCATAGGCAGGGTGCCGAGAGTAGCAGCTGAGCCCAGTTTTGCTGTCATATGTATACCTACTTTTAATTACATGTAGATTCAGGGGTGGTTTGTGCAGAAATTGCTAGGAAAAGGGTGGTAACTTTTGGGTCATCAGGTCATTGCTGCTGAAAGTGGTGGTAATGCCTGAGTGTTGCCATGGCAATGGTAAACTGACAGGGCACACTGGTGGGTGTGTCTTACAGAAAGCTGCTTCCACCCTGTCCTTGTTTAGCTAGCCCTCAATTTTTTGTTTGTAAATGAGCAAGAGAGTCATGGCCTTGGCGTTTTATCCCAGAAGTACAGTGGACCCCAGAGCACTCTAGACCCAAGGGCTAAACCAAATCACAGCATCCCACAGTTGTGTCCAGCCCTCCATCACTGATTGGCTGCAATCCAACAAGTGGCCCAGAGGGGAGGGTTCATTGAAAGCTCTTTGCTAAGTGACAGGTCTTTAAGAAGGAAAAGGCTCTTAAAGATTGGTATGGGATGGGGGAAGTGTTTGTGGTCACCACGGCACCCCAAGGCTGTGGCCTTCTCTGAGCACCATGAGACTCAGCCATGTCTTTCTCTCTGTTTTCCCATAAAACCAGCCAGTGCTGAAGCATATCCTCCTGGCCTACAAACAGTGGCCATGACTTCCAACTCATCCAGGCTACTTCTGATTTAGTGTTAGGCCGCCCACTTGATGTGTATGTTCCCATGCTGTGTTGACCCTATTACTTAATGAAAACACACAGCACTCGTTTGCTTCTCGACTTACTTCTCATGAAATATCACTATGCCTCCCCACCCAATCACAATCCTTTGCTGCCAAAAATCCCTTGCTACCCTGTACATTTTGTCCACTAAGGGAACCCCTCAGCACACACACACAATGGTGCTACTGAAACCAGATCACTGTCTCATTTAGGTTAGATATGTCAGAAACCCTTCTCTCCTAAGTCGACCTGATGCTCTATGTCAATCGCTCCTACTTCTGGAAGGAGGTTGGGACCTTCCAGCCTGGATATGCCATCACTCATCTACACAAAACTCTTGAATGCCAAGCTTTGCCACACGTTAAATCAGCCAAAGTGGCTAAATTAACTGTTCTCATTCAGGCTTATATAAGGCAGAGGGAATTAAGATTAGCACCTACAGTGACAGACACTGGGTCTTTGGTGTAGTGCATGATTTTGGTATGTTTTGAAAACAGAGAGGATTCATGACAGCAACTTGTCCCCAGTCAAAAGTAAACCCCAAATAGCAGAACTTCTAGAGTCATTGCTATTGCCCCAGCTAGTTGTTACAGTTAAAGCTGAGGGATATAGTATAAAATACTCAGATGAGGCTCAGGGAAATAAATTGGCTGATAAAGGTGCTAAGCTAGCATCCTCTTCCTTGGCCGCCTAAGAAATCCAGGAAGTCTCCAAACCTTGTGACTAGATACCTGGGCTTCATTTCAAATACCCACAGTCCTGCTAGGATTATTTACCCTCTTTAAATAAATTGACAGAAGCAATGTCTTTACAATGCCTCTAAAGGAAATGTAAAATTCACACAGCCCAGATAACAATTTCAGAGTCAGAAAGAATTGGATGAGAAAAAGGTGAATGTTTGATCCACTTTAGTGGACTTCAGAAATACCCAGATGGCCATTTGATAACTCCTAAGTCTGTCTCCCAAGTCATTGTGTACAATTTGCTCATCCAGATTTACCACAGAAAGGATAACATGTAGTATATATTAAACAAAACAATATGGCTTGGACTCTTTAGATTTTATTTGGACCAAGCTGTTGCCATTTGCTGCATCTACCAACAACATAATCCTCCAAAAAGCATAAAGGTGGGGCAAAAAAGGGAAGTGGCTCCCTCTACATCCTTCCTTCACTGGAAAATAGGCTTCCTTCACTGGAAAATAGAATGGGAGGCTTTCCCTGTTGAAACTCCTCAAGGACATCGGTTGCCAAGGTTTATTAAGAGTGAATCTTCCCCACATGGGTTATCCCCTCTACTGCCTCTAGTGACAGAGGATCACATTTCACTGGCAAAATTATTCAGGAAATAGGAAAGGTTACACACACCAGCCAAATATTCCACTGGACTTACCATCCTCAGTGATAAAGTTCTATACAAAGAGCCAACAGCATCCTCAAGCTGAACTGGCTAAACTGTCTGAAGAAAGAACTTGCCATGGCCACAGATATTACCCATCACACTGACTCTCAGATCCTTGGCCCTACCTTCACACAAACGATCCTCTTTGAATCATTACGGGATACCCATGAGAATACCCTACTAATGCAAACTAGCAGAAGATTCCAAACTAACTCAGTTCAACAACCTCAGATATTGTCAGGGATTAATTAAATACACACAGCCCCACTATACTCCACAATTGAGGCTTCTTGTATCTTTAAACTCCCTGATCAGTCCTTACTTGCTTCATAAGTAAGTGATCTGGCATTTTGAAAAAACACCAACATCAGAAAACTAACCTTGAACCCAGAGGGAGGGGACCTTTTATTGTTTCACTCATTGCTAACACTGCTAACAAATTACAGAGTGTTTGAACTTGGGTGCATGTCTTTTAGTTGAAAAAATACAAAATCTATTTCAATTGGAAGGCACTCTAACCAGAGACTCACGCTGAGACTCTATGAACAACCTCCAGGCCAGGTGCGGTGGCTCACGCCTGTAATCCCAGCACTTTCGGAGGCCGAGGCGGGCGGATCACGAGGTCAGCAGATAGAGACCATCAGGTGAAACCCCGTCTCTACTAAAAATACGAAAAAATTAGCCGGGCGCTAATTGGCGGGCTCCTGTAGTCCCAGCTACTCGGGAGGCTGAGGCAGGAGAATGGCGTGAACCCGGGAGGCGGAGCTTGCAGTGAGCCGAGATTGAGCCACTGCACTCCAGCCTTGGGAACAGAGCGAGACTCAATCTCAAAAAGAAAAGAAAAGAAAAAAAAAGAACCTCCAAACTTTGCAGCGAGCAGAGATTGCACCACTGCACTTCAGCCTGGGTGACAGAGCAAGACTCGGTCTCAAAAAAAAAAAAAAAAAAAAAAAAAAAAAAGGAAAGGAAAGAAAAGAAAAGAACCTCTAAAAGTAGCCAACAGCTGGAGACAGACATCCATCCTAAGAACTACGGAGCAAGTAAATGATATGATGAAGCAGTCCGCTTCTGCCAAAGATCCTGAAACAAGATTCACTCCGATTCCCCTTCTTTGTCTCTGACTTCAATTTTGGGTCTACTTATTCTGCTACTACTCCTGTGTCCTCTACAACGTCCCATCTTTATCCTAGTGATGTGTCCTACTTACAACATATATACTCCATCTCCAGCCTCAGCAGCCCTGTCATGATTCCCCTGTTTCCTCCTTATCTTACCCTATCCCGTGCTTTCCTCTCATGACCGTAATTCCCTCGGTCTCTTAGCTGACAAAGTAGCCAATGAAATTAACCAAAGTAATTGCCGGGTCTATGCCCATTCCCACTCTATCCTAAAACTCGTATTCCCTTAATAATTGTCTCCCTTATGCTTTAGATGGCCTTGGCAGAAAACATTACAAATATACAGCCATTTAGGTCTCCCTTTTAGAAAGATATTGGGTTATTTCTTAAAAGCCCTTGTGACTGGGAGTATGATGTGGCCTCTTTAACCTAAGAAACGTGGTGTTTTACTAGAAATCAGTCTAATAAATATAGTCACCCTGTGGAACACAGTAAATGCTCTGTGTCCTTGTGAAAAGATGAAACCTATTTTCAAGAAACAGACATTCTTTGTAAGGGCCAAACTCCCATTAAGGACAGCATTGTCTGCAATACCCACGCAATACCAGTATCATAGGAAATTATTTTACCCCGGATCAATATTTTGGTGAACTGAAAGACTGGGCAAAAAATTGCTGGCTAAATGGTACCAAAGTACCCAGCCATTTAGAAGATGATGTTTGTAACTGTCTCTTTGGAGTCTATTCCAGGTTAGCTCCTCTAGCCTCTGTTACAACCACTAGAGGCAATAACCAACACTAGTATGCCCTCAAGGGACATTATTTAGTATGTGGTCATAAAACCATACAAAGTACTTCCAGCCCATTGGGCTGGCTGCTGCGATGTGGCTTATGCTGTCCCTCAAATGGAAATGTATGAAAAATTTCCCAATGGAAAAATTAGAAACATGAGTGCTCCTACAATTGCTGAGCCTGAAACTTGTGAATGGATAATGGCTGGATGACAAACAGCCTTAAACAGGTCCGGGGAGAGCCACTTGCTCAGGCCAAACTTACAGGGTGCTCTGTTCTTGATATTCTACCCTTTGTCACCAGGTCAGCCAACTCCTATGCTGTAAGATACATCTGACGAAGGACTAGTATCCATAATCTAAAAGGAACTCCAACAAATTAGCAAGAAAAAAAACACATAATCCTACTAAAAAGTGGGCAAATGACATGAACAGATATTTCTCAAAAGAAGATATGGAAACGGCCAACAAATATATGAACAAATGCTCAACATCACTAATCATCATGGAAATTCAAATTAAAATCACAGTGAGATACCATCTAGTCAGAATTGTCTTACCCTAGCCAAAAGGTTAAAACACAAACAAACAAACAAACAAAAACAGATGTTGGCACAGATGTGGTGAAAGAGAATGCTCATACACTGTTGGTGGGAATGTAAATTAGTACAACCTCTGTGAAAAACGATGTGGAGATTTCTCAAGGAACTAAATGTAGATCTACTATTCAATCAGCAATCCCACTACTGGTATCTACCCAAGGAAAAGAAGTCATTATATATAAAGAACACTTGCACATGGATGTTTATCACAGCACAATTCACGATAGCAGAGATACGGAATCAAGCTGAGTGCCAATCAACGGAGGAGTGGATAAGGAAAATGTGGTACATATAAAAAATGGAATACTACAGGCCCAGCCAGGTGGCTCACGCCTGTAATCCCAGCAGTTGGGGAGGCCGAGGCAGGTGGATCATGAGGTCAGGAGTTCAAGACCAGCCTGGCCAAGATGGTGAAACCCCATCTCTACTGAAAATACAAAAATTAGCTGGGCATGGTGGCGGGCACATGTAATCCCAGCTCCTCGGGAGGCTGAGGCAGAGAATTGCTTGAACCCGGGAGGTAGAGGTCGCAGTTAGCTGAGATCACACCACTGCACTCCAGGCTGGGCAACAGAGCGAGACTCCATCTCAACAACAACAACAAAAAGGAATACTACTTAGCCACACACGCACACAAATGTCTTTTGCAGCAACTTGGAACTGGAGGCCATTACCATAAGTGAAGTAACTCAGGAATGGAAAAACCAAATACTGCATGTTCTTACATATAAGTGGGAGCTAAGCTATGGGTACACAAGGTATACAGAGGGGCATAATGGACATTGGAGGCTCAGAGAGGAAGGGAGAGGGATAAAAAAAATCACCTCTTGGGTACACTGTAAATTATTTGGTGACAGATACAGTAAAAGCCCAGACTTCTCCACTATACAATTTATTCATATAACCAAAAACTATTTGTACCCCTTAAGCTATTGAAATAATAATTTAAAAAATAATTAGTAGAGTTCATCTCAAACTTAATATAAGCTTTTGTTTCATAAATCCATGAGGTATTGGAGCTTCTAAAATGACTTTACAAAACTAGCTCGCCTTAGACTACATACTGGGTTTTCAAGAAGGTGCTTGTGCACTGGTGAGTTCCCAATGCTTTTCATTCATGAATGATAAAGAGAAATGAATCAAGAAGTCGTGGCAGCACGTGCCTGAGAAGCAGCCAACATAGCTCACGCCCCTCCAGACAGGCTTAGTCTCTAAGGAGAAAATGGTTTCCCCAGCCAAATGGCTTAGGAGACTTTTTAAGGGACTTGGCTTTTTTTTTTTTCTTTTAACTTTTATTGTAAGGTCAGGGGTACATGTGAAGATTTGTTACAAAGGTAAACTCATGTCATGGGGTCTTGTTGTACAGGTTATTTAATCACCCAGGAATTAAGCCCAGTACCCAACAGTTACTGTTTCCACTCCTCTCCCACCTCCCACACTGCATGCTCAAGCAGACCCCAGTGTCTGCTGTTTCCCTCTTTGTGTTAATAAGTTCTCATCATTTAGCCTTCACTTACAAGTAAGAACATGCAGTATTTGGTTTTCTGTTCCTGCGTTAGTTGCTGAGGATAATAGCCTCCAGCTCTAGCCATGTTCCTGCAAACGACATAATCTCATTCTTTTTTACAGCTGCATGGTACTCCATGGTGTATATGTACCACATTTTCTTTATCCAATCTGTCATTGATGGGCATTTAGGCTGATTCCATGTCTTTGCTATTGTGAATATTGCTGCGATGAACATTTACATGTGCAAGTGTCTTTATGGTAGACTGGTTTATATTCCTCTGGGTATATACCCAGTACTGGGATTACTGAGTTAAATAGCAGTTCTGCTTTTAGCTCTTTGAGGAATCACCATATTGCTTTCCACAATGGTTAAACTAATTTACATCCCACCAATGTGTCTAAGTGTTCCTTTTTCTCTGCATTCTCACCAGCATCTGCTATTTTTTGACTTTTTAACAATAGCCTTTCTGACTGGTATGAGACAGTATGTCACTATGGTTTTGATGTGCATTTCTCTAATGATTAGTGATAGATATTGAAGTTTTTTTCATATGCTTGTTGGATGCGTGTCTTCCTTTGAAAAGTTTCTGTTCATGTTCTTTGCTCACTTGTTAATGGAGTTGTTTGTTTTTCTCTTGTAAATTTGTTTAAGTTCCTTATAAATGCTGGATATTACACCTTTGTCGGATGCATAGTTTGCAAATATTTTCTCCCAATCTGTAGGTTGTCTGTTAACTCTGTCCATAGTTTCTTTTGTTGTGCAGAAGCTCTTAAGTAAATTGGATCCCCCTTGTCATTGTTTGCTTTCGTTGCAATTGCTTTTGGCGTCTTTGTCATGAAATCTTTGCCTATTCCTATGTCCAGGATTGTATTGCCTAGTTTGTCTTCATGGGTTTTCATAGTTTTGGGTTTTACACTATGTCTTTAATCCATTTTGAGTTGATTTATGTATTTGGTGTAAGGAAGGGTGGTGTAAGGAAGAGTGGATGCTTCAGTTTTCTGCATATGGCTAGCCAGTTATCCCAGCACCATTTATCAAATAGGGAATTGTTTCCCCATTGCTTGCTTTTGTCAGCTTTGTTGAAGATCAGGTGGTCATAGGTGTGCAATCTTATTCTGGGCTCTTGATTCTGTTCTGTTGGTTTATTTGCCTGTTTTTGTACCACTACCATGTTGTTTTTGTTACTGTAGCCCTGTAACATAGTTTGAAATTGGGTAACATAATGCCTCCAGCTTTTCTCCTCTTTACTTAGGATTGTCTTGGCTATTCAGGCCTTATTTTTTTGGTTCTATATTAATTTTAAAATAGTTTTCCTAGTTTTGTGAAGAATGTCATTGGTAGTTTGATATGAATAGTATTGAATCTGTAAATTGCTTTGGGCATTATGACCATTTTAATTATGTTGATTCTTCCTATCCATGAGCCTGTGATATTTTTTCATTTGTTTGTGTCATCTCTGATGTCTTTGAGCAGTGTTTTGTAATTCTCATTGTAGAGAATTCTACACCTCCCTGGTTAGCTGTTTATCAGCTAAAGGAGCTTTTGGGCTGAAGGTATGAGGCTTCTGGATATAACATCATGTCATCTGCAAACAGAGATAGTTTGACTTCTTCTTTTCCTATCTAGATGCTCTTTATTTCTTTCTCTTTCATGATTGCTCTGGCTAGGAATTTCACAACTATTTTGAATAGGAGTGGTGAGAGAGGGCAGACTTGTTTTGTGCCAGTTTTCAAGGGCAAAAAGCTTCCAGCTTTTGCCCATTCAAAGTGATATTGGCTGTGGATGTGTCATAGATGTCTCTTATTATTTTGAGGTATATTCCTTCAATACCTACTTTGTTGAGAGTTGTTAACATGAAAGGGGGTTAAATTTTATCAAGAGCTTTTTTTCTGCATTGATTGAGATAATCATGTGGTTTTTGTCTTCAGTTCTGTTTATGTGACGAAATCACATTTATTGATTTGCATATGTAGAACCAACCTTGCATCCCAGGAATGAAGCCTATTTGATCATGGTGGATTAGCTTTTTGATGTGCTGCTGGATTTGGTTTGCAAGTATTTTGCTGAGGATTTTTGCATTGATGTTCATCAAGGATATTGGCCTGAAGTTTTCTTTTTGGTTGTTGTGGCTCTGCCAGGTTTTAGTATCAGGATGATGGTGGCCTCATAGAATGTGCTAAAGAGGAGTCACTCCTTCTCAATTTTTCGGGGGGTACTTTCCCTAGGAATGGTACCAGTTCTTTGTACATCTGGTAGAATTCAGCTATGAATCCATCAGGTCCTGGGCTTTTTTTGGTTGGTAGGCTATTTGTTACTGGTTCAATTTTGGAGCTTGTTGCTGGTCTGTTCAGGCAATCAATTTCTTCCTGGCTTAGTCTTGGGTGGGTGTATGTGTCCAGGAATTTATCCATCTTTTCAAGGTTTTCTAGTTTGTGTGCATTGAGGTGTTCATAGTAGTTTTTAGTGGTTATTTGATTATTTTTATTTTTGTGCAGTCAGTGTTAACATTTTCCTTTCTGTTTTTTTTTTTTTTTTTATTTGAGACAGAGTCTTGCTTTGTCATCCAGGCTGGCGTACAGTGGCACCATCTTGGCTCACTGCAGGCTCTGCCTCCTGGGTTCAAGCAATTCTTGTGCCTCCGCCTCCTGAGTAGTTGGGACTACAGTTGTGTGCCACCATGCCCAGCTAATTTTTGTATTTTTAGTAGAGAGGGTTTCACCACGTTTGTCAGGCTGCTCTCAAACTCCTGGCCTCAAGTGATCTACCCGCTTCAGTCTCCCAAAGTGCTGGGATTACAGGTATGAGCCACCACACCGGGCCTCAAAATTTTAGTAGTGTTTATTTGGACCTTCTCTCTTTTTTTCTTTATTATTCTAGGTGTTGGCCTATCTTATTAATTTTTTCAAAAAAAATCCTGGATTCAACAATCTTTTGAATTATTTTTGTGTCTTTGATTTTCTTCCATTCAGCTCCAATTTTGGTTATGTCTTGTTTTCTGCTAGCTTTGGGGTTGATTTGTTATTGCTTCTGTAATTCTTTTAGTTGCGATATTACGTTGTTAATTTGAGATCTTTCTAACTTTTTGAGATTTTTCTAACTTTTTGATGTGGGCAGGTAGTGCTATGAATTTCCCTCTTATCATTGCCTTACCTGTGTCCCAGAGATTCTGGTATGTTGTATCTTTGTTCACATTATTTTCAAAGAACTTCTTGATTTCTGCCTTAATTTCATTATTTACCCAAAAGTCATTCAGGAACATGTTGTTTAATTTCCATGTAATTGTATGGTTTTGAGTGATTTTCTTAGTCTCAACTTTTATTTTTACTGCACTGTTGTCCAAGAGTGTGTTTGGTAAGAATTCGGTTCTTTTACATTTGCTAAGCGTTGTTTTATGTCCAATTATGTGGCTGATTTTAGAGTATGTGCCATGTGGTGATGAGAAGAATGTATATTCTGTTGTTTTTGAGTAGAGAGTTCTGTAGAAGTCAATCAGATACATTTGATCTAATGTTGAGTTCAGGTCCTGAATATGTTTTTTAATTTTCTGCCTTGGTGATCTGTCTAATAACTGTTAGTGGAGTGTTGAAATCTCCCACTGTTATTGTGTGAGACTCCGTGTCTCTTTGTAAGTCTCTAAGAACTTGCTTTATGAATCTGGGTGCTCCTGTATTGGGTGCACATATATTTAGGATAGTTAGATCTTCTTGTTGAATTGAACTCTTTACCATTATGTAATGCTCTCCTTTGTCTTTTTTGATCTTGCACTTGGCTTCTTAAAAACATCCTTAATGGCAATATTCTTTGTCTCTTAAGTACACCACTATTCTTCTTTTTTTTTTTCTTTTCCAGATAGAGTCTCACTCTGTCACCAGGCTGGAGAACAATGGCACTATCTCTACTCACTGCAACCTCCCCCTCCTGGTTCAAGCGATTCTCCTGCCTCAGTCTCCTGAGTAGCTGGGACTACAGGCGTGTGCCACCATGCGCAGCTAATTTTTGTATTTTTAGTACAGATGAGGTTTCACCATGTTGGCCAAGATGGTCTCGATCTCTTGACCTCGTGATCCACCCACCTCAGCGTCCCAAAGTGTTGGGATTACAGGCATGACCCACCAAGTGCATCTCTATTCTTATGAGACAATTGTGCCACCATTGATAGTACACCAAACCTCCTCGATTGTTGCATTTACCACCTTGACTCTTCCTGAATTGCACAATGATGATAAACAATGGCTGAACTTTTTTCTTTTGAGGACTTTGGAGTGCAACAACTATATTTATTCTACGAGAAAGAAATTCATTCTTTCTCTTGAACAAGAGGAGGGACTGTGAACTTCCCTGAAGCAAAAAGGATTTGCCTAAACACTGTGCTAAGAGACTTGACCTAACATTAGCCTGGCTTCCACTTGGAGTAGTTAACCCCAGGCCCTGCGCTGAGTCTTTGCTCAAGAAAATACAATGCTGCCAAACTACATAATGTATATTGTCGTAACTGATGGTGTCAAATCATTTCCAGTAATTCTCTACTTACCCCCCGCTTTTTTTTTTTTTTTTGAGACGGAGTCTCCCTCTCTCCCCCAGGCTGGAGTGCAGTGGCGTGATCTCAGCTCACTGCAAGCTCCCCCTCCCAGGTTCACGCCATTCTCCTGCCTCAGCCTCCTGAGTAGCTGGGAGTACAGGAGCCCGCCACCATGTCCAGCCAACTTTTTGTGTGTTTTTAGTAGAAACGGGGTTTCACCGTGTTAGCCAGGATGGTCTCGATCTCCTGACCTCGTGATCTGCCCGCCTCGGCCTCCCAAAGTGCTGGGACTACAGGCGTGAGCCACCGCGCCAGACTCTTACCCCCTTTTATAATTTGCATTTTCACGTAGTCCTCAGTCCCTTTTTTAATTCCCCTCTTTTTACTTTTCCATAGTTTCTTTTTATTTCCCATTTGTTCTATTTTTAAAAACATCAGCCTCCTTTGTCTTACTTGGAGTTGAGCTTAGTTTATACTGAAGTCTCTCCCTCCTGCTGAAATAGTCTGAGTAAAATAGGTCTCATTGCCTTTAGCAAGTATCCAGCACTGCTGTTTTTCTTTGACAATTTCTAGGGTTGCCTTAGATGAAGTGGGGTGAAAGGGCATTAGAAGGCACAGGCCAAAAGATCAGAACTCTGGACTCTCAGTCCCAAATTCTACTAGCAGAACTCCTTTTTCATATTCTTCATACACTGGGGGCTTTGCTGAGAGTTTGCTGGACTGAATATAGGAAGAACAACAGACTTCTGAAGTTAGTCACATCTGTCCTTGATTCAATTATACAAACATGAGGATTCTCAAAGTTATGATTTTTTTCCTAGAAATACTTTATTTTCAGGAAATATTTATTTAGCGTTGATGACTTGAGTATTAATCTCAAGGCAAGGAAATGAGGGAAATGACCTCCTGATGTCTTTCCCATGAATCTGTAACTCGGTGGTCAGCTTCTTCCCAAGTTATTTTTCTTGTGGCATCTCAGTGATTTTATTAGTTTCACCACAAGTACTCCCAGCAAGGGAAATCAGTGATCCCAAAGGCACCAGGCTGGAGTTTTCCCGCATAAAGATCACTCTTCGAAGCAGCTCCTTCCTAGAAATTTGTTATGTTTACCTTTGCCAATCATCTATGATTAGTGTAGTAATTATTCTGTTTTTGCTATCTTTTATTTTTGATACTCACTGAAGGCTTCACTTATCAACGATTAAGGCATGTGCTTCTGCTTTGATTCAGTGTCTTCTTAGTATGAGCATGGTGGTATAATTCTCTTGAATCAGTGCTGGGATTTATTTGATTATGAAAATTTATTTTCATTCAGGTATTTTAAATGCACTTTTAATATTAAGTACATTTAATATTACATGTAATATTAACTTGAAGTGTAACTAATATGAACAAATTCCAAAGTACATGAAAATAACTTTTAATCCTGTAAGTATGACTATTTAATTTATTTCTTTTCACAATATAAAAAGCACATGCGATATTTTGAAAGACTATTAAAGGTGGGGACAAGAGGTTATTTAAATCTATGTTTGGATGCAACTTTTATGGCTTAAACTACAAAGAATTATCCTTTTTATATATTAAATGATTGTATAGTTCTTTTAATACTGTTTTTTGATACAAGTGTGAAATTCTTAAAGAAAATGGCAAACATCACTAACAACCATTACAATTCTAATAGCTAACTTTTCTGAGCCATTACTTGGAACCATGCACTGTTTAAAATGCCTCACTTGGCCAGGCACGGTGGCTCATGCCTGTAATCCCAGCACTCTGGTAGGCCGAGGCAGGCAGAACACGAGGTCAGGAGATTGAGACCATCCTGGACAACATGGTGAAACTCCGTATCTATTAAAAATACAAAAATTAGCCTAGTGTGGTGGTCTGTGCCTATAGTCCCAGCTACTCAGAAGGCTGAGGCAGGAGAATCGCTTGAACCGGGGAGTTGGAGGTTGCAGTGAGCCAAGATCGCGCCACAGGACTCCAGCCTAGCGACAGAGCCAGACTCCGTCTCAAAACAAACAAAAAACAAAAAAAATTCCTCACTCATCTCACTCATGTAATCATGACAATAACATTAATTGTATTATCCCTACATTACAGATGACAGGTGACAAAAATATGCAGAGAGGGGTTAAACTGCATAACATTACTCAGAGAATGCATTCTTTTTATTCCATAGGTTTTTTGTATTACAGTACTACATTCACAGAGGCCTTCCATTGGAAATAACTTATAGGAATTATTGTAGGTCTCTTTGCACTTTCTTCAGCTCTTGGTTTAGGTCTCAAATTGTGAGTGATTTCTCTCTTTAGTGAAGTTGTAATGCAATTCATTACCATAGCAGAAAGCACAGAAAATATTACCTATTTATTAACTGGAAATGCACTCACATGTTGTATTAGTCCATTCTCATGCTGCTATGAAGAAATATCCAAGACTGGGTAATTTATAAAGAAAAGAGGTTTAATTGATTCACAGTTCCACATGGCTAGGGAAGCCTCAGGAAACTTACAATCATGGCAGAAGGCACCTCTTCACAGGGTGGCAGCAGAAATAATGAGTTTTGAGCAAAGGGGAAGCCCCTTATGAAATGATCAGATCTCATGAGAACTCACCCATCATCATGAGAACAGCATGGGGACAACTACCCCATGATTCAATTATGTCCACCCGATCCTACCCTTTACACTTGGGGATTATGGAAACTGCAATTCAAGATGCGATCTGGGTGGGGACACAGAGCTAAATCATATCACTCTGTCCCTGGCCCCACTCCAAGTCTCATGTCCTCACATTTCAAAACAATCATACCTTTCCTACACTTCCCCAAAGTCTTAGCTCATTACAGCATTAACCCAAATGTCCAAGTCCAGAGTTTCATCTGAGTCAAGTCCCTTCCACCTATGAGCCTGTAAAATCAAAAGCAAGTTAGTTACTTCCTAGATACAATGGAGGCACAGGCATTGTGCCTGTAAATACACCCATTCCAAATGGGAGAAATTGGCCAAAACAAAGGGGCTACAGGCCCTATGCAAGTCTGAAAAACAATAGGGCAGTCATTAAACCTTAAAAGTTCCAAAATGTTCTCCTTTGATTCCAGGTCTCACATCCAGGTCACACTGATGCAAGAAATAGGCTCCCATGGCCATGGGCAGCTCCACCCCTGTGGCTTTGCAGGGTACAACCTCCCTCCTGGCTGCTTTCATGGGCTGGCATTGAGTGTCTGTGGCTTTTCCAGGGGCACAATGAAAGTTGTCAGTGGAGCTACCATGCTGGGGTCTGGAGGACGGTAACCCTCTTCTCACAGTTCCACTAGGTAGTACCCCAGTGAGGACTCTGTGTGGGGGCTCCAACCCCACATTTCCCTTCTGCACTGTCCTAGCAGAGGTTCTCCATGAGGGCTTTGCCCCTGCAGCAAACTTCTGCCTGGGTATCCAGGCATTTCCATACATCTTCTGAAATCCAGGTGAAGGTTCCCAAACCTCAATTCTTGACTTCTGTGAACCCACAGGCTCAACACCACATGGAAGCCTCCAAGGCTTGGAGCTTGGACCCTCTGAAGCAATGGCCTGAGCTGTACCTTGGCCCCTTTTAACTGTGGCTGGAGCTGAAGCAGCTGGGAGACAGGGCACCATGTCTCAAAGCTGCACAGAACAGGGGGTCCTGGGCCCATGAAACCATTTTTCCCTCCTAGGTTTCCAGGCCTATGATGGGAGGGGCTTCCAAGAAGGTCTCTGACATGCCCTGGAGACATTTCCCTCATTGTCTTGGCAATTAATATTCCACTCCTTGTTCTGCAAATTTCCGCAGCTGGCTTGAATTTCTCCCAAGAAAATGGGTTTTTCTTTTCTATCGCCTTGTCAGGCTGCAAGTTTTCTAAACTTTTATGCTCTGCTTCCTCTTGAACACTTTGCTGCTTAGAAATTTCTGCCACGAGATACCCTAAATCATCTCTCTCAAGTTCAAAGTTCCACAGCTCTCCGGGTCAGGGGCAAAGTGTTGCAGTCTCTTTGCTAAAGCATAGAAAGAATCACCTTTATCCGAGTTCCCAACAAGTTCCCCATCTCCATCTGAGACCACCTCAGCCTGGACTTCATTTTCCATGTCACTGTCAGCATTTTGGTAGAAGCCATTCAAGTCTCTAGGAAGTCCCAAACTTTCCCACATCTTCTTGTCTTCCAAGCCCTCCAAGTCTCTAGGAAGTTCCACACTTCCCCACATTCTTCTGTCTTCTTTTTTTTTGTTTTTGAGATGGAGTTTCGCTCTTGTTGCCCAAGCTGGAATGCAGTGGTACAATCTCTGCTCACTGCAACCTCCACCTCCCATGTTCAAGCCATTCTCCTGCCTCAGCCTCCCAAGTAGCTGGGATTACAGGCATGCACCACGATGCCCAGCTAGTTTTATATTTTTAGTAGAGATGGGGTTTCACCATGTTGGCCAGGCTGGTCTCAAACTCCTGACCTCAGGTCATCCACCTGCCTCGGTCTCCCAAAGTCCTGGGATTACAGGGATGAGCCACCACACCCAGCCTTTACTGTCTTCTTCTGAACTCTCCAAACTATTCCAACCTCTGCCTGTTGCCCAGTTCCAAAGTCACTTCCACATTTTAGGGTATCCTTATAACAGCACCCTATGTCTGTGGTACCAATTTACTGTATTAGTCTGTTTTCATGCTGTTATGAAGAACTACTCAAGACTGGGTAATTTATAAAGAAAAGTTTAATTGACTCATAGTTTGACATGGCTGGGCATGCCTCAGGAAACTTACAATCATGGCCGAAGGCACCTCTTCACAGGGTGGCAGCAGAAACAATGAGTTTTGAGTGAAGGAAGAAGCCCCTTATAAAACCATCAGATCTTGTGAGAACTCACTATCACGAGAACAGCGTGGAGAAAACCACCCCTATGATTCAATCATGTCCATCTGGTCCCGCCCTTGACACATGAGGATTATGGGAATTACAAGATTACACATTAATCTTAAATTACACATTAATAAGTGTGTAATGAAACATCCCCTTTTTTTATTTGAGTTCATTTCAATAGATATGGAAATAATAGAAAATGCATCTGACATCAAATTCCTGGGAAGTACAGGTAAAAAAAAAAATACCAGATGTTTAAAGGTATTTGAATAAGTAAATGTTGCAGTCTGTACTTTATCAGTTAGCTATGATACAAAAAACAATGCATGGCAGTTGCTTGTCAATTTTGTGATTTGTTCAGAAACATACATCTCTGCATGCACTTAGTTTTATACGGCAGTGCAAAATGTCAAAAGCACTGATGTTGCTCAAAGGAAATGGTAAGGAACTAACTAAGGCTCACTCCAAATTCCTTCACAAACCCGTCCAATCCTGTGAGTGTCGAGGGGCCTTCACATCACAGCCTGCATCCTGACAGGCCCTGTGAGACCCATCCCGCTTCATGGAACGTGAGTCAGCAGCTCAGAGAAGGACAAGGACATCTACATAACTGGCTCGAAATATTCAACTTTTCAAAATTTTATATTTTCATACATATAAATATATATTCTTAAAATGCATTTTTGTTTTTCTATCCGAACAGAAGTGCAATAATTCTTTAAAAATATTCCTAAACAGACCGGGGCAGTGGCTCACACCTGTAATCCCAGCACTTTGGGAGGCCGAGGCAGGCGGATCACGAGATCAGGAGATTGAGACCATCCTGGCTAACATGGTGAAACCCCGTCTCTACTAAAAATACAAAACATTAGCCAGACATGGTGGTGGGCGCCTGTAGTCCCAGCTACTCCGGAGGCTGAGGCAGGAGAATGGCATGAACCTGGGAGGCGGAGCTTTCAGTGAGCTATCCAGCCACTGCACTCCAGCCTGGGTGACAGAGCGAGACTCTGTCTCAAAAAAGAAAAAAAAAAAAATTTGTAAACAAACGATGATGAAAACAGGAAACTGAATACAATTACGAACAATGAATTTAATCTTTAGTTTCTTCTGCTTTATACTATATGTGAATTTGGTCTAGAAAATACAACATAAAAGGAAATAAGTAAAAACCAAACGTTGAGCATTACTAAGGTAAAAATGTTGAATGGAATACTTTATTATGTATTTATGTATTTATTTGTTTGTTTATTGAGACATGGTTTTACCCTGTTTCCCAGGCTGGAGTGCAGTGGCATGACCATGGCTCACTACAGTCTTGAACTTTCATGCTCAAGCTATCCTCTGACCTTAGCCTCCTGAGTAGCTGGAACTACAGGTGCATGCCACCATGCCTGGCTAATTAATAATAATTTTTTTTTTTTTGTAGAAACAGGCTCTCGCTATATAGCCAGGGCTGGTCTCAAACTCCTGGGCTTAAGGGAGCCTCCTATCTTCATCTCCCAAATTACTGGGGTTATAGATGTGAGTCATCAGGTGTCGCCTGAATGATATATTTTAATGATGTACCTAGCACATGAGTTTCAAAGTTTTCACTCTCCAAGAATTTTCATAAGGTCAGTTTAATTATTAATAGCATGTTTTACAGTTATAGAATTAATGCATAAATACAGTAAAACAATGTGAAACTATAGAATTGTATGAAATAAAAAATAAGAATATTTCTTCTATCTCTGTACATTTTCCATCTTTACCATGTTCAACATATCTTTATTACTATTATGAAAAATTTAAAGAATATACAAAAGGAAATAAATAGCATAATGAATGAATAGTATAATTAACTCATTGACCTAATACCCAGCTTCAGTTTTAGACAGTCCTGATTCCTCTGATCCCACTTCCCTGACATAGATTAATTGAAGAGCATTTCTGGCATCCTGTCATTTCATCCATGAATATTTGGAGGTATCCACCTCCAAAGGGTAAGGATCCCCTTTTTAAAATAATACATCTAAAAATTAGCCAGAATTACTTACTTTTACCCAAAATCCAGTCGCTGTTCAAATTTCCCTGATTGTCTTACTTTTTTTTTTTTTTGAGATAGAGTCTCGCCCTGTCACCCAGGCTGGAATGCAGTGGCAAGATCTCGGCTCACTGCAACCTCCGCCTCCTGGGTTCAAGCGATTCTTTTGCCTCAGCTTCCCAATTAGCTGGGATTACAGGTGCCCACCACCATGCCTGGTTAATTTTTTGTATTTTTAGTAGAGACGGGGTTTCACCATATTGGCATGTTGGTCAGGCTTGTCGGCCAGGATTGATCTCCTGACCTCAAGTGATCCACCCACCTCGGCCTCCCAAAGTGTTGGGATTACAGGTGTGAGCCACGCTGCCTGGCCAGTCCTACATATTTTTTCACACCATTTTTCTTTTTTTAAAAGAGCAGAATCCTTGTACGGATATTACGATGGATTGCAGAGTCTCTAAAGCATTCTTCATTCTTATTCTTCCCCTTCCATCTTTTTTTTCATGCAATTCGTTAAAGAAACTAGGACAGAGTCCACAGTGTAGATTTTTATGATTGTGTCATCACTGTGGTATCATTTAACACGCTACTCTGACCTCAGTATTTTCTGTGAAACCCACATGTCAGGGGTGTTGGGCAGATTTGTTTGCTTCTGGGTTTGTGTTTCCAACACTCAGACTCAGGACCTGGTAACAATCCCCTATAGCAGTTCGTAACTATTTGCTTGATTTTGACTGAACACCAGAGGGCAGTGCAGGTGGACACCAAGAGCATTGCTGTCAACACACAGAGGCCTGTGGGCACAGGGGTCCTGCACTGCGAGGCCAAAGCTCCCTTCTCTGCTCCCAAGCAATCTCTTTCCCTCCTCTGAAGGACAGCCACATACTCTAGGTCCTAACCTCTGGAGTGCACTAATGACCAAGAGGTGCATGAGCACCAAATGTGAGAGGACAGGAGTCTGGAAACCTAGCACAGGAGTCTTCTCAGAACCTTAGGACATTCCTACTGTTGTGAGGGTAGGAGAAGAATGCCTAGCTAAGGAAACAAGTGTTTAGTGTCCAATGTGAGTAACTGCCATGGGGAAGAATAAAGCAGGGAAGGGCAAGAAGATGCCCAGGGTGGACAAAGAAGCTCTCATTGATAAAGAGACATTAGAACACACATCTGAAGGTGGCAAGATAGTCAGCCTTTCAGATATCTGGAGCAAGCTTGTTGCACTAAGAGGAAAAAGCAGGTGCAAAGGCCCTGGGGCAGGAACGTGCTAGTTGTGTTTGAGGGGGGCAGCCAGCTGTTGTAACTGGAACAGAGAGAGAAGGGGGAAGATGGTAGTGAATGAAATCTGAAAAGGAACAGATTATGTACGATTTTTAGGCCATTATAAGGACTTTGGCTTTTACTCCTGTGAATCAGAAAGCTACGTGACTGGGGTGGGGTAGTGCTTTACTAAGAGGAGTGGCGCTCTCTGATAATTTTTAAAGGCTCACTCTGGTTGCTGAGTTACAAATACATAGAATGAGTCAGCTGGGAGATCAATGGGGAGGCGATTGCAATCATCTGGGGTGGCTGCTACAATCTATGTTAGAAACTTGCATGGTTCATGCCTTTTATTTTAGGCAAGTTCATCAGCATTTGCTTTTCAGATACTTAATGAATCCTTCAGTCTATTCAGAGAATAAGGCATGTGTTGAAATGATCAGTACACAGTATTAGAGAATGGAAAGTCATGAATATAATAACAGAGACGCCTTTAGGGGCAACGTGAGGTCAAGAGAGGAAGGGACTGCAGCCAGCTTGGCAGGTGAGCCTGGCATAGGACAGGCCTTCCTTGAGATGGTCACAAATACAGTTTTATCAGTTTTCCTTGTGATGGTCACAAATACAGTCTTATCAGTTTTCACAAATAAAACCTTACAAATGTTCACTAATAAAATGCTACAACATATCCTATACCATATGCCAATTTAAGATAGGTTTTACTCCAGTGAGTTAGGTTATCTGTAAATAACACATGGTCAAATCCCATATGTCTGTGTAGCAAATACTTTCTCAGTGTCCTGTTGTTTTTAATCCAGCATGTTCCACCAGCCTGGCCTAGGCTAGGGCTGGCACCTAGATAGTCATTAGGGTAAGTGTGTGTTTGTTTTGGGGTGTGGGTTTCTTTTGGGGTGTGTGTGTGTGTGTGTGTGTGTGTGTGTCTGTGTGTGTAAGACTCATTGGCTCTACTCCAGGCCCCCTCTATCAAAATTTCTGGAGGTGGGAATCAAGTGTGATACTGATTTGGAAACCACCAATTCAGCTCACAGTTTTCTAGTCCAGTCTGTAACAGCTGCCTTCATGACAAACTGAATGCTGAAAGCTGTGGAAGGTGCCGGTAAACAAAAATAGAGGTGGAGGGAAAGCCATTTCAGACAAAGGGGATAGAGCACTAAACAACATAGGAGTCAGACCGGATTGGTTTTGCAGTGACTTCTGATGGCCTTTGCAAGTGTTCCATAACTGGATTTGCCTGGAATGTGGGGTTCAGGGTCCTTGGAAGAGAGTAGGTAGAAATAAGGTTTTGGAGCGTGTGAAATTAGATTGTGGAGGGCCTCACATGTTGAGCAAAGGACACTAAAGTTTATTTTCTAGGTAATAGGGAGCCAACCAAAATTTTTAAAATGAATGATGACACCAGAGAACTATGGTTCAAGAACTCCACACGTCTGACAGTCGTGTGTAATAATAACTGTTGTGTTATGAGTCCAGAGATGAGAAAGCTTTCTGCATTCATTCAGGAGAGAGGGGGTTGGGTGCTTAAATAGGAATAGGCCACTGGGATGTGTAGGTTGGAATGAATGTGAGAGACAGAAGACGTGAACAGCAGAAGAGAAAGGACAAGGTCAAACGTGGCACTGGGGTTTTAAATACAGGAAATTGGGAGGATGAACCAGCAGACTTAGCAAGATACAGAAGAAAAAAGAGATTTAGGAAAAACGTAGTATGGGTCAGCCAGATTTGGGGATGCCGATGCCATAACCAACTATAACCAATGGAAGATGATTTAACACAGTTGTAAGTATCTTGAAGCCAATGGTCTGTTTAGATGGGAAACAGTCTTTCATTTTCAAATTTAAAACTTTATTCTTAAAATGTGTACATTTAATCCAGAATAATCTATGGATATGTATTGAATAAATGCGTTCATTTTTAAATTTATATTTGATTTGTAGTGTCCCATTTCACTATAGTTTTCTGAAGAAATCTCAGTTCTTTATGCAAACTGTATCATAATAGTCAAGAATTTAAGATTACTTTCGTGTTCAAGGTCCTATCTCCAATTATCCTCTTGTTTAACGTGATTGCCTTTTGACCTACTTTCCATCTTAACATTAACATTATATTTTTTAATTATCCTGAATCAAATTTCGATTTAAGAAACTCCAAAAATAACAAAAATTGGAAACAGCCTATAACATTTTAGGAAATCAAGAAATATATTTAATTGTAACACCCACTTTCATATTCCACAAGAGAAAAATAAAGCAAAGCCTGATCAAGACGTGCCTTTAACACAACTCAATCACCTTTGAGCCTTCATTCTTTACCAGTCTCTCTATTCTCTGTGCCTATTTTCTACTCTCCCTGAGCAGAAATTTAAGTGTCACATTTTGCCAAGGCCTCCATTACATGAGTAATGAGTGCTTACATATATTGATATCCCCTGATTTTCTGTTGGTGAAGTTTCCAGGAACATTCATTCTCTTGGGAGGAGTAGAGACTCAGGTAAAAGTCATGTCTCTTCATCTTCCATCCTTCAGAGATTACTGGTGGCCAGAACACCTATGTGGGAGAGTGGGTATGGGAAGTGGGGTGTGTGGATAAAGAAACTCTGTTCGGGAGAGGCTCCCAGGGATCTGTGAGTCAGAGGAGTCACCTATCTTTAGGGTTGCACAAATCTAGCACCTTCTATGAAAACTGCATTCACCCAGAATGTGAAAAGAAAAAAGGGATGGCTGAGAACTTTTAAAATTCAGCAACAGACACCTGCCCACAAATCAAAGAACCTCAGAGAACACCAGATGCTACTATCCTGTCATAAATTAGGTAGTTATTTTATTAAAATAAAAAGATAGGGCCGGGCGCGGTGGCTCACGCCTGTAATCCCAGCACTTTGGGAGGCTGAGGCGGGTGGATCACAAGGTCAGGAGATCGAGGCCATCCTGGCTAACACGGTGAAACCCTGTCTCTACTAAAAATACAAAAACATTAGCTGGGCGTGGCGGCGGGCGCCTGTAGTCCCAGCTGCTGGGGAGGGTGAGGCAGGAGAATGGCGTGAACCCAGGAGGTGGAGCTTGTAGTGAGCCGAGATCGCACCACTGCACTCCAGCCTGGGCGACAGAGCGAGACTCTGTATCAAAAAAAAAAAAAAAAAAAAAAAATTGAGCAGATAATAGAGTTCCTATAAACAATCTCCATTTCCCCCCACAGTTCCTCCATTATAAATATCTTGCATTAATGTGGCACATTTATTACAATAGATGAGCCAATATTTATTTATACCATCAATTTATACTAACGTCCCCGCTTTGCTTTGTATAGTTCTATGAGTTCTGACAAATGTATATCGTGTATCCACTATTACAGTATTACGCAGAATAGTTTCACTGATTTAAAAATCCCCTGTGATTGAGCTTTTCATCCTTCTTCTGCTCTCCTCAAGGCCCTTGCAACCACTGATCTTACTGCCTCTAAAGTTTTGTCTTTGCCAGAATGTCATATGGCTGGAATCATACAGTATGTGGCTTTTTCAGACTGGTTTCTTTCACTTAGCAATATGTACTTAAGGTTCCCCTTGTCTTTTTGTGGCTTCACAGCTCAATACCTTTCATTGCTAAATAATATTCCAATGTATACGTGTACCATAGTTTGTTCATCCATTTACCTATTGGATATGTTGGTTGCATCTGGTTTTAGATGATACGAATAAAGCTTCTATAAATAGTCATGTTCAGGATTTTGTATGGACGTAAGTTTTCAATTCAATTGGGCAAATACCTGGGGGCATGACTGCTGGATTATATAGCATGTTTAGTTTTTAAGAAACTGCCAAACTGTCTTCCCATGTGACTGCACCATTTTGCATTCCCACTAGTAATGAAAGAGTTTTGGTTGCTTCGCATCCTTGCCAGCATACAGCACTGTCAGTTTTTTGGAGTTTAGTCATGCTAATAGTTGTATAGAGGTATCTCATTGTTGTTTTAATTTTCAATTCCTTTTTAAATAATTTCAACTTTTATTTTAGATTCAGGGGGTTCATGTGCAGGTCTGTTACCTGGGTATATTGTGTGATACTGAGGTTTGAGGTATGATTGCTCCCATCACTCAGGTACTGCGCATAGTACCTAATGGTTTTTCAACCCTTCCCTCATCTACTCCCCGCCAGTAGTCCCCAGTGTCAGTTGTTGCCATCTTTATGTCCCTAAGTACCCAGTGTTTAGCTCCCAGTTATAAGTGAAAACATGCAGTATTTAGTTTTCTGTTCCTGTGTTAATTTGCTTAGGATAATGGCTTCCGGCTGCATCCATGTTGCAATTCCTTGATGATCTATGTTATTGAGCATATTTTCATCTGCTTATTTGCCCTTTGTGTATCTGTAGTGAGGTGTCCAGATTTTGCCCACTTTTTAACTAGGTTTTTTTTCCTTATTGTTGTGTTTTCAGTGTTTTTTTTGTATATGTTGGATATATTGATATATTTTTTGCATATATGTATATGTCGGTGTATTTTAGTGATGTAAAATGAATGGAATCTATAGCCTTAAACATAATATAAATATATAATGGTTAAGATTTCCCACTCAACAATCCAGGCTTGACAGAAAATCATAAAATGTATTTAAATGTAAATGTTTTTTTCTTTGTTGATACTAGTTCTTAGTTTTAACATGCCGAAGAGGGTATATTTGATCAAGGACAAGATTAAATGTTCTGATTGGTTAACTATCAAACCGCTGCCTCCACTTTTTTTTGCAACTTGAAAATAATATTTAGTTATCACGCTAGCACAGCCATATTAATATATACCCCTTCAAAACTTTAAACATAAAGCTTTAACGGTTTCAGGAAAAAGAAATATTAATGATGCTGAGATTGGTGGACACGGATTCTGTGTAGTGAGACACTAAAAAGTAATTTTTCAAACAGGAAAGTTAAAGCACTTTAAAATCACAAAGCTATTGGTAATTAAAAAAAGAATTAGTATCAATTTCTGAAATACAAGATTAGAGGGACACCTAAAATTCTGAAAGGTCTTACAGAATTTTTTAAAAAAGTAATTGCAATTTAGATCAAAGTTCCCCACTTTTCATTCCAAGTGTGACACAGGTTTAAATAATAAACCGACAAAAAGTTTAGATAAATTCATGAATTATTGAACCAGATGATAAAAAATAGGGAAGCTATTTAGGGCATAGTCTCTAGTGTGTAAGGGTGACATCCTAAATAATAAATTTATGCTATTGTTGACAATATTGCTGACAAGGCTAAATGGTCAATGTGCTTGACATATTGCCTGGTTTTTCATGTTCTATTGCATGAGCTGATTCTCTCTCTCTCTTTTATTTATATTTTTGAACTCTGCCATTATGTTATCATGGACATTATGCCAACAATTTGATGCATCTATGTATATGCTTTAAATCTCTGGGAATAAATTTACTGAGTGCTACTTATGTGAACAAACTTCTCTTAAGCACAAATGGAAATCCACAAAGAAAGACAGCCTCTTCTATTTGTTTTATGTGAGGCAACAGATACACTGTAGACAAAAAGACCAAGTATAATTAACTCATATTGGTAACTAACAATATCTGCATATTACATATTTTTCTATTATGTTTTCTGAGCAACTTCGTGGCTTCTGATTTGGAGGGGTAGGATTTCATAGTTAATACTTTTTTCTTTTTTTTTTTTTTTTTTTTTTTGGTGAGATAGAGTCTAGCTCTTGTTGTCCAGGCTGGAGTGCAATGGTGAAATCTCAGCTCACTGCAACTTCCGCCTCCCAGGTTCAGATGATTCTCCTGACTCAGCCTCCCGAGTAACTGGGATTACAGACACCCAGCATCATGCCTGGCTAATTTTTGTATTTTTAGTAGAGATGGGGTTTCACCATATTTGCCAGGCTGGTCTTGAACTCCTGACCTCAGGTGATCCGCCCGCGTTGGCCTCCCAAAGTGCTGGGATTACAGGCGTGAGCCACTGCGCCCGGCCCATATTTAACACTTCTATAAATATTTGTGCATATTGAAAGGAACATTACTCCCCACACTGCAACTGAACAAATGAGTGATAATGTTAATTTCCTTATTCTTGAGCTTTTCTTGAATAAAAGAGGGTCGTAGGACATGGAACAAAATAGACTAGAAAATAGGGTTGATAAGGTACTGATTCTGCCAACACTGCTTAATGCTCTCCCCAAGCAATTGTCTTTTAGATATGTTGATTTCCCAGTGTGAATGGTATTTTTTAAATATGTCAAGCAATTAAGAATATAAGTCTATTCTCATCTCAGCTAAACGTAGAATCTTTACAGAGAATTTGTGGTATCCTTAACCCTAATATGTGGAGAGATATGATTAAAAATGTTCACCACCTTATTTTCATTTATTTATTTATTTATTTATTTATTTATTTATTTATTTATTTATTATTTTGAGACAGAGCCTCACTCCACCCAGACTGGAGTGCTGTGGTGTGACCTCGGCTCATTGCAACCTCTGCCTCCCAAGTTCAAGTGATTCTCCTGCCTCAGCCTCTCAAGTAGCTAGAATTATAGGAATTCACCGCCATGCCCAACTAATTTTTCTTTTTTTTTTTTTTTTGGTGAGACAGAGTCTCACTCTGTTGCCTAGGCTAGAGGGCAGTGGCACCGTTTTGGCTCACTGCAGCCTCCGCCTTCTGGGTTCAAGCAATTCTCCTGCCTCAGCCTCCTGAGTAGCTGGGATTACAGGCACCCGCTACCACACCCGGATAATTTTTTGTATTTTTCGCCATGTTGGCCAGGTTAGTATTGAACTCCTGACCTCAAGTGATCTGCCTGACTCGGCCTCCCAAAGTGCTGGGATTACAGATGTGAGCTACCACATCCAGCCATCACCTCTTGTAAAGTGCAGTAAAGAAATAGTGGGCAATAGACAGGCAGGGGATAGAGGAAAATGTTTTGGGAGTGGGACAATATGAACTTATTGTCATGACAGGACCAAAAAGGGAAGACGTCTGCCTATCATAATTAATACTAACTCTATCAGTCAACATTTATGTTTTACAATTGTTCTGTAAAAGAAAAGCCAGCAAACTTTACAGATTCTAGTCCCTAATAACTGATCAAGAAAGACACTCTAAGCTTGTGCATCAGCATTCTCTTTTTATCTAAAAGAAAATATATTAAATACAGGGAGGAATGGCAGGAGTAAAGAGACTTGAAGGAAAAGAAAATATTGACTTTTTAATGATATTTTACAATGCTAAGATCTTTAGAAACCAACTATTCCATATGTCCTTTAAATATTAGTTTGGTGCAAAGGTAATTACAGTTTTTGTCATAAAAGTAATGGCAAAACTACAATTACTTTTGCACCAACCTAACTGATACATTCATTCCATTTTGGAGGTATTGCAAATATGCTGAATCAATGAATTTCTTCAGTATTTTTCATTGTATTAGTACAAATTTAACCTAATAGTATTCTTCTGCATGTTATTTCCCTTTGTGCTTCCTTTAATGCAATGAAGTTGTAGTTACCAAATAGAGTGCCCTAAAAGGGCAAGGCTTGTCTGTGAATTGAGCCTAGCATAGAATTGGCTCTCAGTGAAGATCTGTTGAACGTTACATGAATGCATCAACGTCATAATCCTTCATGTGCTTGTAAGCAATTAGTAAAATTTTCTCTGGCCTATTCAGGCCTGTGTTCTTCAAAATTCTTCAAAATATATGGACGTGTTTGCTGTTTCTATTAGGTTTTAACTTCTGGTATCAGAAACCAGGGCTGTTTTTCTTAATTTGTGTCCTAAAACTACAGTAGGGTTGTATGCATTGTGATAATGCTTAATAAATATATAAAAAGATTAATATCCATTCATTTACATTTTCTTAATCAAACCCAATTTCTGGAGGAGTAGCTGTGAAACTCTCAACTGGACGAGCTCTGACTAGTGTTAAGTATAGGATATTGGGAAAAGGGCTTCTATATGCAACATATATGTGAGGCAAATGAGAAATATTAGCTGGGCTACATTAAATCCCAATGACATGAATAGAAATTTTATTATCCAGGTAGCAAAAATGAAGTCAAAAAAATAAATAAGAGAATGAAGTAAAGGTATGGGGCAAAACAATTAGCTTTTTCTTTAAGTCAATATTTTAGAAAATAGCTTTTGAAGGCCCAATCACACAGAAAATTGACACTTTGACTTTTCTTTGCACTGTGTTAGACATAGGTAAAAGGATGTCTCAGCACTGTACCTTCATGTAGAAAATGTAATTAATACCAAATTGCATAAAAGTACACTAAAATTTTAATTCTTACATCATTTTAATAAATTTCTTGAGATTTTACTTTATTTAGTGTGTCATTAAAACACAGGATTTAAGGAAGATATATATAATAAAGGAAAATGGTAAGTTACCATTCTTGTGTAAACACGTTTTGTAAATACTATTTCAACAAAGATTTAAAAGTTAATTACAAAGGTATAAAGTTATGAAGTATTATATAAACAGGATTCATAATTTTGTTTTAAATGGTCTTTTCATGTATCAAAATACTATCAGTTTAAAACAACCTTTTATTTTAAGGCAGTAGGCTCTGTTTACCATCATTTACAATTGCTTTAATTAGAATTTTCTTCACTTTCAGTATATTCAAGAGCTATTCTGTTGGCCATAATTTTTAAGATAAAGTTTATCCAAATAGAAAAGTAATTATATAATGATTAAGTGCCAGAATGTGTGGGTTCAAATTCCAGTTCTGCTACTTATCAGGTATAAGAATTTGGGCAAATTTCTTAGTTTCTCTGTGCTTCAGTTTCCTGATCTGTAAAACTGGGATAACAAGACTACCTGCCTCAATCTGTGGTTATGAGTAAATGAGTTAATACATAAGAGCAATGCAATAATCCTTGGCATGTGGTATGCGTTCAATAAACATTAGCTATTATTATTATAGTAAATTAGAAATTTAATTCTAGAGAATAAAAAGCTGAACTCAAATATGTAACTATTTATTCGATACAGGCACATTTTCCACAAAATAAAAAACCGTCAGTTTGCACTTGCCTTATATAATGACTATTCTGGTGTTTGTGTGTATCTCTTGTGGGTCGGGGGTCTTGGGCTGAGTAAATAATCACATTAAAAATTTTAAAGACTTCCGATTAAAACAGAAATAAGAACAAATGGCCATTCGTGGATCATTTGCAAAGCTGAACGAATACTTGACATGTCTTTCTGTGATTCCTTGCAGATATCATGGAAATCAGGACAGTGGCAGTTCGGATTGTGGCAATCAAAGGGGTGGAAAGTGAATTCTATCTTGCAATGAACGAGGAAGGAAAACTCTATGCAAAGGTATTGATAATTGATAGCTTAGGCTTAATTTTTAAAACTCATTTTTGTTGAAATATCTCACCATTCTGAAAAGTAAACATGGACTTAATCTATCTCCAACTGTATAATTTAATGATTTTATTAAAACACTTTATACTCAAATGTTAAGAAAAAATGTTTTCTGTGTGACTTTGGACAAATGGCTTGTTCTTTGGATTCTGGTTTCTTCATCTGTAAAATGAGTTGAATTAGCTGACCTCTAAGGAGCCTTCCAGCTCTAACATTCCATGTGCATTTTAGATATTTAAAATCCAAAATTTCCATTTGCCAGTATTAAAGCTCTTTTTGCTAAAGTTCACCCAATTTGCACATTGCTGACATGAAAATTCTTGGGAAAAAATCTTGAAATGTTTAGTTCATTCATCAACATCAATCTCACAATCATGGGCTTTGAACTGTAATTATTCACATTGTTCCCACTTCACTACAATGCAAAATATGTAACAGTTCATCCCACTGTAATAAAATATAATTGGCTTTCCTTTGTATTCCCACAGCTCAGCATAATGCCTGGAACAGGCTAATTATATAATGATACAGGTTTAATTGAATGAACAAATGGTTGCATGGATGAACAAACAAATTAACCTTTTATCTTCCATTACCACTGAAGACAGTGTACAAGTAAATAAAGAAAAGTTGTGAAACAAGTCTCTCACCTGAGGGAGGCAGAGGTTCTGCTAATTCTACCAAATTTCCAGTGGTTAAAGAATGAGTGATGTGGGAAGAGTAATTTGAGGCCTGTTACTTAGGGGGAAATAGGTCCTAATTTTAAAGAATAGTTGACATGAACTTCCAAAAAGCTACACATATTTCACACTAGCTGTGCATTATGTGGTGTCTTTATTTCAAATTTAAGATACCTTTTTATGCAAATATACTACATAAGTCTAGCTAATAAACCACATTAGGCCTGCTCAATCTGAGGGTTAAAAAAAGTTGTGTATGTTTCAATTCTACCAAATATTGCTGCTTACTCTTCGTTTAATTGAGCCTCTCTAAAAATCATTTGGATAATGTTTGTGTGTTTGTTTGTTTGTTTGAACAGAAAGAATGCAATGAAGATTGTAACTTCAAAGAACTAATTCTGGAAAACCATTACAACACATATGCAGCAGCTAAATGGACACACAATGGAGGGGAAATGTTTGTTGCCTTAAATCAAAAGGGGATTCCTGTAAGAGGAAAAAAAACGAAGAAAGAACAAAAAACAGCCCACTTTCTTCCTATGGCAATAACTTAATTGCATATGGTATATAAAGAACCAGTTCCAGTAGGGAGATTTCTTTAAGTGGACTGTTTTCTTTCTTCTCAAAATTTTCTTTCCTTTTATTTTTTAGTAATCAAGAAAGGCTGGAAAACTACTGAAAAACTGATCAAGCTTGACTTGTGCATTTATGTTTGTTTTAAGACACTGCATTAAAGAAAGATTTGAAAAGTATACACAAAAATCAGATTTAGTAACTAAAGGTTGTACAAAATTGTAAAACTGGTTGTACAATCATGATGTTAGTAATAGTAATTTTTTTCTTAAATTAATTTACCCTTAAGAGTATGTTAGATTTGATTATCTGATAATGATTATTTAAATATTCCTATCTGCTTATAAAATGGCTGCTATAATAATAATAATGCAGATGATGTTATATAAGGTATATCAGACCTACAGGCTGCTGGCAGGATTTGTCAGATAATCAAGCCACACTAACTATAGAAAATGAGCAGCATTTTAAATGCTTTCTAGTGAAAAATTATAATCTACTTAAACTCTAATCAGAAAAAAAGAATATTCTCAAAAAAATCTATTACGAAAGTCAATAAAATAGATAATTTAACAAAAGTACAGGATTAGAACATGCTTATACCTATTAACAAGAACAAAATTTCTAATGCTGCTCAAGTGGAAAGGGTATTGCTAAAAGGATGTTTCCAAAAATCTTGTATATAAGATAGCAACAGTGATTGATGATAATACTGTACTTCATCTTACTTGCCACAAAATAACATTTTATAATTTCTCAAAGTAAAATTGAGAAATCTTTAAGTTTTTTTCAAGTAACATAATCTATCTTTGTATAATTCGTATTTGGGAATATGGCTTTTAATAATGTTCTTCCCACAAATAATCATGCTTTTTTCCTATGGTTACAGCATTAAACTATATTTTAAGTTGTTTTTGAACTTTATTATTTTGTTATTTAAGTTTATTTTATTTATTAAAAAAACCTTAATAAGCTGTATCTGTTTCATATGCTTTTAATTTTAAAGGAATAACAAAACTGTCTGGCTCAACTGCAAGTTTCCCTCCCCTCTGTGACCGAGACTAAGTCTAGCACACAGCACTTGGGCCAGCAAATCCTGGAAGGCAGACAAAAATGAGAACCTGAAGCAATGCTTACAGTAGATGTCTCACACAGAACAATACAAACATGTAAAAAATCTTTCACCACATATTCTTGCCAATTAATTGGATCATATAAGTAAAATCATTACAAATATAAGTATTTACAGGATTTAAAAGTTAGAATATATTTGAATGCATAGGTAGAAAAGTATCATATTTTAAAACTATGTATATTTAAATTTAGTAATTTTCTAATCTCTAGAAATCTCTGCTGTTCAAAAGGTGGCAGCACTGAAAGTTGTTTTCCTGTTAGATGGCAAGAGCACAATGCCCAAAACAGAAGATACAGTTAGGAATAAGGGGCCTTGAATGTCATGAAGGCTTGAGGTCAGCTTACAGATAACAGGATTATTAAAAAGATGAATTTCCACTTCCAAAGTCTTTCATTGGCAGATCTTGGTAGCACTTTATATGTTCACCAATGGGAGGTCAACATTTATCTAATTTAAAAGCTATGCTAACCATTGTGGTTTTAATTTCAAAATATTTGTCATTCAAGTCCCTTTACATAAATAGTATTTGGTAATACATTTATAGATGAGGCTTATATGAAAAGGCTAGGTCAACAAACCAATAGATTCATTTAATTTTCCTGTGGTTGACCTATACGACCAGGATGTAGAAAACTAGAAAGAACTGCCCTTCCTCAGATATACTCTTGGGAGAGAGCATGAATGGTATTCTGAACTATCACCTGATTCAAGGACTTTGTTAGCTAGGTTTTGAGGTCAGGCTTCAGTAACTGTAGTCTTGTGAGCATATTGAGGGCAGAGGAGGACTTAGTTTTTCATATGTGTTTCCTTAGTGCCTAGCAGACTATCTGTTCATAATCAGTTTTCAGTGTGAATTCACTGAATGTTTATAGACAAAAGAAAATACATAATAAAACTAATCTTCATTTTAAAAGGGTAAAACATGACTACACAGAAATTTAAATAGAAATAGTGTATATACATATAAAATACAAGCTATGTTAGGACCAAATCTCTTTGTCTATGGAGTTATACTTCCATCAAATTACATAGCAATGCTGAATTAGGCAAAACCAATATTTAGTGGTAAATCCATTCCTGGTAGTATAAGTCACCTAAAAAAGACTTCCAGAAATATGTACTTTAATTATTAGTTTTTCTCCTATTTTAAAATTTATTATGCAAATTTTAGAAAATAAAATTTGCTCCAGTTACACCCACTTAGAATTCCAGAATCTTAAAACTGTAAGGGGCCTCCATCCCTCTTACTCATTTGTAGTCTAGGAAATCGAGATTTTGATACACCTAAGGTCAAGCAGCTGAGTAGATATACAACTGTCACAAGAGTCTAGATCAGTTGGCACATGCTTTCTATACTAGATTATTAGTATTATTAGCTAATGGTCTTCTGCATTTTTTTGTTTTTTTATTTCTATTGAGATATAGCCTTTACATTTGTACACAAATGTGACTATGTCTTGGCAATGCACTTCATACACAATGACTAATCTATACTGTGATGATTTGACTCAAAAGGAGAAAAGAAATTATGTAGTTTTCAATTCTGATTCCTATTCACCTTTTGTTTATGAATGGAAAGCTTTGTGCAAAATATACATATAAGCAGAGTAAGCCTTTTAAAAATGTTCTTTGAAAGATAAAATTAAATACATGAGTTTCTAACAATTAGAAAGGAAAAAATTAAAATATGAAATGATAACAAAAGTAAACAAAAGATACTTTCAAAGCAGTGAACAAAACATTTTGACATAAGCCATAATATAAATTATAATATAAAAATATAAAAACCATAGTATAAATTGTCAATCTTTGAGTTGGCTATGAATTCAATTTAATGACAGAAGAGAAGGGATGCTGGAGGTAAATTCTTAGAGTTTCTATCTCATAGAGTTTGCTCTTCTGATTCTCTAGACTGCCAAAGAACATAAAGATGTACAAGGGGACCTAGCTGTAGTAAAAGCATTGCTATAACAACAAAAACTCTAAAACAGTGCCCCTCACGATTTTCTACTGAAATTTCTCTAACAGTAGAGGTATAAAACAAGAAGTTAGAGAATAATGCAGAAGGGGCCCACCACAGAAATCACATTTCTTTTCTGTTAAGACTCATGTGATTTTTGCATCTTACTCCATAATGTATTAGTGGTTGCGTTAATATGACAATGTCTGCAATTAAACACCAGTAAGCAAAATCGATACATCAGAATGACTTGCAGGGCTTATCATGCAGTTTCATTTACATCCCTATCCCACTGCCATTTACTTGAGCGTGAATGACACACGAGAGATTCTTTGCCTTCCATGATCCAACTTTACACATAAATAACACAAGGCTAAAGAAAACCAGAACTCAAATTCACCATGCATAGGAGTGATAACAAAAATATTTAACAGTCAGTATGGGTGATTACTGGCCAATCAGAATACGTCACTGATATATCAAAATGGATGCAGGCCACTGTGACTAACTTGTGGGTATCATTTCTATGATCACCCTAAAACAGAGTTGGGAAAATATCAATTAACTGGTCTCTCTGGTTTGAATTCTCAATATGTATCTTAATATGAAATAGCTCATTAAAACTTCATGTGTAACTATTTCAGCATTGTTGTCAGCTACTCTTTATTCCACTTCTGTACAGTATTTATTCAACCAAGCTGCTGCTTTCAATGAAGGTCACTTGTTCCTTCAGGGACACATGTACTCCCACCTATCCTTTAATTTTGAATGGTTTGTCAAGAAAATTTACTTTCTCTTGAGTTGAAAAGACTTGACAGGAAGCAAGAAATAATACAGTCCTAGCCTCTTTCCAGTAACATCTGATTTCTCCATTCTCAAACTACACTTCTCAGGGAACCAGATATTTACTCTCGTCTGGGAAGATGCCTCTTATGTTTTCCTTTTACTTCCTGGTTATCATGTGGTTGCATTTTCCAAGTTCTTATCATTGAATTTATGAGAGCCTATCCAAATTTATTTTCTTTTATTTTCTAATAATTGAAATGTGAGATGAAAATAACATTTCACTTATGAAAAACGCTTCTCTTGATGAATCCTTCCATGTGTTAGTTATCTATTGCTCTGTAACAAAGGTGTTAGTTATCTATTGCTGTGTAACAAATTAAAACTTAATGGCTTGAAACAAATATTTGTTTTCTCATAGTTTATGTGGCTCAGGAGCCTGGACGTGGTTCAGCACAGTGTTTTTGGTCAGAATTCCTCATGAGGCTGCAATCAAGGTGTAGACCAGGGCTGTAGTCATCTATCTCAATATTCAACTCAGAAAGGGATCCACCTTAGATCCTCACTGGCTCTTATCAGGACCTATCACTTCCTTACCACATGGACCTCTCCATAGCATTGCTTACAACATTACAGTCTGTTTCCCACGGAGCAAGAAATCAGAGAGTGTGAGATAAAGTACCCAAAATGGAAGCCACAGGTTTGTTTGTTTGTTTTAATATATATAACCTAGTTTCAAAAGTGATGTTACCTCTGCCTACACTCATGAGGAGGGTATTATACAAGGGCATACATACCAGAAAGCAGGGATCACTGGAAGTCATTTTACAGGCTGCCTAATCCAAGTCATGAACTAGATGTTTTTAATGTCACTGCCATAAACTGGGATTCTACAGGGTCTAATGAGAGTAATTAATTCATGGCTTTCAGTGGGGATCCATTCAGCAGAGAAAGAGATGAAATATGTATATTCTCTGTGGAAACACTCTTGATTCTTCCTTGAGGGATACTGCGTGGTCCATTCCTACACAGGATAATTAAGAAAAGGTTTGAACCAATCTGGACTTCCTATTAGCCTGAGATGTGGCTACTTAGAACTCCCAATGTAGCTGGAAAACTAACAATATCCCTTTGCCTCCACATGAAGCAAATTACCCTGCCATCAGACTCAACATGAAGATAATCCTCCCTTCAGCTGCTCTACCTCAAGAGAAAAAGATCATAGATGCCAGCTGGAATTCCTCTGGGCCATAGAGTGTTTTATTCTAGATGCTGAAGGCAATCAGCCACCATTTACCCAAGACCATCTGAGAATAAGACCTAAAAAGACTTGAAAACAATTGATTTCAATGGTAGGTACACACTGGTATCCCCTGTTCTGTATATATCTACAGATACTTAGATATATACAAAACAGGATATATATATATATATATAGAGAGAGAGAGAGAGAGAGAAACAGAGAGAGAGAGAGAGAGAGAGAGAGAAACCTAGGCCCCAACTCAAGCCAATTACATCAGTGTATATGACAGGTGGCCCATGCAGTCGTATTTTAAAAATTCCCCAGAATATTCTAATGTGCCTCTGCAGTTGAGAACTAATTAGGTAAATGCAAACAACAACAAAGACCAAAAAATGTCTTCAGAAACTATGCCTGCTTCTTCATCTTTGTCGCTTCTTTAAACACCTTGAAAGGCCTTATTCCCTCCCAGCCCCTCCTGCCCCTAGGTTTTCCTAGATGCTTCCGTATTTTCTGCTATGCACAACTGGGGCTCATAGGAAATGTAGGCACTAGAAGGAGAGTTACAATTGTTTTTGCATCAGAATGATTATGGAATAGAAAAAGGCATTTCATGCAAATGGACACCAAAAGCGAGCAGCGGTAGCTATTCTCATATGAGACAAAACAAACTTTAAAGCAACAGTAGCTAAAGTAGACAAGGACAGACAGTATATAATGGTAAAGGTCTCATCCAACAGAAAAATATGACAATCCCAAACATACATGAACCTAACACCGGAGCTCACAAATTTATAAAACAATTACTAGTAGACATAAGAAATGAGATAGACAGCAACACGATAATAGTGGGGGACTTCAATACTCCACTGACAGCACTAGACAGGTCATCAAGAGAGAAAGTCAACAAAGAAACACTGGATTTAAACTACACTTTGGAACAAATGGACTTAACAGATACATACAGAACATTTCATCCAACAACCACAGAATACACATTCTATTCCACAGCACATGGAATTTTCTCCAAGATAGACCATATGATAGGTCATAAAACGAGTCTCAGTAAATTGAAGAAAACTGAAATTGTATCACGCACTCTCTCAGATCACAGTGGAATAAAACTGAAAATCGACTCCAAAAGGAATCTTCAAAACCATGCAAATACATGGAAATTAAATAACCTGCTCCTGAATGAGCATTGGGTGAAAAACAAAATCAAGATGGAAATGTAAAAAATTTCTTCAAACTGGATGACACAACCTATCAAGACCTCTGGGAAACAGCAAAGGCAATGCTAAGGGGAAAGTTTGTAGCCCTAAACACCGACGTCAAAAAGTCTGAAAGAGCACAAACAGACAATCTAAGTTCACATCTCAGGGAACTAGAGAAACAGGAACAAGCCAAACCCAATCCCAGCAAACAAAGGAAATAACCAAGATCAGAGCAGAACTAAATGAAATTGACACAACAACAACAACAAAAAATACAAAACATAAAAGAAAAAGTTGGTTATTTGAAAAGATAAATAAAATTCATAGACCATTAGCAAGATTAACCAAGAAGAGAGAAAATCCAAATAACCTCACTAAGAAATGAAACAGGGGATATTACAACTGACACCACTGAAATATTAAAGGTTATTCAAGGGTACTATGAACACCTTTTGGCACATAAACTAGAAAACCTAGAAGAGTTGGATAAATTCCTGGAAAAATACAACCCTCCTAGCTTAAATCAGGAAGAATTAGATACCCCAAGCAGACCAATAAAGCAAGCAGCAAGATTGAAATGGTAATTTTAAAATTGACAACAAAAAAAGCCGAAGACCAGACAGATTCACAGCAGAACTCTACCAGACTTCAAAGAATGTCTTCCTTCATTCAAAGAAGAAATGATACCAATCCTTTCACACTATTCCACAAGACAGAGAAAGAAGAAACCCTCCCTGATTCATTCTATGAAGCCAGCATCACCCTAATACCAAAACCATGAAAGGACATAACCAAAAAAGAAAACTACAGACCAATATCCTTGATGAACACAGATGCCAAAATCCTTAACAAAATACTATCTAACTGAATCTGACAACATATCAAAAAGATAATCCAACATGATCAAGTGGGTTTCATACCAGTGATACAGGAATGGTTTAACATATGCAAATCAATAAATGTGATACACCAAATAAACAGAATTTAAAAAACTCACACGATTATATCAACAGATGCAGAAAAAGCATTTGACAAAATCTAGCATTGCTTTATGATTAAAGCTCTCAGCAAAATAGGCATACAAGGGACATACCTTAATGTAATAAAAGCCATCTATGACAAACCCACAGCCAACATAACACTGAATGGGGAAAAGGTGAAAGCATTCCCTTTGAGAACTGAAACAAGACGAGGAGCCTACTCTCACTACTCCTCTTCAACAAAGTACTGGAAGTCCTAGCCAGAGCAATCAGACAAAAGAAGGAAATAGAGGAAATCCAAATCGGTAAAGAGGAAGTCAGACTGTCACTGGTTGCTGACGATATGATCTTTCGCCTTGAAAACCCTACGGACTCCTCTAGAAAGCTCCTAGAACTGATAAAAGAATTCAGCAAAGTTTCCAGATACAAGATTAACAGACACAAGGCAGCAGCTCTTCTATACATCAACAGCTACCAAGCAGAGAATCACATCAAGAACTCAACCCCTTTTACAATAGCTGCAACAAACAAACAAACAAAAAACAAAACTTAGGAATATACCTAGCAAAGGAATCAAAAGACCTCTACAATGAAAATTACAAAACACTGCTGAAAGAAATCATGGATGGAGCCAAGCACGGTGGCGCATGCCTATAATCCCAGCTACTCGGGAAGCTGAAGCAGGAGAATCGCTTGAACCTGGGAGGCAGAAGTTGTAGTGAGCCGAGATCACACCATTGCACTCCCACCTCAGCGACAAGACTGAAACTCCCTCTGGAAAAAAAAAAAACACAAGAAAGAAAAGAAATCATAGACGATACAAACAAATGGAAATGCATCCCCATGCTCATGGATGGGTAGAACCAATATTGTGAAATTTACCATTCTGTTAAAAGCAATCTACAAATTCAATGCAATCCCCATCTGAATACCACCGTCATTCTTCACAGAATTACAAAAACAATTCTAAAATTAATATGGAACCAAAAGAGAGCCATGTAGCCAAACCAAGGCTAAGCAAAAAGAACAAACCTGGAGGCATCACACTACTTGATTTCAAACTGTACAATAAGGCCATAGTTACCAAAACAGCATGGTACTGGTTTAAAAATAGGAACATAGACCAATGGAACAGAAGAGAGAACCCAGAAATTAACCCAAATATTTACAGCCAACTGATCTTCGACAAAGTACACAAAAACATAAAGTGGGGAAAGGACACCTTTTCAACACATGATGATGTTGGGATAATTGGCGAGCCACATGTAGGGGAATAAAACTGGATTCTCATCTCTCACCTTATACAAAAATCTACTCAAGATGGATTAAGAACTTAAACCTAATTCCTGAACTATAAAAATTCTAGAAGGTAACACTGGATAAACCCTTCTAGACATTGGCATAGGCAAGGATTTCATGACCAAGAAGCCAAATGCAAATGCAATAAAAACAAAGATAAATAGCTGGGACTTAATTAAACTAAAGAGCTTTAGCATGGCAAAGGGAACAGTCAGCAGAGTAAATAGACAACCCACAGAGTGGGACCCCTGACCCTGACCCTGATCCCTGACCCTGACCCCTAACCCTGACCCCAACCCCTGATCCTAACCCTAACCTGTAACCCTAACCCCTAACCACAACCCTCACCCTAACCCAACCCTAACCCCTAATCCCAAACCACTAACCTCTCTTAACCCCTAACTCTAAACGTTGACTCCTAACCCCTAACTCTGACCCCAGCCCTTATTTCCAACCCCTAACCCTAAACTTAACCCCTAACCCCTAACCCTAACACCAACTTAACCCTAGGTTCGTTACTACGTTTGTATTGACTATGTCAATGTTGATTATTATGATCGCTGTCTTAGGACTGCAGGGCAGCGAGGGGATTGCGGATCTTATATTAATATTTTTGTATTGAGGCAGTGCATTAGCATTACAGGTGCTTGTTACATGAGCAATGGGGGTGTCATACTTTGGGTGTCATGTCTGCATTAGGAATGCCGCATTTGTCTTCCGAGGCTGCGGTGTGAATCTTGCACTGTGGCCGCCTCGCCTTGGCTGGGGAGAACCTCGGTGGGCAGGATTCAGAGGGGCTTTTGGTTTCCCGTTTTCCACACTGAACCCTTCTAACTGGTCTCTGACCCTGATTATTCAGGGCTGCAAACAGGAAGGATTTTATTCACCGTGGATGCAGCCCGGAGTTGTCCCAAAGCGAGGCAGTGCCCCCAAGGTCTGTGCTGAGGAGAACGCGGCTCTGCCTTCGCAGTGTCCCCCGGGTCTGTGCTGAGCAGAACGCCGCTCCGCCCTCGTGGAGACCCTGGCCCGCCCGGGTCTGTGCTGAGGAGAACACTGCTCCGCCACTGACCTCCAGCCTGGGCGACAGAGCGAGACTCCATCTCAAAAAAAAAAAAAAAACGATAACAACAAAAAATAAAAAAAAACCCCATAATAGTAGTGATAAGGCCGGGTATACAGATAAGGTACACAGATAAGAAAGGAAGTGATAGCGGGGCGCAGTGGCTCACGCCTGTAATCCCAGCACTTTGGGAGGCCGAAGCGGGCAGATCACGAGGTCAGGAGTTTGAGACCAGCCTGGCCAACACGGTGAAACCCCGTCTCTACTAAAAATACAAACATTAGCTGGGCGTGGTGGCGGGCGCCTGTAGTCTTCTCAGACACCCGACCACCGGCTCCTGAGCCGCGGCAACTCCCTGTCACCTTTTCACTGCCCCCAACCCAGCCCCAAATCCCCAATCCAGCCCCAAATCCCCGATCCATCTCCAAATCCCCGATCCAACCCCCAATCCGCGATCCAATCCCCAATCCGTGATCCCAAATCTGCGATCTAGCCCAGAATCCGCAATCCAGCCGGGTCCACCACAGCCTTCAGCAGCGACACTCGCAGCCTCTGACCTCTCAGACCCAGTGAGCCTCGCAAGGCCATTAGCAGCGCGCCTGCACCGCGGGGGCCGCCCGGCTCCCAGAAGCCGCTCCCAGCCGGTGCGCCGGCAAGCAGGGCTCCAGCCCAGGGCAGGCGCCGCTGGGCTCGCGGGTTCTCCTGAGCTGGTCCGGGCTTCCCCAGGACCACAGGGGCAGGATTGCAGGCGTGCAGCCTGCCCGGCCTCAGGAGGAGGGCCTGTCTGGCCGTGCGGCCCCACTTAATCTTAATAGCAAATAAAACTCAACAGTATGCTGTGGTATATTCTACAGTGATTCTACACAATTGTAGATTGCATTAGAATAATGTTTTTCTAAATTATTTTCTTGTTAACAAATGGACACTCGAAATTTTATTTATTTTAATTTCAATTTTTTTAAAAACAGAGTTTCACTCTTGTTGCCCAGGCTGGAGTGCAATGGCGCGATCTCGGCTCACTGCAACCTCCGTCTCCCAGGTACAAGTGATTTCTCCTGTCTCAGCCTCCCAAGTAGCTCCAATTACAGGCATGCGCCACCACAGCCGGCTATTTGTGTGTGTGTGTGTGTGTGTGTGTGTTTAGTAGAGATGGGGTTTCATCATGTTAGCCTGGTCGCAAACTCCTGACCTCAGGTGATCCACCTGCCTTGGCCTCCCAAAATGCTGGGATTACAGGAGTAAGCCACTGTGCCTGGGCAAAATTTTATTTTTTAATAATGCCAAGTGATTTCATTTTAAATTAAACTGCACCATAAATTGGATTATTTTCCTGCATGAGTACCTTGCTCTTCAAACAAAAACATTTTTTAAAGACCAAATATATTGCATACTTTTCTTAAAAAAAGCTCTGCCTGTGTGCATTGGCTTACGCCTGTAATCCCAACACTTTGTGGAGGCTGAGGGAGGAGGACTGTTTGAACCCAGGAGTTTGAGACTGGCCTGGGCAACACAGTGAGACACTGGCTCTACAATAATCTTTCTTTAAAAGTTAGCCAGGTATGGTGGTGCACAGCCATGGTCCCAGACACTTGGGAGGTTGAGGTGGGAGGATAGCTTGATCTTGGGAAGCTGAGGCTGCAGTGAGCTATGATTGCACTCCAGCCTGGGTGACAGAGCAAGAACCTGTCTCAAAAAAATGTTCTTACTGTATAAGAAATTATGAATGACATTTATTTTATGTTAAAACAGTATATTTTATCTACAAAAGGAGTAAAAGACAGTAATAGAAAAATTGGCACATAAAGGAACACAAATGCTAAAAAAATTCAAATTTACCAATAATCCTATCACGTAAATTGATAATTTTTAATATAATTAAATGTAGGATTTTAAAATAAATTTCTTTTAATTTATTTATTTAAACATATAGATTATTTTTAGACCCTCTTCAGGCATCCCCTGTTGAATAAATTCCATGATTTACAGGCCTACTCTCTCTATTGTTAAATATTGTATTGCTTTCAATGAACAATATTTTTTATAAACATTTCACAGAAACAAATCTGGGCACATTGAGACATGTTTTCTTTTCAAAAAGTCCTAGCACTTTAATTACTGTGTAAAGAGATATTAGTATATAATTTTCACACTTATTGACTAACATCCCTGCAAAATGTTGAATCAATTTATACTTTCAGCACCAATCGGCAAATTAATGTCCATTATGCTTTTGCTTCACCAAAACTGATACTTATATTTTATTTTGCTAGACAAAAATACATATTATCTTAATTTGCATAACTGTAATTAATAGAAAGGTTAAATTTTTTTCAGATGTATCATAGGGCATCACTTTTTCTTGAGTCTGGTGGGTGCTTAGTTCCTTTAAAGCATTAATCATGTATACTTTAATTTTATGTGCAAAACAATCATTAAGTACAATTTGAAATATGGAAAAATAAATAACTGGATTAAGAAAAAAACAAATAGAGCTTCTGGAATTAAAACATTCACTAATGGAATTTCAAAACACAGTTGGAATCTTTAACAATAAACTAGACTAAGCAGAAGAAATAATTTTAGATTTTGAAAACTGGTCTTTCAAAGTAACCCAGTCAGACAAAAATAAAAGAAAAAAGAACTGAAAAACAAAGCCCTTAAGAAATATGAGATTATGTAAAGTGACCAAACTTATAACTTATTGGCATTACTACAACAGAAGAATAAAAAGCAACCAACTAGGAAAGTATATTTAAGGGAATAATTTAGGAAAATTTCGCTAGTCTTGCTAGAAAGGTTGATATTCAGATATAAGAAATTCAGAGAACACCTGTGGCATAGTAAACAAGATGCCCATTCCTAAGGCATCCACAGTCATTAGAATAGCCGTGGTCAATGCAAAAGAAAATATATTAAAGGCAGCTCAAAGAAAGGGCCAAATTACCTATGAAGTAAATTAGATTAACAACAGACTTATCAGCAGAAACCCTGCAACCTAGAAAAGATTGGGGCCTAGCGTTAGCCTTCTTAAAGAAAAAAAAAATGCCATCCAATAATTTCTTTTTTTTGGAGACAGAGTCTCACTTTGCCACCCAGGCTGGAGTGCAGTGGTGTGATCTCAGCTCACTGCAACCTCCGCTTCCTGGGTTCAAGCAATTCTCCTGCCTCAGCCTCCCCAGTAGCTGAGATTACAGATGCCCGCCACCACGCCTGGCAAATTCTAATTTTTAATAGAGATGGAGTTTCTTCATATTGGCCAGGCTGGTCTTGAACTCCTGACCTCAGGTGATCTGCCTGCCTCGGCCTCCCAAAGTGCTAGGGTTACAGGCATGAGCCACTGCACCCAGCCACGCAAGAATTTCATAACCTGCCAGACTGAGCTTCATAAAGAAAGGAAAATAAGGTATTTCCAGACGAGAAAATGTTAAGGGAAGTCATTACCTCCAGACTGACTCTAAAAGAAATGTTTAAAGGAGTTTCACTAGTGAAAATAAAAGAATGATACTTGCTACCATAAAAGCATACATGAATACAAAATGTACGGAACCTATAAAGCAATTAAACAATTGAGACTACAAGGTAACTAGCTAATGCTATAAAAGGAAGAAAACCTAACACATCAATATTAAGCTTGAGTGCAAATGGCTGAAATGCTCCACTTAAAAGACACAGAGTGGCAAACTGAATAAAAAAACAAGACACTTCTGCTGCCTTTGAGAGACCCATCTCATGTGTAATGATACCAACAGGCTCAAAGTAAATGGATAGAAAAAGATTCATCACATAAATGAAAAACAAAAACAGAGAGGTATTGCTATTCTTGTATCAGATAAAACAGACATTAAACTAACAACAGTACAAAAAAAATACAAAGAATGGCATTATATAATGATAAAGTGTTCAATTCAACAAGAAGACTTAACTGTCTCAAATATATATGCAGCCTACATTGAAGCAACCGGATTTTTAGAATAAATATTACTAGACCTAAGAAAAGAGATACACAGCTGTACAATAATCATGGAGGACTTCAACACCCCACCGACAGTAGTAAGCAGATTATTAGTTAGGCAGATTATTAGGCAGAAAACTAACAATGAAACTGTGGACTCAAATTGGGCTCTTGACCAAACAGACCTAATAGATATCTACAGAATACTCTACCCAGAAACCACAGAATGTACATTTTTCTCATTTGCACATGGAACATTCCCTAAAATTGACCACATGCTCAGTCATAAAATAAGCCTCAATAAATTTTTAAAAGTCATAACTATATTAAGTATCTTCTCAGACCACTGTGGAATAAAATTAGAAGTCAATATCAAGAACTCTCAGAACCACAGAGGTACATGGAAACTAAACAATCTGCTCCTTAATGACTTTTGTGTAAATAACAGAATTAAGGCAGAAATTTAAAGAAATTCCTGAAACAAATGAAAATAGAAACGTAACATACCAAAACGTCTGGGATACAGAAAAAACAATGTTAAGAGGAGAGTTTATAACACTAAATGCCTACATAAAAAGAGAGAAAGATCTCAAATTAACAAGCTAAAATAGCCAAACACACTAAAAAAGAACAAACCAAACCCAAAGCTAGTAGAAGGAAATAACAAAAGTTAGAGAATAAGTTAATGAAATCGGGACCAAAAAAACCATACAAGGAATCAGCAAAATTAAAAAGTTGGTTCTTTGCAAGTACACATAAAAATGATAGATTGCTAGTTAGATTATGCAAGAAAAAAAGAAGATTCAAATAAGCACAGTCAAAAATGACAAATGAGACATTGCAAAGGATACCACCGACATAAAAAAAGATCCTCAGAATATCTTTGTGAGCATAAACTAGAAAACCTAGAGAAAACGGATAAATTCCTGCAAACACACCACCTTCCAAGACTGAATCAGAAAGAAACCAAAAGTCCACTAGGGCAGTGCCAATAGGAAATGTGGGATTGAAGCCTCCACACAGAGTCCCCACTGGGGCACTACCTACTGGAGCTGTGGGAATGGGGCCGCCACCTCGAGATCCCTGAATGGTAGAGCCACGGGAAGCTTTCATCCTGAGCCTAGAAATACCACAGGCACTCAACTCTGATCCAAGACAGCAGCCATGGTGACTGTGCACTGCAAAGCCACAGAGGCAGAGCTGCATAAGGTCTTGGGAATCCACCCCTTGCACAAGTGTGCCCTGGATGCAGGACATGAAATCAAGAATTATTTTGGAGCTTGAAAGTTTAATGTCTGCCCTACTGGGTTTCAGATTTGCCTGAGGCCTGTTGCCCCTTTCTTTTGCCCAACTTCTCCATTTAGGAATGGGAATATTTACCCAACACCTGTACTGCATTGAATATTGGAAGCAAATAACTTGGTTTTGATCTTATAGGCTCATAGATGGAGGAACATACCTTGAAGCTCAGATGAGACTTCGGACTTTTGAGTTGATGCTGAAACAGCTTGAGATTTTTAGGGACTACTGGGAGAGGATAATTGTGCAATATGAGAAGGACATGAGATTTGGGGGCCATAGGGGTGAAATGACATTGTTTGGATGTGTTTACCCTCCAAATTTCTTGTTGACTGTGATCTTAAATGTTGGTGGTGGGCCTAGTTGAAGGTGTTGAATCATGGGGGTGGACCCTTCATAAATTGCTTAGCTCCATCCCCTTGGCGATAAGCGAGTCCTTGCTCTGTTGTGTCACACGAGAGCTGGTTGTTTAAAACAGCCTGCCATGTTCCCCTTCTTGCTCTTGATTTCTCTCTTGACACGTGATACACTGGCCCTCCCTTTGCCTTCCTCTGTGATTGGATGCTTTCTGAGGTCTCATCCAAACCTGAGCAGGTGCTGGTCCCATGCTTCTACTGCCTGCACAACTATAAACCAAATAAATATTTTTTCTCTATAAATTTAAAAAAATCTGAACAGACCAGTAGTTAATTATGAAATTGAATTTGTAATAAAAATATTTATCAAGCAGGAGAAGCCCAGAACTAGATGAATTCACAGCTGAATTTTACCATACAAAAAAACAGATGGTATCAATCTTACTGCAACCATTCTAAAACATTGAGGAGAAGGAATTCCTCTCTAACTCATTCTACAAAACCAATATCATCCTGACACTAAAATCTAGCAAGGAAACAACAACAACAAACTACAGGCCAATAGCTGATGAACATAGATGCAAATATCCTCAACAAAATGCTAGCAAACCAAATCCATCAGCATATCAAAAATGTAACTCATCGTGATTACATAGGTTTTATTCCTGGGATGCAAGGACTATTTAACATATGCAAATCAATAAATGTGATTTACCACATAAACGGAATTTAAAACAAAAATCATATGATTATCTCAATAGATGCAGAAAAAAAATTCAACAAAATTCAACATCCTTGCCAGATGTGGTGGCTCACACCTGTAATCCCAGCACTTTGGAAGGCAGAGGTGGGCCAATCAACAGAGGTTGGGACCAGCCTGACCAACATGGAGAAACCCCATTTAGAACTAAAAATGCAAAATTAGCTGGGCGTTGTGGCGCATGCCTGTAATCCCAGCTACTCAGGAGGCTGAGGCAAAAGAATGGCTTGAACCCGGGAGGTGGAGGTGGCAGTGAGCCAAGATCACACCACTGCACTCCAGCCTGGGCAACAGAGCGAGACTCCATCTCAAAAAACCAAACCAAACCAAACCAAAGCAAAACAAAACAAAACAAAAAAACCCTGAAATCATATCAATTATTTTTTCTGACCGGAGTGGAAAAGTATTAAAAAATCAGTAACAGGAGGAATTTTTTTGCCGACCGTCTTTGGCTCCCTCTCTTGCCACCCTTTTTCTTCCTCCATCTACCCCAAAACTTTTTCCCCACCATTTTTTCCCCACTGTCTTTTTGCAAAGCCTTCTATACTTTACCACTCACTTCCGTTTTCCCCACCCATCTACTCCAAAACTTTTCCCCACCGTCTTTTCTCCCTCTCCCTGGCCACCCTTTTTTCCGCCTCCCGTTCTCATCATCCTCTTTTGCTCCTTCATCTCCCCAAAAACATTTCCCTCATCTTCTCCCAAAGCCTTCTCCCCACTCCTGCTGCTCGCCACCCTCTTTCCCCTTCCATCTACCCAAAAACTGTTTCCCTATTGTCTTTTTCTCCCTTCCTCCTTGCCACCCTTTCCCTTCTCCATCTACCCAAAAACATTTTCCCGCCATCTTTTTGCAAAGCCTCTTCTCTACTCCTGCTCACCACGCTCTTTTAACCCAGCTACCTCCCCAATTTTTCCCTGCCATCTTTTCACAAAGCCTTCCCCGCTTCCCGCTCGCCCTCTTCTTTCCTCTATCCTGCTTGCCACCCTCTTTTTGCCCTCCATCTACCCCAAACTATTTTCCCCATCGCCTTTTTCCCAGTCCTCTTTCCCCACTCCCTTTGGCCACACTTTCTATTCTCCTCCCACTTGCTACCCTCTTTTCCCCCTCCATCTACCCAAACACTTTTTACCCACTGTCTTTTCTTTCTACACTTTCTTTTCTGCCTATCGTCTTTTCGCAAAACCTTTTCTCTTTCCCACTCGCCACCCTCTTTATCTTTCTCCCAATGGCCACCCTCTTCCCCCCTCCATCTACCTAAAAGCTTCTCTCCTCACTGTCTTTTCGCAAAACCTTCTCTCCCTCCTGCTCGCCACTCTCTCTTCCCCCTCCCTCTCTGCACCCTCTTTTCTCCTCCCACTTGTCACCCTTTTCCCCCCTCCATCCACTCAAAATCTTTTTACCCACAGTCTTCTTTCCCTTTCTTTTCTCCCCACCGTATTTTTGCAAACCTTCTCTCCTTCCTGCTCATCCCTGTTCCCCCCTCACGACCCTCTCTTACCCCCTTCCATCTACCCAAAAACTTTTTCCCCACTGCCTTTCTGTGAAACCTTCTCTCCCTCCTGTTCACCACCCTGTTTTTCCCCCTCCATCTACCCCCCATTTTTTCCCCCCAACATCTTTTCCTTACTGTCTTTATGCAATGCCTTCTCCGGCTCACCATCCTTTTTTCCTTTTGGCACTAACCACCCTCTTTACCCTTCCATCTATCCCAAAAGTATTTTCCCCTTCTTACCGCTCCAGCCACACTACAGTCTCTGTCGCCACCAACTGCAGGGAGGCCAAGCCACAGTGCTGCAGGCTACAGCCTCCAGTCTGTCCTGGTCCTCTAAGCCGGGCTTGGAGCAGCTCAGTGAGCAGACACAGAAGAACCTGGAGTGGCCTGACTCTTCTTCAGCACCACTTATGTACTGAAGTTATGCATATGCCGTTCCTGGACTACACGTTCCAGGACTGGATAAGAGAAAGCCTGGAGGCCTACTCTGATTGGACTTTGTTATGTTCTGATTGGATGAAAGAAAGTCTTAGGACAACCAATCAGAGTATGAAAATAAAGTCCAATCAGAGAAGGCCTAGAGGTTTTCTCTCACCCAATCAGAACATGTAGTCCAGAAACCACCCACGTAACCCCATGTGCATGTTGAGGAGGCCTCACGCCAGTTTAGGCTCTCCAGTATCTCCTGCCGAGCTGCTCTGTTCCCGGCTTAGAGGACCAGGAGAAGGGGGAGCTGGAGGCTGGAGCCTGTAACACCATGGCTCGTCTCGCTCTGGATGGTGGTGGCAACAGAGATGGCAGCGCGGCTGAAGTCTTAGGAGGGCGGCCTGAGCGGTAGGAGGGTAGTCTGAGCAGTAGGAGGGGGGCTGGAGCAGTAAGATGGCGGCCGGAGCGCTAGGCGGGAGGCTGGAGCAGTAAGATGGCAGCCGGAGCGGTAGGGGGGTGGCTGGCAGCCGGAGCGGTAGTGGGGTGGCTGGCAGCTGGAGCTGCTCTTGACCAGCTAGAGGTCTAGGAGAAGGTGGGGACCATGCCCAATGCTGGCGGCTGGAGCCTTGGCCCTGGCGGCTCGCCTGGCTGCGGTTGGTGGTGGCGACGGAGACTGCATCTCTGTCAAGTAGTAGAAAGGTGGCAGGGTAGGTGCGCTCTCTGCGGCTGCACTGCCCGCTTGTGGGGTGGTGGGGGAGTGGGTTTGGTGTGCTTTTGGGGCTGCACTGCCTGCCGTGGGTGGCTGGTGGGTGGCGCTATCGGGTGTTGAATTGCTGGCAGTGGGGCAGGTTTGCTGCGCTATCAGAGTCTACACTGCCTAAGGTGGCGGGGGGTTGGAGGCAGGTTGTGTGTGCTGTCGTGCACTACCAGCGGCAAGTGGCGGGGGGTTAGGGGCATTATTAGCTGCTGCACTGGCCGATCCAGGGGGCGGGTTGGGTGAGCTATCGTGAGCTACAATGTCAGCAGCAATGCCAACTGGCAGGCAGTCGGGGGTGCTTTAGGGGAGCTGTCAAATGTTGCATTGTCCGTGGGGGAAAGGGGAAGGTGGGGTCGGGGGGTTGGTTGGGTGCACTACCCCTGGCGTTCACTGCCCGCGACAGGAGCAGATTGGGGGTGCTATCTGGGGCTGTGCTGCTTGTGGTCCGGGTGGGGGGCAGGTTTGATGGGGCACTATTTGGTGCTGCAACACCCGTGGTGGGGATGGGTTGTGGACACTATCGAGTGTTACACTGCCAGGAGCAGAGGGGTGGTTTGGGGGCGCTATCAGGGTTACACTGCCTGCAGCAGTCTCTGGGTGTGTTGTGGGCACAATCCAGGGGCTAAGTTTGTGGTGGGGGGGGGCAGGTTAGGGGCGCTATGGGGGGAGGTTGCACTTCTGCTGCCAGCAGTAGGTTGTGGAGGTGGCCACGACAGTGGTGGCCTCTGAGGAAGGGGCCCTTCTCCTCTTCCCGGACTCAAGGCTCTAGAGGGTGAACAATTTCTGCTCGTGTTGGAGCACGGAGGGTGCACAGAGTTTTCGCAGCAATCCTCTGACCACCGCAGGGCCCTCACACCCACCATGGTTACCCAGCCCTTGCCCTCTTGCTCTGTGTTGTGGAGACTATCTGGGAGCCCCAGGCATGGAGTAGTGGGCACCACGGAGGCTCAGGGTCCTGTGGGTGGAGGATTCAGGAATGGGAACTGGTACTTGGGTGGGGAAGACTGGCTGGGTCTGAGTTTCTGCTATTCTTGCTCCCCAAGGAGCCCCGGGCACTGTGGTGTCTCCAGTCCCCACCCCAGGTCAGGAGGCCAGCTTGGTCTAGGAGGAGAGGCTGGACTTTGGAGGGTGGGTGTGAGTGCCTTTGCTGAAACTGGCCCCAGCCACCCAGTGGCCAGCATGACAAGGTGAGGCTCTAACACTGCCACTTTCTGCATCCTGTTGTAGGTTTTTCTGGCATTGTCTGCCCAGCTACTCCAAGCCAGGCTGATGAAGGAGGAGTCCCCTGTGGTGACTGGAGGTTGGAGCCTGAAGATGGCACAGCTCTGTGATTCATCTCCTGCTGTTGTGGCGGCCACGGTGATGGAGACGGCAGCTCAACAGGAGCGGTAGGAGGGTACCCGTGGAGGCCAAGTGGTAGGAGCCTTGGAGGGTGGGCAGGTGCATGGAGGGTGACAGCAGCGCTGGTTCCTTTGGCATCGGCGCTAATGGTGGCAGCAGCAGCAAGTCTAGGGGCCAGGAAGGGGGAGTAGGAGAGCTTTGGGGCCCGGTCCGGCCTGGGGTGGGTAAGAAGCTGCTGGTTCTGTACCACAGGCCTCAGTGACAGTGGTGGAGGTGCAGCCAGAGCAAGGAGTCCGCCCCCTTCTCCTGCGGTCTCTGGAGGGTGCCCTCCTGCTGGCATCTGAGCCAGGTGTGAGTGGCAGCACTGTTTCATTCTTAACAGAATTTAGGGGCTTACTATTGTGTATCTTTTTGTTTTTGGTTGTGATAACCCTTAAGGGACAAAAGGCTTCTTTGGCTGGGTTTTGGTGTGGTGGGATCCCCCCATGTAAGACAAAGGGTGCTTTGCTGGCAAGCTGTGTGTTGGAGGGAGTTCACCAAGGGGAAGAAAGGGAACCTCTCAGGAGGATGGCTGCTGTGGCAGGTCCCCTGCCTCTGGGCACCCTTTGGGCCACCTAGTTTCCCTGCGGAAGAGGGGAGGCTTAGACCGGTATCACTTGTATCATCAAAGAGGCATCCTGGCTGGGCCAGTTGATTTGACCTTCCCACTTCTTCAGCCCACCTGCCCATGGTGTCACCTGGGGAAAGTGGAACCTCAGGCCACAGGGGCAGAGGCTTCTCTGGCAGGCTGATTGCTGTAGTGGATTCTGTTCTGCCTGCTGCTCAGGAGGGCTTCTATGGCCAGGAAGTGATGCTGGGACTCTCCTGTTGGTGTTCTGCTGCCTCCGTGTTGTCTCCGGCTTCTCAGGGACTCTCAGATGTGTGAAGGCAAAAAGGTTTCCTGGCTAGTTTGCGTGGTGTGGTTGGGATCACTTTTGCTACATGCCCCTCAGGCACCCTAGTGGGGGAAAAGGGAATTTTAGATTTAATGGAGAATGTGTCTATGTTGGCTGCTTATTGTTAGCAAACTTCTGAACAATTCTATTCTAAATGGTCACCTCTTGTTGAGTAGACTCCAGCTCCATTGGAGAAGAGATGAACTTACCTGGGCTGTGTTTTCTTGCTAGCTTGAGGGTTGAAAACACTAGGTTTTTTTCTCCTTTTCCAGTTGAGTTAGGGAAGTGACATGCATTGCCACAAAACCATTCTTTCAGTTCTGGAGTCCTTAGACAGTCATCTTACTAGCACCTTCCAGCATTCTCCTTTCAGTGAGCTAATAAGGGAGGGTTCCTAATCTAAAAGGAAACATGGATGGTGTTCTTATGTTGTATGACAAGAAATACGAAATAATTCTGAAAATTTAGTCATTTTTCTTTTAAATTTAGAAACCTGTTTTTTATATTTATAATATTTAAAGCCATTAAAAATTAAGATGTCATAATTAAAATAATCTTTTAACATTTTACATTAATTAGCATTTAGCAGATGACCATAACAAATTATTTTTAATTATGTTACATTAATTGCCAATACAAATTTCTTTCTGGTTTTTACAAATCTGTTTGCAAAATTTTATTTTGTCGTTTATTAAATTTTTGTATAATTAGCTGCTACATTGCAGGTATAGGAACTTCCAATATTAAGCATGATTACAAATACTTCAGTTTTCATGTCTTACTTTTTATTAATAGTCTAAAAGTTATAAAATGCTTTGTGCGTTAGTCTTGGTAACATTCTTTAGTATGAATTATCATTTGAAAAATGTTAGGAACGTAGCTTTCCCATCTTATTTATTATCTTGAGGTGGAGTCTCACTCTGTCGCCCAGGCTGGAGTGCAGTAGCGCGACCTTGGCTCACCGCAACCTCTGCCTCCTGGGTTCAAGCGATTTCTCCTGCCTCAGCCTCCTGAGTAGCTGGGATTACAGGCACGGGCCACCACGACCGGCTAATTTTTGTGTTTTTAGTAGAGACGAGGTTTCACCATATTGATCATGCCGGTCTCGAACTCCTCACCTCAGGTGATCCACCTGCCTCGGCCTCCCAAAGTGCTGGGATTACAGGTGTGAGCCACCATGCCAAGCCTATTTATTTTAGATACAGTGTCTTCCTCTGTTGACCAGGTTGAAGTGCAGGGGTGTAGTCATAGCTCACTGCAGGCTCAGACAGTCCTTCTGCCATGGCCTCCCAAAGTGCTGGGATTACAGGCATGGGCCACTGCGCCTGGCCTAAATTGTAATAATTTTACAGTTTGCCTCAAATGAGGGCTGGCATCTGGGCAAGGTCTGCTGGGGGCCTCCCACATACAGGCAGTCTCTCTGCTGTGCCCTCCACCAGCACTGAGGGTCACCTGCCCACAGGCACCCCTCTCCTTTCCCCTCTGGGGAAGGCCAGAAGTGACTTTTGAGGTTACCCGAGGGACTTTTTCTGGAAAAGGGTGTGAAGCTGAAGCTGATGGCCTCAGTGTCCAAAGGGGAACACTTCCCACAGGCGTTTGGAAGCCACAGACCTGACAGCGGGGTCCTGGTCTTGGGGGTCTCAGTCACCTGGCCACCCATTCCTTCCTCACTTAGGCATCCACCTAGCGGGCTGCCCACACCCTCTTCTATCTGTCTGTGCTCAGCCAATCAGGCAAGCCAGGGTTACACCCTCCCTGTCCTGGGCCATGGCTCCATGAAGCACCATGTGCCTCGGAAGACCTCCCCGATTGATCCCGTCTCCCCAGTATCTTCTGCTAAGGCAGAGGTTTCCCTGGGCCCCTGCTCTGGTCCACTTCCTTGGCACAGTTTGTAGCTGTGCCTGACACAGCCCACCCGCCTGGCTTCTGTCCCAAACCTGCAGCCAGGCCATGTGACAGCCGCTGCCTGTGCCCAAACATTCATCCAGCCCCACCCAGGAGAGCCAGACAGGCACTCACACCCTAACCCACACACCCTCACCCCCACACCCTCACCCGCCCACCCCCACCCACACACCCTCACCCACACCCACACACCCCCACCCACACCCACACACCCTCACCCACACACCCCCACCCACACCTGCACACCCTCACCTGCACACCCCCACACCCTTACCCGCACACCCTCACCCACCTGGCCCTTCTGCACCCCCTCCCCACCCTCCCTCTAAACCTACTGGGGGAGCAGCTTCCCCTACATTCGCTTGCTCCACCTCCTCCTAGAGCTGGGTCACATACCAATTCCCACGCTCTTGGCAGGTTGGTCATGGCCCTGGCAGATCTGAGGACAGGATGGGCACAGGACTGTGTGCAGCATAGAAAGGTCAAGGAGTGCAGCCTCGTACTCTGTGCCAGCTGCCAGCCCCCGGAGCTTACTAGGCTGATGGGGACAAATAATGCACCAGAGGGGACAGTGACCATTGTCCCTGGGTTAGTCCACCACAGGACTGTTGGGAAGTTCACAGATGTACTGATTGCCCTGTTGCATTGGTCCTCGGGGGCAGATGCTGAGATGGGGTTAGGAGAACAAAGGGGAGGAAGGGAGCTGGGCATGGTGGCTATGCCTGTAAATCCTAGCAGTTGGGGAGGTCCAGGTGGGAGGATTTCTTGAGGCCAGGAGTTTGAGACCAGCCTGGGCAACATAGCAAGACCCTGTCTCTACAAAAAAAAAAAATTAAAAATTAGCCATCCATGGTGGCTGTATTCCCAGCTACTCGGGAGGCTGAGGTGGGAGGAACAGTTGAGCCTAGGAGTTGTCAATAGAAATCAAGTGTTGGGATATTGAGAATAGCATTATAATGAGGGTTCAGAGTATGTTATTAATACTAATGGTAGAATTTTGAGCTTCTGATATATACACAAACATGTATAGCTACACCAGGGATTGTGCTCAAGATTTGACTTACATTAGCTTGTTTAAGCCTCTTCCACACACTATTTGAGGCAGGTACTGTTGTTATCATTTTATGGATGACAAAACTGAGAAGCAGAAAATGTAGGAAACTTGCCCAAGATCACACAGCCATGAAGCAGACACCAGAAGCAGAGCCCTAGGCTCACAAACTTGACTGCCTTCACTCTAGGCTCTATGTTATTCTGACCATCTCTCAGCCAGGAAGTCACTCCCTTATGCAAATGACATTGTTGGTGCTGATGGTTAAATATTTCTTTTCTCACAACATGTGAAAGAGAGAGCCTGATTTGTTACCTAAGCCCCAAGGGTTTCTCCTACCATTTCAGAGAGGTAGAAACTTTTCTTTGCCCCTAAACTGTGGCAAAGAAAACAGAGAGGAGGAAACAGCCATCAGAAGACTAAAAATCTCTCATCTTTGCAAATAAGAATTCACTCTGAGCTTTTTTGCATGCAGCAGTGGGAAGAGACCTTGTTTTTTATTCTATCAACTTATCCATTTAACAATTAATTGAGAACCTGTTGTGTACCCGATGCACTGCTGGCATTGGTTATGTAAAAATCAATGCAACATGGTCCTTTCCCCAAGCAACTCAGTCTCCTGCTTGGTTCTCTTTTCTGGATCATTTTAATTATGGTTCTCCTTTTAAGTAAAGGACAAACAGAGAAGTAGCACCGAGTCAGATTTTTGCCACTAGTCTTATACAGGTGGCCTATTTTTCTTAATGCTCCCCACACATGGGATCTGAGCCAGCTGAGCCCTGAAACCTTCCAGGTTGAGAACGTAGTGTGGCACTTCACATGAGACTGTGCGGGAGTTGATACAACTGGCATGTTAGCCACAGAAACCCTGCCAAGCGTTCTGGAATAGAGGGGGTGGACAGGACCCCACCTGCTTTCCCTAATCTCATGGATATCAGGCACCAGGCAGCCTTCCCCCGGAATGGAGACATCTCAGGTAGGGGTTGTCACTGTTCCAAGCTTCCTTTGATGCCGTTTTGATCCTGGATGTAGAGTTGCCGCATGGAGAGTGAAACCACGAGAATATATAATTGAGAAAAGAATGGAAAGATGGACAGATACCTAAACAGATACATAAATACTTTGCAGAAGTCTGGGACAGTGGAACGTAGGAAGAGAGCCTCAGATAGAGAGAGAACAGTAGGCTGATTGTGGTAAAGGGAAGGCTTCACTTTGTTATTCAGTATACATATTTATTGAATTGTTTAAACAATATGTATATCTTTATAATTAAAAGATAATTTGGGGCCGGGCATGGTGGCTCACACCTGTAATCCCAGCACTTGGGGAGGCCGAGGTGGGCGGATCACGAGGTCAGAATTTTGAGACCAGCCTGGCCAACATGGTGAAACCCCATCTCTACTAAAAATACAAAAAATTAGCTGGGCCTGGTGGCAGGTGCCTGTAATCCCAGCTACTCAGGAGGCTGAGGCAGGAGAATCACTTGAACCTGGGAGGCAGAGGTTGCAGTGAGCCGAGATGGCGCCATTGCACTCCAGCCTGGGAGACAGAGCAAGACTCCGTCTCAAAAAAAAAAAAGAGAGAATTTGGGCTTTAGAATAAGATTGGAGTGTGAATCCTGGCTTCTACTATTTCTGAGACTATGTGACTGTGGACAAATTGTTTCAGTTCTCTAAACCCCCAATTCCCTTGTTTATGAAATGGAGGTCATGGGGATTGAATGAGATTAAGTCCTATATAAAATGCTGATAGAGCTCTCAATAACATCACCTCTTTATTATTAATAGCATTAGGCAAGGCTGAGAGTCAGCTACAGAGGAGACCTCTGTGGGCAGAAGAGAACCACGGAGGAGTTAGCAAGTAGCAGTAGAGCCGAGAGAGGAATGGGTTCCATTTAACGCAGTGTCAAGTGCACTCCTCATTAGGGAGATGCACCTCCCTCCCTTCTCAACCTGCCAGCACTTGTTTTCTCCTGGGGAAACACCCGGCATGGCAAGCTTTGTATGTGGTAAGGTGGCTGAGAACATGAGCCCTGGCACCATTGATTTCCATTCTAGCTGTGCCACTTACTTGCTTAGCCAGTTTCCTCACCTGTAGAATGGGAATGGTAATTGTGTCTACCTCAAGAACTGTCTCATCAATTAAGTGAGTTAATGCATGGGAAGGGCTTCAGAAGAGCCTGGCACAGAGTAAGTGATTTATAAATATGAGTGCATGTTCTATACTCTGGTTCTAGAGTAATCCTAAGACTTTTGAAGACCCTGAACGCTCTTCCTTTTGGAGATTTCACCCCACATTTTATCAAACATACTGAAAGTCACCCACATTTCACGTTAATTATTATTATTATTTGCTGTAGTATGTTTAAAAGAGGTTTTAATGATTTTGCTTGTGGTTGGCTGTGACTAACTCATGGCTATGAGGCCTTAGCAATCGCTGGACGTATTTGGAAACCCTTTCAAGGTGAGTAATTCTAAGGAACGAATTGTTTTTAAGTGTAATACAATTTGTATGAACATCAACCTTAACAATGATGTTTACATAACATTCCATTATGTAGACATTTAATTAAACTTTTATCTATTTCAATTTTTCAGTTTTCTCTTTTTGTATTTTGAAGCCAAAAAAAAAAAATGTGTTTTCAGACCTCAGGTTAAGGGAATAGATGAAAGCGGTCAGCCAGGGACCAGAAAGACCTCTTGGCCACCCTCCCGAAGTTGTGGTTCAGCAGAATCAGGCAGAGCCTGGGTGCAGAAGGGACCTATAAGCTTATCTATCCCTGTTCTTCCCTTTTATGAATGGAATAACTCATGTCCAAGGAAGGGAGTGACTTGCCCAGAAGATAGTATAGTTTGATTCTTCAAATGCAGAGTCCTGAGCCCTTTCAAACTTCTTGTTGTTTGTTTTACACGTTCCAAGATGATATTCAAGGAGTGGTTCTCAAAGCCTAGGGGAGTGACCTCATGAGAGGTCAAGGCTGCTGATGCTGGGAAGACTCATACAGGTCCACCCAGGCTGCACGTGTGTGTAACCCAATGACCAAATCAACAGTGACTTGAACCCGCAGCCAGGGGAGTGTGAGTGAAATATAAGCAGACGTTTTCACCAGTTGTTAAAACCTAGCAGGGGCATGAGGAATCAATCACAGACTGTGCCTCAGCAAACCTCCATGAGGAAGGCTCAAGGGAGCGGAAGAGCAATCACAGGTCTCCACCATCCAAGAGCAAATCCAAGCAGAGCTAAGCACTTTTGTGTCCTCTGGAGCAAGGCAACCCCATAACCTTGCAGAGATTCAGGAATGATGGAAGCTGAGGAGCTACATGGCCATGTCAGGAGGATGATGAGATCACCAGGCAGCTGCCATCAAGTTAGGGTTCAGAGTGGTCCTGGAAGAGAAGGAGATGCCCCTGCCTGGGACCACACAGGACAGAAGGGCATCTGGACAGTACCAGGCCATGTTCAGAAAGTGAAGGGGCTTTCCCATAGGAAGGTTATGGGCCCAAACACTTATTGAGCGCTTACTGTGTGGCTGGCGTAGTCAATAAGTGTTAAAGGAAGGGAGAGAGAAACTGCGAGGGAAGAGAGGAGGAGGAGACCCTGGACAGCAGGTGCTGTCGCTCTGAGGCTCCTCCATGTCCACAGTTGGTGGCTTCTACCTTACATCTTTATACCTTTGAATTGGATGAAATGTATTTTCTCTTGGTCGTTAGGGCACTGGTGCACAATTTCAGTATGACCTTGTTGGTTCGTTCCACCTGGTCGTTAAGGTTCTGGGGACTGTGTATGAAGCAGTATCATACAGGAGAAGGAGGCAGGCAAACCTGGTTTTGAATTCCAGCCTAGCCACTATATAGCTGTGGTACCACAGAGACATTCTTTACCCTCTCTGAAAGTGAGTTTCTTCATCTGGGCAATGGGTGCTAAGAATTCTTGCTTCCCAGGGCTATAGCAATGTGCTAACACAGTCCCTGCTACATCATAGTAGAGGCCCCATAGAGTGCCTTTTCATGTCCCATGGTCAAGGTGGTCTTGCCTGAAACTAAGACATAGCTCATTGTACTGCTCAAGTCAGAGCAAGCCAAGTGTGCTTTGGACAACTAATGTGCCTAAACCTGGGTCGTGAGAATCCTAAAAAGGAACAGGGAATGGCTCTGGACCTCAGGGAAACAGAGTCAGATGTGGGGGAGACATAGATCTGGAAAAAAAAAAAAAGCACCGGGCTTGGGGTCTGGAGTTTGGGTCACCTTCCCAGGTTTGCCACAGATTTGCTATGGGTCCTTGATTAAGTCACAGTTCTCTGAATCTCAGTTTCCTCTTCTCTCCTGCTTGGGCAAAACTTGATGGTCTCTAAGATTCATCCTTGTTGAGTAAGTGCTAAGCTACATGGCACAAATTTCAGATGCTTCTTTAAGTGTGTCCAAGAAGAAAATTCTCAGAGACAGTTGGAGTGCCTGGGAGTGGCTAGAAAAAATTAGGGAAATGATTCAACATTTAGCCACAAGTGATACAACTAACTTAGGAGTCTGCTCCTCATCTCATGGGGGTCTTAAATTCTTCCCTCCAGTCCTTCTCTCTTGGGTTGTATTAGAAAGATTACTGAGGTAACCTTAAGCACAGCAGGTTGGATTCAGGTTAGATTTAAGGAAGGACTTCCAAACAAATGATTTTAAAGGCGTGAGCTTGTAAGTGAACAGAGAGAAAGGCATCATCTACTTTTTAAAAGCCTTAAGATGCTGGGCACAGGTATATTTTGCATTCCTGAAAACTGTGCTAAGAGAATACACTGAATCAGTCCTGCTTAAAATGCACCAGAGTGTTCACTATTTAAAGGCATGGGGATGCCCTTAAGTTCACTGTTTATGAATACGAGCTTTGTTTAGCCAGGTTTTTAAGGTGAAGATTCCCTAGCTGGATCTCTGTCACGCAGAGTTCAAATGTAATCTTCCTCAGAGGCAGAGAAATAAATTCAGTTCATTCTCAAGGTTGCTTTCAGATCTATGGGTCCAGGAATGCATGAAATACAAGGAAAATGTTTATGATGTTTCTGTATTGGCCAGCATTCCTGGTTTCTGTCCCTGGAGGACCTGCAGAGCCAGCAGTCTCTTCTTTGAGTATGTCTCAATCGTGAGCACCAGGCAAAACCACAGGAGCAGTACCATTGTTCTGGAGAGTTTAGTCTGGGGCCTACTGGGAGTTGAGTAGAAGTTGGAATCTGATTTGACTTCCATTTACTCTGCACCTTGTACTTTGCAGTAACAAGAGTGTCAGTGCCATGAGGGCAGGGACTATTTGTGATTTGCTTCTCATTGCCTGGCATGGAACGGGTACTCAATCAATGATGAATGAATGAAAATGGACACATCAATTCTAGTTGACTTTCTGGCCTTTGGCCAGGTACTTAACTGCTCTGAGCCCCAGCTTCTACATCCATAGCATGGGGGATAGTAAGAGTTCCTACTTCACAGGGTTGTCATCAGGATTCAATGAGACAAAATATGCAAAGTACTTAGCGCGTTGTGTAGAATGTAATAGGCACTCAACCAATGTTAGCTTAGTACTACTTTTTCTGTGTAAGATTATGTTGTCCTTTCCACAGCCCTGTAAGGAGAATATACCATCCCCACTGAACAGATGAGAAAACTGAGGCTCAGGGGTGTCAGGTGACTGCCTGAGGTCACAGGTGGGACTGGGGCTCCTTGGTCTGTCCTCTTTCTACTGCGAAACAGTCTGGTGAAACTACAGAAGGACCCATTCCTGCTAATGAGGCACTAAAGGTAATGTACGAGGAACTCTCAGGAATATGTGGAAATTCTCCTGGGTTTTCCAGCTCCCGAGAGTGCCCTGGCTTTGTGGGGTGAAGTCCTTTGATTGTCTCAGGTTCCTGATCTGTTCATGACCCTGTTAGCCCAAAAGCTGGCAGAGCTCCATGTAAGTGCTACTGTTCTTTTTGTCTCCCTGACTCTCCCCTGCTACCCACCTGCATCGCCTTAGGCATTTATTCTTTGCTTAAACATGCCTATTTGCAGAGACACACTGAGCTAAGCAGCAAAGTGGAGGTTTCCAGTGAGAAGTCCACCGTGAGGGAATAGGGTGTCAGGAGAGGTCCTACCAGCTCATCTTGACCGAGATGCTCGTGTGCTGTGCTTTTGAAAATGCAAGCAGTCAAAGAACATTTAAAATGCGGTCAGTGGTTACTGTCCCTTTGTGGAACCGAGCAGACAGGAGTGCAGGTGTGAAACATGACGTCCATATGGAAATAGAAGGACAAAACAGTCTTTGTTAACTTGATTATCTACCCTGTGGTTAGAAATGAGGGCCTGGCTAAATGCAACACAGAGAATCTAGAAACTTTGTTTTGCAAAAAAAGGCACCTACCCCATTTACACTTTACTGAACTATTATTAATAAGGAGCTTATGAGTCTATTAGATATGGTCTTTGCCTTCTTTCTCGATTCTAAGGTTGGGTTTCTGGGGACAGTGAAAAGCCCCAAAGGTGGGAAAAGCAAGAGGAGGGCAAACAGAAAGTCTGCAAACTCCATCATCTGAATAACAGGGCTGATGCTTTAGAGTGTGCTGCTTGAAAATCTGGTGTGCATATTTAAATTATAGCTTTCCACACACAGAAAGGGCAGCCGTTCCCTTTAGCCCAGCCCCCTTTCCCTCTTATTATTAAAATAGAGGACAAAAGGGGTGCTTTTTTTCCTGGGTTTCTATTTTGGTATGAATTTACAAAATGTGGTTTAAGTATTGATTTTATAGGAAGAATGTCACATTTTAAGATTCAGTGTTAGGCATGGAGCTCTCTAAAAGATTGTTAAGTATTAAGGCCAGGAAAAAGGTGCTGTGCAGCAGTGCCCAGCAATAGAGGGCATTCAGGCAGGAGGGGCTGCCATTCATCAGCTACCCAGTCACCCTCTTGCGAGGGTGGAGCTGAGTTCTCCTCTGCACAGACTTCAGAGATACAGCAAAGGCAGAGCAGTGTTCTCCTCAGCACAGAGCCGGGCGGGCGGGCCGGGGGCACTGCAAGGGCGCAGCTGCGTTCTGCTCAGCACAGACCCGGGGGACACCACGAAGGCAGAGCAGCGTTCTCAGCACAGACCTTGGGGGCACTGCCTCGCTTTGGGACAACTCCGGGCCGCATCCCCGGTGAATAAAATCCTTCCTGTTTGCAGCCCTGAATAATCAGGGTCAGAGACCAGTTAGAAGGGTTCAGTGTGGAAAACGGGAAACCAAAAGCCCCTCTGAATCCTGCCCACCGACGTTCTCCCCAGCCAAGGCGAGGCGGCCGCAGTGCGAGATCCACACCACAGCCTCAGAAGACAAATGCAGCATTCCTAATGCAGACATGACACCCAAAATATGACACCCCCATTGCTCATGTAACAAGCACCTGTAATGCTAATGCACTGCCTCAATACAAAAATATTAATATAAGATCCGCAATCCCCTCGCTGCCATGCAGTCCTAAGACAGCAATCATAATAATCAACATTGACATAGTCAATACAAACGTAGTAACGAACCCAGGGTTAAGGTTGGTGTTAGGGTTAGGGATTAGGGGTTAAGTTTAGGGTTAGGGGTTGGAGATAGGGGTTGGGGTCAGAGTTAGGGGTTAGGAGTCAACGTTTAGAGTTAGGGGTTAAGAGAGGTTAGTGGTTTGGGATTAGGGGTTAGGGTGAGGGTGAGGGTTGGGGTAAGGGGTTAGGGTTAAGGGTCAGGGGTTAGGGGTTAGGAGTTAGGGTCAGAGGATAGGGGTCAGGGGTCAGGGTCAGGGGTCCCACTCTGTGGGTTGTCCACTCTGCTGACTGTTCCCTTTGCCATGCAAAAGCTCTTTAGTTTAATTAAGTCCCAGCTATTTATCTTTGTTTTTATTGCATTTGCATTTGGCTTCTTGGTCATGAAATCCTTGCCCATGCCAATGTCTAGAAGGGTTTATCCAGTGTTATCTTCTAGAATTTTTATAGTTCAGGAATTAGGTTTAAGTTCTTAATCCATCTTGAGTAGATTTTTGTATAAGGTGAGAGATGAGAATCCAGTTTTATTCCCCTACATGTGGCTCGCCAATTATCCCAACATCATCATGTGTTGAAAAGGTGTCCTTTCCCCACTTTATGTTTTTGTGTACTTTGTCGAAGATCAGTTGGCTGTAAGTATTTGGGTTAATTTCTGGGTTCTCTCGTCTGTTCCATTGGTCTATGTTCCTATTTTTAAACCAGTACCATGCTGTTTTGGTAACTATGGCCTTATTGTACAGTTTGAAATCAAGTAGTGTGATGCCTCCAGGTTTGTTCTTTTTGCTTAGCCTTGGTTTGGCTACATGGCTCTCTTTTGGTTCCATATTAATTTTAGAATTGTTTTTGTAATTCTGTGAAGAATGACGGTGGTATTCAGATGGGGATTGCATTGAATTTGTAGATTGCCTTTAACAGAATGGTAAATTTCACAATATTGGTTCTACCCATCCATGAGCATGGGGATGCGTTTCCATTTGTCTGTGTCATCTATGATTTCTTTTCTTTCTTGTTTTTTTTGTTTTTTTTTTTCAGAGGGAGTTTCGGTCTTGTCGCCGAGGTGGGAGTGCAATGGTGTGATCTCGGCTCACTACAACTTCTGCCTCCTGGGTTCAAGCGATTCTCCTGCCTCAGCTTCCCGAGTAGCTGGGATTATAGGCATGCGCCACCGTGCTTGGCTCCATCCATGATTTCTTTCAGCAGTGTTTTGTAATTTTCATTGTAGAGGTCTTTTGATTCCTTTGCTAGGTATATTCCTAAGTTTTGTTTTTTGTTTGTTTGTTTGTTTGTTTGTTGCAGCTATTGTAAAAGGGGTTGAGTTCTTGATGTGATTCTCTGCCTGGTAGCTGTTGATTTATAGAAGAGCTACTGATTTGTGTCCATTAATCTTGTATCTGGAAACTTTGCTGAATTCTTTTATCAGTTCTAGGAGCTTTCTAGAGGAGTCCGTAGGGTTTTCAAGGCAAAAGGTCATATCGTCAGCAACCAGTGACAGTCTGACTTCCTCTTTACTGATTTCGATTTCCTCTATTTCCTTCTTTTGTCTGATTGCCCTGGCTAGGACTTCCAGTACTTTGTTGAAGAGGAGTGGTGAGAGCATGCTCCTCGTCTTGCTCCAGTTCTCAAAGGGAATGCTTTCACCTTTCCCCCATTCAGTATTATGGTGGCTGTGGGTTTGTCCTAGATAGCTTTTATTACATTAAGGTATGTCCCTTGTATGCCTATTTTGCTGAGAGCTTTAATCATAAAGCAATGCTAGATTTTGTCAAATGCTTTTTCTGCATCTGTTGATATAATCGTGTGAGATTTTCTTAATTCTGTTCATTTGGTGTATCACATTTATTGATTTGCATATGTTAAACCATTCCTGTATCATTGGTATGAAACCCACTTGATCATGGTGGATTATCTTTTTGATATGTTGTCAGATTCAGTTAGATAGTATTTTATTAAGGATTTTGGCATCTGTATTCATCAAGGATATTTGTCTGTAGTTTTCTTTTTTGGTTACGTCCTTTCATGGTTTTGGTATTAGGGTGACGCTGGCTTCATAGAATGAATCAGGGAGGGTTTCTTCTTTCTCTGTCTTGTGGAATAGTGTGAAAGGATTGGTATCATTTCTTCTTTGAATGAAGGAAGACATTCTTTGAATGTCTGGTAGAATTCTGCTGTGATTCTGTCTGGTCGTCAGCTTTTTTTGTTGGTAATTTTAAAATTACCATTTCAATCTCACTGCTTGATTTATTGGTCTGCTTGGGGTATCTAATTCTTCCTGATTTAAGCTAGGAGGGTTGTATTTTTCCAGGAATTTATCCAACTCTTCTAGGTTTTCTAGTTTATGTGCCAAAAGGTGTTCATAGTACCCTTGAATAACCTTTAATATTTCAGTGGTGTCAGTTGTAATATCCCCTGTTTCATTTCTTAGTGAGGTTATTTGGATTTTCTCTCTTCTTTTCTTGGTTAATCTTGCTAATGGTCTATGAATTTTATTTATCTTTTCAAATAACCAACTTTTTGTTTTATTTATGTTTTGTATTTGTTATTGTTGTTGTATCAATTTCATTTAGTTCTGCTCTGATCTTGGTTATTTCCTTTGTTTGCTGGGATTGGGTTTGGCTTGTTCCTGTTTCTCTAGTTCCCTGAGATGTGAACTTAGATTGTCTGTTTGTGCTCTTTCAGGCTTTTTGACGTCGGTGTTTAGCGCTACAAACTTTCCTCTTAGCACTGCCTTTGCTGTATCCCATAGGTGGTGATAGGTTGTGTCATCCAGTTTGAAGAAATTTTTTATATTTCCATCGTGATTTCGTTTTTCACCCAATGCTCATTCAGGAGCAGGTTATTTAAATTCCATGTATTTGCATGGTTTTGAAGATTCCTTTTGGAGTCGATTTTCAGTTTTATTCCACTGTGATCTGAGACAGTGCGTGATAGAATTTCAGTTTTCTTCAATTTACTGAGACTCGTTTTATGGCCTATCATATGGTCTATCTTGGAGAAAATTCCATGTGCTGTGGAATAGAATGTGTATTCTGTGGTTGTTGGATGAAATGTTCTGTATGTATCTGTTAAGTCCGTTTGTTCCAAAGTGTAGTTTAAATCCAGTGTTTCTTTGTTGACTTTCTCTCTTGATGACCTGTCTAGTGCTGTCAGTGGAGTATTGAAGTCCCCCACTATTATCGTGTTGCTGTCTATCTCATTTCTTATGTCTACTAGTAATTGTTTTATAAATTTGTGAGCTCCGGTGTTAGGTTCATGTATGTTTGGGATTGTCATATTTTTCTGTTGGATGAGACCTTTACCATTATATACTGTCTGTCCTTGTCTACTTTAGCTACTGTTCCTTTAAAGTTTGTTTTGTCTCATATGAGAATAGCTACCGCTGCTCGCTTTTGGTGTCCATTTGCATGAAATGCCTTTTTCTATTCCATAATCATTCTGATGCAAAAACAATTGTAACTCTCTTTCTAGTGCCTACATTTCCTATGAGCCCCAGTTGTGCATAGCAGAAAATACGGAAGCATCTAGGAAAACCTAGGGGCAGGAGGGGCTGGGAGGGAATAAGGCCTTTCAAGGTGTTTAAAGAAGCGACAAAGATGAAGAAGCAGGCATAGTTTCTGAAGACATTTTTTGGTCTTTGTTGTTGTTTGCATTTACCTAATTAGTTCTCAACTGCAGAGGCACATTAGAATATTCTGGGGAATTTTTAAAATACGACTGCATGGGCCACCTGTCATATACACTGATGTAATTGGCCTGAGTTGGGGCCTAGGTGTTTCTTTCTCTCTCTCTCTCTCTCTCTGTCTCTCTCTTTCTGTCTCTCTGTCTCTCTCTCTGTCTCTCTCTGTCTCTCTCTCTCTCTCTCTCTCTATATATATATATATATATATATCTATCCTGTTTTGTATATATCTAAGTATCTGTAGATATATACAGAACAGGGGATACCAGTGTGTACCTACCATTGAAATCAATTGTTTTCAAGTCTTTTTAGGTCTTATTCTCAGATGGTCTTGGGTAAATGGTGGCTGATTGCCTTCAGCATCTAGAATAAAACACTCTATGGCCCAGAGGAATTCCAGCTGGCATCTATGATCTTTTTCTCTTGAGGTAGAGCAGCTGAAGGGAGGATTATCTTCATGTTGAGTCTGATGGCAGGGTAATTTGCTTCATGTGGAGGCAAAGGGATATTGTTAGTTTTCCAGCTACATTGGGAGTTCTAAGTAGCCACATCTCAGGCTAATAGGAAGTCCAGATTGGTTCAAACCTTTTCTTAATTATCCTGTGTAGGAATGGACCACGCAGTATCCCTCAAGGAAGAATCAAGAGTGTTTCCACAGAGAATATACATATTTCATCTCTTTCTCTGCTGAATGGATCCCCACTGAAAGCCATGAATTAATTACTCTCATTAGACCCTGTAGAATCCCAGTTTATGGCAGTGACATTAAAAACATCTAGTTCATGACTTGGATTAGGCAGCCTGTAAAATGACTTCCAGTGATCCCTGCTTTCTGGTATGTATGCCCTTGTATAATACCCTCCTCATGAGTGTAGGCAGAGGTAACATCACTTTTGAAACTAGGTTATATATATTAAAACAAACAAACAAACCTGTGGCTTCCATTTTGGGTACTTTATCTCACACTCTCTGATTTCTTGCTCCGTGGGAAACAGACTGTAATGTTGTAAGCAATGCTATGGAGAGGTCCATGTGGTAAGGAAGTGATAGGTCCTGATAAGAGCCAGTGAGGATCTAAGGTGGATCCCTTTCTGAGTTGAATATTGAGATAGATGACTACAGCCCTGGTCTACACCTTGATTGCAGCCTCATGAGGAATTCTGACCAAAAACACTGTGCTGAACCACGTCCAGGCTCCTGAGCCACATAAACTATGAGAAAACAAATATTTGTTTCAAGCCATTAAGTTTTAATTTGTTACACAGCAATAGATAACTAACACCTTTGTTACAGAGCAATAGATAACTAACACATGGAAGGATTCATCAAGAGAAGCGTTTTTCATAAGTGAAATGTTATTTTCATCTCACATTTCAATTATTAGAAAATAAAAGAAAATAAATTTGGATAGGCTCTCATAAATTCAATGATAAGAACTTGGAAAATGCAACCACATGATAACCAGGAAGTAAAAGGAAAACATAAGAGGCATCTTCCCAGACGAGAGTAAATATCTGGTTCCCTGAGAAGTGTAGTTTGAGAATGGAGAAATCAGATGTTACTGGAAAGAGGCTAGGACTGTATTATTTCTTGCTTCCTGTCAAGTCTTTTCAACTCAAGAGAAAGTAAATTTTCTTGACAAACCATTCAAAATTAAAGGATAGGTGGGAGTACATGTGTCCCTGAAGGAACAAGTGACCTTCATTGAAAGCAGCAGCTTGGTTGAATAAATACTGTACAGAAGTGGAATAAAGAGTAGCTGACAACAATGCTGAAATAGTTACACATGAAGTTTTAATGAGCTATTTCATATTAAGATACATATTGAGAATTCAAACCAGAGAGACCAGTTAATTGATATTTTCCCAACTCTGTTTTAGGGTGATCATAGAAATGATACCCACAAGTTAGTCACAGTGGCCTGCATCCATTTTGATATATCAGTGACGTATTCTGATTGGCCAGTAATCACCCATACTGACTGTTAAATATTTTTGTTATCACTCCTATGCATGGTGAATTTGAGTTCTGGTTTTCTTTAGCCTTGTGTTATTTATGTGTAAAGTTGGATCATGGAAGGCAAAGAATCTCTCGTGTGTCATTCACGCTCAAGTAAATGGCAGTGGGATAGGGATGTAAATGAAACTGCATGATAAGCCCTGCAAGTCATTCTGATGTATCGATTTTGCTTACTGGTGTTTAATTGCAGACATTGTCATATTAACGCAACCACTAATACATTATGGAGTAAGATGCAAAAATCACATGAGTCTTAACAGAAAAGAAATGTGATTTCTGTGGTGGGCCCCTTCTGCATTATTCTCTAACTTCTTGTTTTATACCTCTACTGTTAGAGAAATTTCAGTAGAAAATCGTGAGGGGCACTGTTTTAGAGTTTTTGTTGTTATAGCAATGCTTTTACTACAGCTAGGTCCCCTTGTACATCTTTATGTTCTTTGGCAGTCTAGAGAATCAGAAGAGCAAACTCTATGAGATAGAAACTCTAAGAATTTACCTCCAGCATCCCTTCTCTTCTGTCATTAAATTGAATTCATAGCCAACTCAAAGATTGACAATTTATACTATGGTTTTTATATTTTTATATTATAATTTATATTATGGCTTATGTCAAAATGTTTTGTTCACTGCTTTGAAAGTATCTTTTGTTTACTTTTGTTATCATTTCATATTTTAATTTTTTCCTTTCTAATTGTTAGAAACTCATGTATTTAATTTTATCTTTCAAAGAACATTTTTAAAAGGCTTACTCTGCTTATATGTATATTTTGCACAAAGCTTTCCATTCATAAACAAAAGGTGAATAGGAATCAGAATTGAAAACTACATAATTTCTTTTCTCCTTTTGAGTCAAATCATCACAGTATAGATTAGTCATTGTGTATGAAGTGCATTGCCAAGACATAGTCACATTTGTGTACAAATGTAAAGGCTATATCTCAATAGAAATAAAAAAACAAAAAAATGCAGAAGACCATTAGCTAATAATACTAATAATCTAGTATAGAAAGCATGTGCCAACTGATCTAGACTCTTGTGACAGTTGTATATCTACTCAGCTGCTTGACCTTAGGTGTATCAAAATCTCGATTTCCTAGACTACAAATGAGTAAGAGGGATGGAGGCCCCTTACAGTTTTAAGATTCTGGAATTCTAAGTGGGTGTAACTGGAGCAAATTTTATTTTCTAAAATTTGCATAATAAATTTTAAAATAGGAGAAAAACTAATAATTAAAGTACATATTTCTGGAAGTCTTTTTTAGGTGACTTATACTACCAGGAATGGATTTACCACTAAATATTGGTTTTGCCTAATTCAGCATTGCTATGTAATTTGATGGAAGTATAACTCCATAGACAAAGAGATTTGGTCCTAACATAGCTTGTATTTTATATGTATATACACTATTTCTATTTAAATTTCTGTGTAGTCATGTTTTACCCTTTTAAAATGAAGATTAGTTTTATTATGTATTTTCTTTTGTCTATAAACATTCAGTGAATTCACACTGAAAACTGATTATGAACAGATAGTCTGCTAGGCACTAAGGAAACACATATGAAAAACTAAGTCCTCCTCTGCCCTCAATATGCTCACAAGACTACAGTTACTGAAGCCTGACCTCAAAACCTAGCTAACAAAGTCCTTGAATCAGGTGATAGTTCAGAATACCATTCATGCTCTCTCCCAAGAGTATATCTGAGGAAGGGCAGTTCTTTCTAGTTTTCTACATCCTGGTCGTATAGGTCAACCACAGGAAAATTAAATGAATCTATTGGTTTGTTGACCTAGCCTTTTCATATAAGCCTCATCTATAAATGTATTACCAAATACTATTTATGTAAAGGGACTTGAATGACAAATATTTTGAAATTAAAACCACAATGGTTAGCATAGCTTTTAAATTAGATAAATGTTGACCTCCCATTGGTGAACATATAAAGTGCTACCAAGATCTGCCAATGAAAGACTTTGGAAGTGGAAATTCATCTTTTTAATAATCCTGTTATCTGTAAGCTGACCTCAAGCCTTCATGACATTCAAGGCCCCTTATTCCTAACTGTATCTTCTGTTTTGGGCATTGTGCTCTTGCCATCTAACAGGAAAACAACTTTCAGTGCTGCCACCTTTTGAACAGCAGAGATTTCTAGAGATTAGAAAATTACTAAATTTAAATATACATAGTTTTAAAATATGATACTTTTCTACCTATGCATTCAAATATATTCTAACTTTTAAATCCTGTAAATACTTATATTTGTAATGATTTTACTTATATGATCCAATTAATTGGCAAGAATATGTGGTGAAAGATTTTTTACATGTTTGTATTGTTCTGTGTGAGACATCTACTGTAAGCATTGCTTCAGGTTCTCATTTTTGTCTGCCTTCCAGGATTTGCTGGCCCAAGTGCTGTGTGCTAGACTTAGTCTCGGTCACAGAGGGGAGGGAAACTTGCAGTTGAGCCAGACAGTTTTGTTATTCCTTTAAAATTAAAAGCATATGAAACAGATACAGCTTATTAAGGTTTTTTTAATAAATAAAATAAACTTAAATAACAAAATAATAAAGTTCAAAAACAACTTAAAATATAGTTTAATGCTGTAACCATAGGAAAAAAGCATGATTATTTGTGGGAAGAACATTATTAAAAGCCATATTCCCAAATACGAATTATACAAAGATAGATTATGTTACTTGAAAAAAACTTAAAGATTTCTCAATTTTACTTTGAGAAATTATAAAATGTTATTTTGTGGCAAGTAAGATGAAGTACAGTATTATCATCAATCACTGTTGCTATCTTATATACAAGATTTTTGGAAACATCCTTTTAGCAATACCCTTTCCACTTGAGCAGCATTAGAAATTTTGTTCTTGTTAATAGGTATAAGCATGTTCTAATCCTGTACTTTTGTTAAATTATCTATTTTATTGACTTTCGTAATAGATTTTTTTGAGAATATTCTTTTTTTCTGATTAGAGTTTAAGTAGATTATAATTTTTCACTAGAAAGCATTTAAAATGCTGCTCATTTTCTATAGTTAGTGTGGCTTGATTATCTGACAAATCCTGCCAGCAGCCTGTAGGTCTGATATACCTTATATAACATCATCTGCATTATTATTATTATAGCAGCCATTTTATAAGCAGATAGGAATATTTAAATAATCATTATCAGATAATCAAATCTAACATACTCTTAAGGGTAAATTAATTTAAGAAAAAAATTACTATTACTAACATCATGATTGTACAACCAGTTTTACAATTTTGTACAACCTTTAGTTACTAAATCTGATTTTTGTGTATACTTTTCAAATCTTTCTTTAATGCAGTGTCTTAAAACAAACATAAATGCACAAGTCAAGCTTGATCAGTTTTTCAGTAGTTTTCCAGCCTTTCTTGATTACTAAAAAATAAAAGGAAAGAAAATTTTGAGAAGAAAGAAAACAGTCCACTTAAAGAAATCTCCCTACTGGAACTGGTTCTTTATATACCATATGCAATTAAGTTATTGCCATAGGAAGAAAGTGGGCTGTTTTTTGTTCTTTCTTCGTTTTTTTTCCTCTTACAGGAATCCCCTTTTGATTTAAGGCAACAAACATTTCCCCTCCATTGTGTGTCCATTTAGCTGCTGCATATGTGTTGTAATGGTTTTCCAGAATTAGTTCTTTGAAGTTACAATCTTCATTGCATTCTTTCTGTTCAAACAAACAAACAAACACACAAACATTATCCAAATGATTTTTAGAGAGGCTCAATTAAACGAAGAGTAAGCAGCAATATTTGGTAGAATTGAAACATACACAACTTTTTTTAACCCTCAGATTGAGCAGGCCTAATGTGGTTTATTAGCTAGACTTATGTAGTATATTTGCATAAAAAGGTATCTTAAATTTGAAATAAAGACACCACATAATGCACAGCTAGTGTGAAATATGTGTAGCTTTTTGGAAGTTCATGTCAACTATTCTTTAAAATTAGGACCTATTTCCCCCTAAGTAACAGGCCTCAAATTACTCTTCCCACATCACTCATTCTTTAACCACTGGAAATTTGGTAGAATTAGCAGAACCTCTGCCTCCCTCAGGTGAGAGACTTGTTTCACAACTTTTCTTTATTTACTTGTACACTGTCTTCAGTGGTAATGGAAGATAAAAGGTTAATTTGTTTGTTCATCCATGCAACCATTTGTTCATTCAATTAAACCTGTATCATTATATAATTAGCCTGTTCCAGGCATTATGCTGAGCTGTGGGAATACAAAGGAAAGCCAATTATATTTTATTACAGTGGGATGAACTGTTACATATTTTGCATTGTAGTGAAGTGGGAACAATGTGAATAATTACAGTTCAAAGCCCATGATTGTGAGATTGATGTTGATGAATGAACTAAACATTTCAAGATTTTTTCCCAAGAATTTTCATGTCAGCAATGTGCAAATTGGGTGAACTTTAGCAAAAAGAGCTTTAATACTGGCAAATGGAAATTTTGGATTTTAAATATCTAAAATGCACATGGAATGTTAGAGCTGGAAGGCTCCTTAGAGGTCAGCTAATTCAACTCATTTTACAGATGAAGAAACCAGAATCCAAAGAACAAGCCATTTGTCCAAAGTCACACAGAAAACATTTTTTCTTAACATTTGAGTATAAAGTGTTTTAATAAAATCATTAAATTATACAGTTGGAGATAGATTAAGTCCATGTTTACTTTTCAGAATGGTGAGATATTTCAACAAAAATGAGTTTTAAAAATTAAGCCTAAGCTATCAATTATCAATACCTTTGCATAGAGTTTTCCTTCCTCGTTCATTGCAAGATAGAATTCACTTTCCACCCCTTTGATTGCCACAATCCGAACTGCCACTGTCCTGATTTCCATGATATCTGCAAGGAATCACAGAAAGACATGTCAAGTATTCGTTCAGCTTTGCAAATGATCCACGAATGGCCATTTGTTCTTATTTCTGTTTTAATCGGAAGTCTTTAAAATTTTTAATGTGATTATTTACTCAGCCCAAGACCCCCGACCCACAAGAGATACACACAAACACCAGAATAGTCATTATATAAGGCAAGTGCAAACTGACGGTTTTTTATTTTGTGGAAAATGTGCCTGTATCGAATAAATAGTTACATATTTGAGTTCAGCTTTTTATTCTCTAGAATTAAATTTCTAATTTACTATAATAATAATAGCTAATGTTTATTGAACGCATACCACATGCCAAGGATTATTGCATTGCTCTTATGTATTAACTCATTTACTCATAACCACAGATTGAGGCAGGTAGTCTTGTTATCCCAGTTTTACAGATCAGGAAACTGAAGCACAGAGAAACTAAGAAATTTGCCCAAATTCTTATACCTGATAAGTAGCAGAACTGGAATTTGAACCCACACATTCTGGCACTTAATCATTATATAATTACTTTTCTATTTGGATAAACTTTATCTTAAAAATTATGGCCAACAGAATAGCTCTTGAATATACTGAAAGTGAAGAAAATTCTAATTAAAGCAATTGTAAATGATGGTAAACAGAGCCTACTGCCTTAAAATAAAAGGTTGTTTTAAACTGATAGTATTTTGATACATGAAAAGACCATTTAAAACAAAATTATGAATCCTGTTTATATAATACTTCATAACTTTATACCTTTGTAATTAACTTTTAAATCTTTGTTGAAATAGTATTTACAAAACGTGTTTACACAAGAATGGTAACTTACCATTTTCCTTTATTATATATATCTTCCTTAAATCCTGTGTTTTAATGACACACTAAATAAAGTAAAATCTCAAGAAATTTATTAAAATGATGTAAGAATTAAAATTTTAGTGTACTTTTATGCAATTTGGTATTAATTACATTTTCTACATGAAGGTACAGTGCTGAGACATCCTTTTACCTATGTCTAACACAGTGCAAAGAAAAGTCAAAGTGTCAATTTTCTGTGTGATTGGGCCTTCAAAAGCTATTTTCTAAAATATTGACTTAAAGAAAAAGCTAATTGTTTTGCCCCATACCTTTACTTCATTCTCTTATTTATTTTTTTGACTTCATTTTTGCTACCTGGATAATAAAATTTCTATTCATGTCATTGGGATTTAATGTAGCCCAGCTAATATTTCTCATTTGCCTCACATATATGTTGCATATAGAAGCCCTTTTCCCAATATCCTATACTTAACACTAGTCAGAGCTCGTCCAGTTGAGAGTTTCACAGCTACTCCTCCAGAAATTGGGTTTGATTAAGAAAATGTAAATGAATGGATATTAATCTTTTTATATATTTATTAAGCATTATCACAATGCATACAACCCTACTGTAGTTTTAGGACACAAATTAAGAAAAACAGCCCTGGTTTCTGATACCAGAAGTTAAAACCTAATAGAAACAGCAAACACGTCCATATATTTTGAAGAATTTTGAAGAACACAGGCCTGAATAGGCCAGAGAAAATTTTACTAATTGCTTACAAGCACATGAAGGATTATGACGTTGATGCATTCATGTAACGTTCAACAGATCTTCACTGAGAGCCAATTCTATGCTAGGCTCAATTCACAGACAAGCCTTGCCCTTTTAGGGCACTCTATTTGGTAACTACAACTTCATTGCATTAAAGGAAGCACAAAGGGAAATAACATGCAGAAGAATACTATTAGGTTAAATTTGTACTAATACAATGAAAAATACTGAAGAAATTCATTGATTCAGCATATTTGCAATACCTCCAAAATGGAATGAATGTATCAGTTAGGTTGGTGCAAAAGTAATTGTAGTTTTGCCATTACTTTTATGACAAAAACTGTAATTACCTTTGCACCAAACTAATATTTAAAGGACATATGGAATAGTTGGTTTCTAAAGATCTTAGCATTGTAAAATATCATTAAAAAGTCAATATTTTCTTTTCCTTCAAGTCTCTTTACTCCTGCCATTCCTCCCTGTATTTAATATATTTTCTTTTAGATAAAAAGAGAATGCTGATGCACAAGCTTAGAGTGTCTTTCTTGATCAGTTATTAGGGACTAGAATCTGTAATGTTTGCTGGCTTTTCTTTTACAGAACAATTGTAAAACATAAATGTTGACTGATAGAGTTAGTATTAATTATGATAGGCAGACGTCTTCCCTTTTTGGTCCTGTCATGACAATAAGTTCATATTGTCCCACTCCCAAAACATTTTCCTCTATCCCCTGCCTGTCTATTGCCCACTATTTCTTTACTGCACTTTACAAGAGGTGATGGCTGGATGTGGTAGCTCACATCTGTAATCCCAGCACTTTGGGAGGCCGAGTCAGGCAGATCACTTGAGGTCAGGAGTTCAATACTAACCTGGCCAACATGGCGAAAAATACAAAAAATTATCCGGGTGTGGTAGCGGGTGCCTGTAATCCCAGCTACTCAGGAGGCTGAGGCAGGAGAATTGCTTGAACCCAGAAGGCGGAGGCTGCAGTGAGCCAAAACGGTGCCACTGCCCTCTAGCCTAGGCAACAGAGTGAGACTCTGTCTCACCAAAAAAAAAAAAAAAAGAAAAATTAGTTGGGCATGGCGGTGAATTCCTATAATTCTAGCTACTTGAGAGGCTGAGGCAGGAGAATCACTTGAACTTGGGAGGCAGAGGTTGCAATGAGCCGAGGTCACACCACAGCACTCCAGTCTGGGTGGAGTGAGGCTCTGTCTCAAAATAATAAATAAATAAATAAATAAATAAATAAATAAATAAATAAATAAATAAATGAAAATAAGGTGGTGAACATTTTTAATCATATCTCTCCACATATTAGGGTTAAGGATACCACAAATTCTCTGTAAAGATTCTACGTTTAGCTGAGATGAGAATAGACTTATATTCTTAATTGCTTGACATATTTAAAAAATACCATTCACACTGGGAAATCAACATATCTAAAAGACAATTGCTTGGGGAGAGCATTAAGCAGTGTTGGCAGAATCAGTACCTTATCAACCCTATTTTCTAGTCTATTTTGTTCCATGTCCTACGACCCTCTTTTATTCAAGAAAAGCTCAAGAATAAGGAAATTAACATTATCACTCATTTGTTCAGTTGCAGTGTGGGGAGTAATGTTCCTTTCAATATGCACAAATATTTATAGAAGTGTTAAATATGGGCCGGGCGCAGTGGCTCACGCCTGTAATCCCAGCACTTTGGGAGGCCAACGCGGGCGGATCACCTGAGGTCAGGAGTTCAAGACCAGCCTGGCAAATATGGTGAAACCCCATCTCTACTAAAAATACAAAAATTAGCCAGGCATGATGCTGGGTGTCTGTAATCCCAGTTACTCGGGAGGCTGAGTCAGGAGAATCATCTGAACCTGGGAGGCGGAAGTTGCAGTGAGCTGAGATTTCACCATTGCACTCCAGCCTGGACAACAAGAGCTAGACTCTATCTCACCAAAAAAAAAAAAAAAAAAAAAAAGAAAAAAGTATTAACTATGAAATCCTACCCCTCCAAATCAGAAGCCACGAAGTTGCTCAGAAAACATAATAGAAAAATATGTAATATGCAGATATTGTTAGTTACCAATATGAGTTAATTATACTTGGTCTTTTTGTCTACAGTGTATCTGTTGCCTCACATAAAACAAATAGAAGAGGCTGTCTTTCTTTGTGGATTTCCATTTGTGCTTAAGAGAAGTTTGTTCACATAAGTAGCACTCAGTAAATTTATTCCCAGAGATTTAAAGCATATACATAGATGCATCAAATTGTTGGCATAATGTCCATGATAACATAATGGCAGAGTTCAAAAATATAAATAAAAGAGAGAGAGAGAATCAGCTCATGCAATAGAACATGAAAAACCAGGCAATATGTCAAGCACATTGACCATTTAGCCTTGTCAGCAATATTGTCAACAATAGCATAAATTTATTATTTAGGATGTCACCCTTACACACTAGAGACTATGCCCTAAATAGCTTCCCTATTTTTTATCATCTGGTTCAATAATTCATGAATTTATCTAAACTTTTTGTCGGTTTATTATTTAAACCTGTGTCACACTTGGAATGAAAAGTGGGGAACTTTGATCTAAATTGCAATTACTTTTTTAAAAAATTCTGTAAGACCTTTCAGAATTTTAGGTGTCCCTCTAATCTTGTATTTCAGAAATTGATACTAATTCTTTTTTTAATTACCAATAGCTTTGTGATTTTAAAGTGCTTTAACTTTCCTGTTTGAAAAATTACTTTTTAGTGTCTCACTACACAGAATCCGTGTCCACCAATCTCAGCATCATTAATATTTCTTTTTCCTGAAACCGTTAAAGCTTTATGTTTAAAGTTTTGAAGGGGTATATATTAATATGGCTGTGCTAGCGTGATAACTAAATATTATTTTCAAGTTGCAAAAAAAAGTGGAGGCAGCGGTTTGATAGTTAGCCAATCAGAACATTTAATCTTGTCCTTGATCAAATATACCCTCTTCGGCATGTTAAAACTAAGAACTAGTATCAACAAAGAAAAAAACATTTACATTTAAATACATTTTATGATTTTCTGTCAAGCCTGGATTGTTGAGTGGGAAATCTTAACCATTATATATTTATATTATGTTTAAGGCTATAGATTCCATTCATTTTACATCACTAAAATACACCGACATATACATATATGCAAAAAATATATCAATATATCCAACATATACAAAAAAAACACTGAAAACACAACAATAAGGAAAAAAAACCTAGTTAAAAAGTGGGCAAAATCTGGACACCTCACTACAGATACACAAAGGGCAAATAAGCAGATGAAAATATGCTCAATAACATAGATCATCAAGGAATTGCAACATGGATGCAGCCGGAGGCCATTATCCTAAGCAAATTAACACAGGAACAGAAAACTAAATACTGCATGTTTTCACTTATAACTGGGAGCTAAACACTGGGTACTTAGGGACATAAAGATGGCAACAACTGACACTGGGGACTACTGGCGGGGAGTAGATGAGGGAAGGGTTGAAAAACCATTAGGTACTATGCGCAGTACCTGAGTGATGGGAGCAATCATACCTCAAACCTCAGTATCACACAATATACCCAGGTAACAGACCTGCACATGAACCCCCTGAATCTAAAATAAAAGTTGAAATTATTTAAAAAGGAATTGAAAATTAAAACAACAATGAGATACCTCTATACAACTATTAGCATGACTAAACTCCAAAAAACTGACAGTGCTGTATGCTGGCAAGGATGCGAAGCAACCAAAACTCTTTCATTACTAGTGGGAATGCAAAATGGTGCAGTCACATGGGAAGACAGTTTGGCAGTTTCTTAAAAACTAAACATGCTATATAATCCAGCAGTCATGCCCCCAGGTATTTGCCCAATTGAATTGAAAACTTACGTCCATACAAAATCCTGAACATGACTATTTATAGAAGCTTTATTCGTATCATCTAAAACCAGATGCAACCAACATATCCAATAGGTAAATGGATGAACAAACTATGGTACACGTATACATTGGAATATTATTTAGCAATGAAAGGTATTGAGCTGTGAAGCCACAAAAAGACAAGGGGAACCTTAAGTACATATTGCTAAGTGAAAGAAACCAGTCTGAAAAAGCCACATACTGTATGATTCCAGCCATATGACATTCTGGCAAAGACAAAACTTTAGAGGCAGTAAGATCAGTGGTTGCAAGGGCCTTGAGGAGAGCAGAAGAAGGATGAAAAGCTCAATCACAGGGGATTTTTAAATCAGTGAAACTATTCTGCGTAATACTGTAATAGTGGATACACGATATACATTTGTCAGAACTCATAGAACTATACAAAGCAAAGCGGGGACGTTAGTATAAATTGATGGTATAAATAAATATTGGCTCATCTATTGTAATAAATGTGCCACATTAATGCAAGATATTTATAATGGAGGAACTGTGGGGGGAAATGGAGATTGTTTATAGGAACTCTATTATCTGCTCAATTTTTTTTTTTTTTTTTTTTTTTTTGATACAGAGTCTCGCTCTGTCGCCCAGGCTGGAGTGCAGTGGTGCGATCTCGGCTCACTACAAGCTCCACCTCCTGGGTTCACGCCATTCTCCTGCCTCACCCTCCCCAGCAGCTGGGACTACAGGCGCCCGCCGCCACGCCCAGCTAATGTTTTTGTATTTTTAGTAGAGACAGGGTTTCACCGTGTTAGCCAGGATGGCCTCGATCTCCTGACCTTGTGATCCACCCGCCTCAGCCTCCCAAAGTGCTGGGATTACAGGCGTGAGCCACCGCGCCCGGCCCTATCTTTTTATTTTAATAAAATAACTACCTAATTTATGACAGGATAGTAGCATCTGGTGTTCTCTGAGGTTCTTTGATTTGTGGGCAGGTGTCTGTTGCTGAATTTTAAAAGTTCTCAGCCATCCCTTTTTTCTTTTCACATTCTGGGTGAATGCAGTTTTCATAGAAGGTGCTAGATTTGTGCAACCCTAAAGATAGGTGACTCCTCTGACTCACAGATCCCTGGGAGCCTCTCCCGAACAGAGTTTCTTTATCCACACACCCCACTTCCCATACCCACTCTCCCACATAGGTGTTCTGGCCACCAGTAATCTCTGAAGGATGGAAGATGAAGAGACATGACTTTTACCTGAGTCTCTACTCCTCCCAAGAGAATGAATGTTCCTGGAAACTTCACCAACAGAAAATCAGGGGATATCAATATATGTAAGCACTCATTACTCATGTAATGGAGGCCTTGGCAAAATGTGACACTTAAATTTCTGCTCAGGGAGAGTAGAAAATAGGCACAGAGAATAGAGAGACTGGTAAAGAATGAAGGCTCAAAGGTGATTGAGTTGTGTTAAAGGCACGTCTTGATCAGGCTTTGCTTTATTTTTCTCTTGTGGAATATGAAAGTGGGTGTTACAATTAAATATATTTCTTGATTTCCTAAAATGTTATAGGCTGTTTCCAATTTTTGTTATTTTTGGAGTTTCTTAAATCGAAATTTGATTCAGGATAATTAAAAAATATAATGTTAATGTTAAGATGGAAAGTAGGTCAAAAGGCAATCACGTTAAGCAAGAGGATAATTGGAGATAGGACCTTGAACACGAAAGTAATCTTAAATTCTTGACTATTATGATACAGTTTGCATAAAGAACTGAGATTTCTTCAGAAAACTATAGTGAAATGGGACACTACAAATCAAATATAAATTTAAAAATGAACGCATTTATTCAATACATATCCATAGATTATTCTGGATTAAATGTACACATTTTAAGAATAAAGTTTTAAATTTGAAAATGAAAGACTGTTTCCCATCTAAACAGACCATTGGCTTCAAGATACTTACAACTGTGTTAAATCATCTTCCATTGGTTATAGTTGGTTATGGCATCGGCATCCCCAAATCTGGCTGACCCATACTACGTTTTTCCTAAATCTCTTTTTTCTTCTGTATCTTGCTAAGTCTGCTGGTTCATCCTCCCAATTTCCTGTATTTAAAACCCCAGTGCCACGTTTGACCTTGTCCTTTCTCTTCTGCTGTTCACGTCTTCTGTCTCTCACATTCATTCCAACCTACACATCCCAGTGGCCTATTCCTATTTAAGCACCCAACCCCCTCTCTCCTGAATGAATGCAGAAAGCTTTCTCATCTCTGGACTCATAACACAACAGTTATTATTACACACGACTGTCAGACGTGTGGAGTTCTTGAACCATAGTTCTCTGGTGTCATCATTCATTTTAAAAATTTTGGTTGGCTCCCTATTACCTAGAAAATAAACTTTAGTGTCCTTTGCTCAACATGTGAGGCCCTCCACAATCTAATTTCACACGCTCCAAAACCTTATTTCTACCTACTCTCTTCCAAGGACCCTGAACCCCACATTCCAGGCAAATCCAGTTATGGAACACTTGCAAAGGCCATCAGAAGTCACTGCAAAACCAATCCGGTCTGACTCCTATGTTGTTTAGTGCTCTATCCCCTTTGTCTGAAATGGCTTTCCCTCCACCTCTATTTTTGTTTACCGGCACCTTCCACAGCTTTCAGCATTCAGTTTGTCATGAAGGCAGCTGTTACAGACTGGACTAGAAAACTGTGAGCTGAATTGGTGGTTTCCAAATCAGTATCACACTTGATTCCCACCTCCAGAAATTTTGATAGAGGGGGCCTGGAGTAGAGCCAATGAGTCTTACACACACAGACACACACACACACACACACACACACACACCCCAAAAGAAACCCACACCCCAAAACAAACACACACTTACCCTAATGACTATCTAGGTGCCAGCCCTAGCCTAGGCCAGGCTGGTGGAACATGCTGGATTAAAAACAACAGGACACTGAGAAAGTATTTGCTACACAGACATATGGGATTTGACCATGTGTTATTTACAGATAACCTAACTCACTGGAGTAAAACCTATCTTAAATTGGCATATGGTATAGGATATGTTGTAGCATTTTATTAGTGAACATTTGTAAGGTTTTATTTGTGAAAACTGATAAGACTGTATTTGTGACCATCACAAGGAAAACTGATAAAACTGTATTTGTGACCATCTCAAGGAAGGCCTGTCCTATGCCAGGCTCACCTGCCAAGCTGGCTGCAGTCCCTTCCTCTCTTGACCTCACGTTGCCCCTAAAGGCGTCTCTGTTATTATATTCATGACTTTCCATTCTCTAATACTGTGTACTGATCATTTCAACACATGCCTTATTCTCTGAATAGACTGAAGGATTCATTAAGTATCTGAAAAGCAAATGCTGATGAACTTGCCTAAAATAAAAGGCATGAACCATGCAAGTTTCTAACATAGATTGTAGCAGCCACCCCAGATGATTGCAATCGCCTCCCCATTGATCTCCCAGCTGACTCATTCTATGTATTTGTAACTCAGCAACCAGAGTGAGCCTTTAAAAATTATCAGAGAGCGCCACTCCTCTTAGTAAAGCACTACCCCACCCCAGTCACGTAGCTTTCTGATTCACAGGAGTAAAAGCCAAAGTCCTTATAATGGCCTAAAAATCGTACATAATCTGTTCCTTTTCAGATTTCATTCACTACCATCTTCCCCCTTCTCTCTCTGTTCCAGTTACAACAGCTGGCTGCCCCCCTCAAACACAACTAGCACGTTCCTGCCCCAGGGCCTTTGCACCTGCTTTTTCCTCTTAGTGCAACAAGCTTGCTCCAGATATCTGAAAGGCTGACTATCTTGCCACCTTCAGATGTGTGTTCTAATGTCTCTTTATCAATGAGAGCTTCTTTGTCCACCCTGGGCATCTTCTTGCCCTTCCCTGCTTTATTCTTCCCCATGGCAGTTACTCACATTGGACACTAAACACTTGTTTCCTTAGCTAGGCATTCTTCTCCTACCCTCACAACAGTAGGAATGTCCTAAGGTTCTGAGAAGACTCCTGTGCTAGGTTTCCAGACTCCTGTCCTCTCACATTTGGTGCTCATGCACCTCTTGGTCATTAGTGCACTCCAGAGGTTAGGACCTAGAGTATGTGGCTGTCCTTCAGAGGAGGGAAAGAGATTGCTTGGGAGCAGAGAAGGGAGCTTTGGCCTCGCAGTGCAGGACCCCTGTGCCCACAGGCCTCTGTGTGTTGACAGCAATGCTCTTGGTGTCCACCTGCACTGCCCTCTGGTGTTCAGTCAAAATCAAGCAAATAGTTACGAACTGCTATAGGGGATTGTTACCAGGTCCTGAGTCTGAGTGTTGGAAACACAAACCCAGAAGCAAACAAATCTGCCCAACACCCCTGACATGTGGGTTTCACAGAAAATACTGAGGTCAGAGTAGCGTGTTAAATGATACCACAGTGATGACACAATCATAAAAATCTACACTGTGGACTCTGTCCTAGTTTCTTTAACGAATTGCATGAAAAAAAAGATGGAAGGGGAAGAATAAGAATGAAGAATGCTTTAGAGACTCTGCAATCCATCGTAATATCCGTACAAGGATTCTGCTCTTTTAAAAAAAGAAAAATGGTGTGAAAAAATATGTAGGACTGGCCAGGCAGCGTGGCTCACACCTGTAATCCCAACACTTTGGGAGGCCGAGGTGGGTGGATCACTTGAGGTCAGGAGATCAATCCTGGCCGACAAGCCTGACCAACATGCCAATATGGTGAAACCCCGTCTCTACTAAAAATACAAAAAATTAACCAGGCATGGTGGTGGGCACCTGTAATCCCAGCTAATTGGGAAGCTGAGGCAAAAGAATCGCTTGAACCCAGGAGGCGGAGGTTGCAGTGAGCCGAGATCTTGCCACTGCATTCCAGCCTGGGTGACAGGGCGAGACTCTATCTCAAAAAAAAAAAAAAGTAAGACAATCAGGGAAATTTGAACAGCGACTGGATTTTGGGTAAAAGTAAGTAATTCTGGCTAATTTTTAGATGTATTATTTTAAAAAGGGGATCCTTACCCTTTGGAGGTGGATACCTCCAAATATTCATGGATGAAATGACAGGATGCCAGAAATGCTCTTCAATTAATCTATGTCAGGGAAGTGGGATCAGAGGAATCAGGACTGTCTAAAACTGAAGCTGGGTATTAGGTCAATGAGTTAATTATACTATTCATTCATTATGCTATTTATTTCCTTTTGTATATTCTTTAAATTTTTCATAATAGTAATAAAGATATGTTGAACATGGTAAAGATGGAAAATGTACAGAGATAGAAGAAATATTCTTATTTTTTATTTCATACAATTCTATAGTTTCACATTTTGTTTTACTGTATTTATGCATTAATTCTATAACTGTAAAACATGCTATTAATAATTAAACTGACCTTATGAAAATTCTTGGAGAGTGAAAACTTTGAAACTCATGTGCTAGGTACATCATTAAAATATATCATTCAGGCGACACCTGATGACTCACATCTATAACCCCAGTAATTTGGGAGATGAAGATAGGAGGCTCCCTTAAGCCCAGGAGTTTGAGACCAGCCCTGGCTATATAGCGAGAGCCTGTTTCTACAAAAAAAAAAAAAATTATTATTAATTAGCCAGGCATGGTGGCATGCACCTGTAGTTCCAGCTACTCAGGAGGCTAAGGTCAGAGGATAGCTTGAGCATGAAAGTTCAAGACTGTAGTGAGCCATGGTCATGCCACTGCACTCCAGCCTGGGAAACAGGGTAAAACCATGTCTCAATAAACAAACAAATAAATACATAAATACATAATAAAGTATTCCATTCAACATTTTTACCTTAGTAATGCTCAACGTTTGGTTTTTACTTATTTCCTTTTATGTTGTATTTTCTAGACCAAATTCACATATAGTATAAAGCAGAAGAAACTAAAGATTAAATTCATTGTTCGTAATTGTATTCAGTTTCCTGTTTTCATCATCGTTTGTTTACAAATTTTTTTTTTTTTCTTTTTTGAGACAGAGTCTCGCTCTGTCACCCAGGCTGGAGTGCAGTGGCTGGATAGCTCACTGAAAGCTCCGCCTCCCAGGTTCATGCCATTCTCCTGCCTCAGCCTCCGGAGTAGCTGGGACTACAGGCGCCCACCACCATGTCTGGCTAATGTTTTGTATTTTTAGTAGAGACGGGGTTTCACCATGTTAGCCAGGATGGTCTCAATCTCCTGATCTCGTGATCCGCCTGCCTCGGCCTCCCAAAGTGCTGGGATTACAGGTGTGAGCCACTGCCCCGGTCTGTTTAGGAATATTTTTAAAGAATTATTGCACTTCTGTTCGGATAGAAAAACAAAAATGCATTTTAAGAATATATATTTATATGTATGAAAATATAAAATTTTGAAAAGTTGAATATTTCGAGCCAGTTATGTAGATGTCCTTGTCCTTCTCTGAGCTGCTGACTCACGTTCCATGAAGCGGGATGGGTCTCACAGGGCCTGTCAGGATGCAGGCTGTGATGTGAAGGCCCCTCGACACTCACAGGATTGGACGGGTTTGTGAAGGAATTTGGAGTGAGCCTTAGTTAGTTCCTTACCATTTCCTTTGAGCAACATCAGTGCTTTTGACATTTTGCACTGCCGTATAAAACTAAGTGCATGCAGAGATGTATGTTTCTGAACAAATCACAAAATTGACAAGCAACTGCCATGCATTGTTTTTTGTATCATAGCTAACTGATAAAGTACAGACTGCAACATTTACTTATTCAAATACCTTTAAACATCTGGTATTTTTTTTTTTACCTGTACTTCCCAGGAATTTGATGTCAGATGCATTTTCTATTATTTCCATATCTATTGAAATGAACTCAAATAAAAAAAGGGGATGTTTCATTACACACTTATTAATGTGTAATTTAAGATTAATGTGTAATCTTGTAATTCCCATAATCCTCATGTGTCAAGGGCGGGACCAGATGGACATGATTGAATCATAGGGGTGGTTTTCTCCACGCTGTTCTCGTGATAGTGAGTTCTCACAAGATCTGATGGTTTTATAAGGGGCTTCTTCCTTCACTCAAAACTCATTGTTTCTGCTGCCACCCTGTGAAGAGGTGCCTTCGGCCATGATTGTAAGTTTCCTGAGGCATGCCCAGCCATGTCAAACTATGAGTCAATTAAACTTTTCTTTATAAATTACCCAGTCTTGAGTAGTTCTTCATAACAGCATGAAAACAGACTAATACAGTAAATTGGTACCACAGACATAGGGTGCTGTTATAAGGATACCCTAAAATGTGGAAGTGACTTTGGAACTGGGCAACAGGCAGAGGTTGGAATAGTTTGGAGAGTTCAGAAGAAGACAGTAAAGGCTGGGTGTGGTGGCTCATCCCTGTAATCCCAGGACTTTGGGAGACCGAGGCAGGTGGATGACCTGAGGTCAGGAGTTTGAGACCAGCCTGGCCAACATGGTGAAACCCCATCTCTACTAAAAATATAAAACTAGCTGGGCATCGTGGTGCATGCCTGTAATCCCAGCTACTTGGGAGGCTGAGGCAGGAGAATGGCTTGAACATGGGAGGTGGAGGTTGCAGTGAGCAGAGATTGTACCACTGCATTCCAGCTTGGGCAACAAGAGCGAAACTCCATCTCAAAAACAAAAAAAAAGAAGACAGAAGAATGTGGGGAAGTGTGGAACTTCCTAGAGACTTGGAGGGCTTGGAAGACAAGAAGATGTGGGAAAGTTTGGGACTTCCTAGAGACTTGAATGGCTTCTACCAAAATGCTGACAGTGACATGGAAAATGAAGTCCAGGCTGAGGTGGTCTCAGATGGAGATGGGGAACTTGTTGGGAACTCGGATAAAGGTGATTCTTTCTATGCTTTAGCAAAGAGACTGCAACACTTTGCCCCTGACCCGGAGAGCTGTGGAACTTTGAACTTGAGAGAGATGATTTAGGGTATCTCGTGGCAGAAATTTCTAAGCAGCAAAGTGTTCAAGAGGAAGCAGAGCATAAAAGTTTAGAAAACTTGCAGCCTGACAAGGCGATAGAAAAGAAAAACCCATTTTCTTGGGAGAAATTCAAGCCAGCTGCGGAAATTTGCAGAACAAGGAGTGGAATATTAATTGCCAAGACAATGAGGGAAATGTCTCCAGGGCATGTCAGAGACCTTCTTGGAAGCCCCTCCCATCATAGGCCTGGAAACCTAGGAGGGAAAAATGGTTTCATGGGCCCAGGACCCCCTGTTCTGTGCAGCTTTGAGACATGGTGCCCTGTCTCCCAGCTGCTTCAGCTCCAGCCACAGTTAAAAGGGGCCAAGGTACAGCTCAGGCCATTGCTTCAGAGGGTCCAAGCTCCAAGCCTTGGAGGCTTCCATGTGGTGTTGAGCCTGTGGGTTCACAGAAGTCAAGAATTGAGGTTTGGGAACCTTCACCTGGATTTCAGAAGATGTATGGAAATGCCTGGATACCCAGGCAGAAGTTTGCTGCAGGGGCAAAGCCCTCATGGAGAACCTCTGCTAGGACAGTGCAGAAGGGAAATGTGGGGTTGGAGCCCCCACACAGAGTCCTCACTGGGGTACTACCTAGTGGAACTGTGAGAAGAGGGTTACCGTCCTCCAGACCCCAGCATGGTAGCTCCACTGACAACTTTCATTGTGCCCCTGGAAAAGCCACAGACACTCAATGCCAGCCCATGAAAGCAGCCAGGAGGGAGGTTGTACCCTGCAAAGCCACAGGGGTGGAGCTGCCCATGGCCATGGGAGCCTATTTCTTGCATCAGTGTGACCTGGATGTGAGACCTGGAATCAAAGGAGAACATTTTGGAACTTTTAAGGTTTAATGACTGCCCTATTGTTTTTCAGACTTGCATAGGGCCTGTAGCCCCTTTGTTTTGGCCAATTTCTCCCATTTGGAATGGGTGTATTTACAGGCACAATGCCTGTGCCTCCATTGTATCTAGGAAGTAACTAACTTGCTTTTGATTTTACAGGCTCATAGGTGGAAGGGACTTGACTCAGATGAAACTCTGGACTTGGACATTTGGGTTAATGCTGTAATGAGCTAAGACTTTGGGGAAGTGTAGGAAAGGTATGATTGTTTTGAAATGTGAGGACATGAGACTTGGAGTGGGGCCAGGGACAGAGTGATATGATTTAGCTCTGTGTCCCCACCCAGATCGCATCTTGAATTGCAGTTTCCATAATCCCCAAGTGTAAAGGGTAGGATCGGGTGGACATAATTGAATCATGGGGTAGTTGTCCCCATGCTGTTCTCATGATGATGGGTGAGTTCTCATGAGATCTGATCATTTCATAAGGGGCTTCCCCTTTGCTCAAAACTCATTATTTCTGCTGCCACCCTGTGAAGAGGTGCCTTCTGCCATGATTGTAAGTTTCCTGAGGCTTCCCTAGCCATGTGGAACTGTGAATCAATTAAACCTCTTTTCTTTATAAATTACCCAGTCTTGGATATTTCTTCATAGCAGCATGAGAATGGACTAATACAACATGTGAGTGCATTTCCAGTTAATAAATAGGTAATATTTTCTGTGCTTTCTGCTATGGTAATGAATTGCATTACAACTTCACTAAAGAGAGAAATCACTCACAATTTGAGACCTAAACCAAGAGCTGAAGAAAGTGCAAAGAGACCTACAATAATTCCTATAAGTTATTTCCAATGGAAGGCCTCTGTGAATGTAGTACTGTAATACAAAAAACCTATGGAATAAAAAGAATGCATTCTCTGAGTAATGTTATGCAGTTTAACCCCTCTCTGCATATTTTTGTCACCTGTCATCTGTAATGTAGGGATAATACAATTAATGTTATTGTCATGATTACATGAGTGAGATGAGTGAGGAATTTTTTTTGTTTTTTGTTTGTTTTGAGACGGAGTCTGGCTCTGTCGCTAGGCTGGAGTCCTGTGGCGCGATCTTGGCTCACTGCAACCTCCAACTCCCCGGTTCAAGCGATTCTCCTGCCTCAGCCTTCTGAGTAGCTGGGACTATAGGCACAGACCACCACACTAGGCTAATTTTTGTATTTTTAATAGATACGGAGTTTCACCATGTTGTCCAGGATGGTCTCAATCTCCTGACCTCGTGTTCTGCCTGCCTCGGCCTACCAGAGTGCTGGGATTACAGGCATGAGCCACCGTGCCTGGCCAAGTGAGGCATTTTAAACAGTGCATGGTTCCAAGTAATGGCTCAGAAAAGTTAGCTATTAGAATTGTAATGGTTGTTAGTGATGTTTGCCATTTTCTTTAAGAATTTCACACTTGTATCAAAAAACAGTATTAAAAGAACTATACAATCATTTAATATATAAAAAGGATAATTCTTTGTAGTTTAAGCCATAAAAGTTGCATCCAAACATAGATTTAAATAACCTCTTGTCCCCACCTTTAATAGTCTTTCAAAATATCGCATGTGCTTTTTATATTGTGAAAAGAAATAAATAGTCATACTTACAGGATTAAAAGTTATTTTCATGTACTTTGGAATTTGTTCATATTAGTTACACTTCAAGTTAATATTACATGTAATATTAAATGTACTTAATATTAAAAGTGCATTCAAAATACTTGAATGAAAATAAATTTTCATAATCAAATAAATCCCAGCACTGATTCAAGAGATTTATACCACCACGCTCATACTAAGAAGACACTGAATCAAAGCAGAAGCACATGCCTTAATCGTTGATCAGTGAAGCCTTCAGTGAATTTCAAAAATAAAAGCAAAAACAGAATAATTACTACACTAATCATAGATGATTGGCAAAGGTAAACATAACAAATTTCTAGGAAGGAGCTGCTTCAAAGAGTGATCTTTATGTGGGAAAACTCCAGCCTGGTGCCTTTGGGATCACTGATTTCCCTTGCTGGGAGTACTTGTGGTGAAACTAATAAAATCACTGAGGTGCCACAAGAAAAATAACTTGGGAAGAAGCTGACCACCAAGTTACAGATTCATGGGAAAGACATCAGGAGGTCATTTCCCTCATTTCCTTGCCTTGAGATTAATACTCAAGTCATCAACGCTAAATAAATATTTCCTGAAAATAAAGTATTTCTAGGAAAAAAATCATAACTTTGAGAATCCTCATGTTTGTATAATTGAATCAAGGACAGATGTGACTAACTTCAGAAGTCTGTTGTTCTTCCTATATTCAGTCCAGCAAACTCTCAGCAAAGCCCCCAGTGTATGAAGAATATGAAAAAGGAGTTCTGCTAGTAGAATTTGGGACTGAGAGTCCAGAGTTCTGATCTTTTGGCCTGTGCCTTCTAATGCCCTTTCACCCCACTTCATCTAAGGCAACCCTAGAAATTGTCAAAGAAAAACAGCAGTGCTGGATACTTGCTAAAGGCAATGAGACCTATTTTACTCAGACTATTTCAGCAGGAGGGAGAGACTTCAGTATAAACTAAGCTCAACTCCAAGTAAGACAAAGGAGGCTGATGTTTTTAAAAATAGAACAAATGGGAAATAAAAAGAAACTATGGAAAAGTAAAAAGAGGGGAATTAAAAAAGGGACTGAGGACTACGTGAAAATGCAAATTATAAAAGGGGGTAAGAGTCTGGCGCGGTGGCTCACGCCTGTAGTCCCAGCACTTTGGGAGGCCGAGGCGGGCAGATCACGAGGTCAGGAGATCGAGACCATCCTGGCTAACACGGTGAAACCCCGTTTCTACTAAAAACACACAAAAAGTTGGCTGGACATGGTGGCGGGCTCCTGTACTCCCAGCTACTCAGGAGGCTGAGGCAGGAGAATGGCGTGAACCTGGGAGGGGGAGCTTGCAGTGAGCTGAGATCACGCCACTGCACTCCAGCCTTGGGGAGAGAGGGAGACTCCGTCTCAAAAAAAAAAAAAAAAGCGGGGGGTAAGTAGAGAATTACTGAAAATGATTTGACACCATCGGTTACGACAATATACATTATGTAGTTTGGCAGCATTGTATTTTCTTGAGCAAAGACTCAGCGCAGGGCCTGGGGTTAACTACTCCAAGTGGAAGCCAGGCTAATGTTAGGTCAAGTCTCTTAGCACAGTGTTTAGGCAAATCCTTTTTGCTTCAGGGAAGTTCACAGTCCCTCCTCTTGTTCAAGAGAAAGAATGAATTTCTTTCTCGTAGAATAAATATAGTTGTTGCACTCCAAAGTCCTCAAAAGAAAAAAGTTCAGCCATTGTTTATCATCATTGTGCAATTCAGGAAGAGTCAAGGTGGTAAATGCAACAATCGAGGAGGTTTGGTGTATTATCAATGGTGGCACAATTGTCTCATAAGAATAGAGATGCACTTGGTGGGTCATGCCTGTAATCCCAACACTTTGGGACGCTGAGGTGGGTGGATCACGAGGTCAAGAGATCGAGACCATCTTGGCCAACATGGTGAAACCTCATCTGTACTAAAAATACAAAAATTAGCTGCGCATGGTGGCACACGCCTGTAGTCCCAGCTACTCAGGAGACTGAGGCAGGAGAATCGCTTGAACCAGGAGGGGGAGGTTGCAGTGAGTAGAGATAGTGCCATTGTACTCCAGCCTGGTGACAGAGTGAGACTCTATCTGAAAAAAAAAAAAAAAAGAAGAATAGTGGTGTACTTAAGAGACAAAGAATATTGCCATTAAGGATGTTTTTAAGAAGCCAAGTGCAAGATCAAAAAAGACAAAGGAGAGCATTACATAATGGTAAAGAGTTCAATTCAACAAGAAGATCTAACTATCCTAAATATATGTGCACCCAATACAGGAGCACCCAGATTCATAAAGCAAGTTCTTAGAGACTTACAAAGAGACACGGAGTCTCACACAATAACAGTGGGAGATTTCAACACTCCACTAACAGTTATTAGACAGATCACCAAGGCAGAAAATTAAAAAACATATTCAGGACCTGAACTCAACATTAGATCAAATGTATCTGATTGACTTCTACAGAACTCTCCACTCAAAAACAACAGAATATACATTCTTCTCATCACCACATGGCACATACTCTAAAATCAGCCACATAATTGGACATAAAACAATGCTTAGCAAATGTAAAAGAACCGAATTCTTACCAAACACACTCTTGGACAACAGTGCAGTAAAAATAAAAGTTGAGACTAAGAAAATCACTCAAAACCATACAATTACATGGAAATTAAACAACATGTTCCTGAATGACTTTTGGGTAAATAATGAAATTAAGGCAGAAATCAAGAAGTTCTTTGAAAATAATGTGAACAAAGATACAACATACCAGGATCTCTGGGACACAGGTAAGGCAATGATAAGAGGGAAATTCATAGCACTACCTGCCCACATCAAAAAGTTAGAAAAATCTCAAAAAGTTAGAAAGATCTCAAATTAACAACCTAATATCGCCACTAAAAGAATTACAGAAGCAATAACAAATCAACCCCAAAGCTAGGAGAAAACAAGACATAACCAAAATTGGAGCTGAATGGAAGAAAATCAAAGACACAAAAATAATTCAAAAGATTGTTGAATCCAGGATTTTTTTTGAAAAAATTAATAAGATAGGCCAACACCTAGAATAATAAAGAAAAAAAGAGAGAAGTTCCAAATAAACACTACTAAAATTTTGAGGCCTGGTGTGGTGGCTCATACCTGTAATCCCAGCACTTTGGGAGACTGAAGCGGGTAGATCACTTGAGGCCAGGAGTTTGAGAGCAGCCTGACAAACGTGGTGAAACCCTCTCTACTAAAAATACAAAAATTAGCTGGGCATGGTGGCACACAACTGTAGTCCCAACTACTCAGGAGGCGGAAGCACAAGAATTGCTTGAACCCAGGAGGCAGAGCCTGCAGTGAGCCAAGATGGTGCCACTGTACGCCAGCCTGGATGACAAAGCAAGACTCTGTCTCAAATAAAAAAAAAGAAAAGAAAAGAAAATGTTAACACTGACTGCACAAAAATAAAAATAATCAAATAACCACTAAAAACTACTATGAACACCTCAATGCACACAAACTAGAAAACCTTGAAAAGATGGATAAATTCCTGGACACATACACCCACCCAAGACTAAGCCAGGAAGAAATTGATTGCCTGAACAGACCAGCAACAAGCTCCAAAATTGAACCAGTAACAAATAGCCTACCAACCAAAAAAAGCCCAGGACCTGATGGATTCATAGCTGAATTCTACCAGATGTACAAAGAACTGGTACCATTCCTAGGGAAAGTACCCCCCGAAAAATTGAGAAGGAGTGACTCCTCTTTAGCACATTCTATGAGGCCACCATCATCCTGATACTAAAACCTGGCAGAGCCACAACAACCAAAAAGAAAACTTCAGGCCAATATCCTTGATGAACATCAATGCAAAAATCCTCAGCAAAATACTTGCAAACCAAATCCAGCAGCACATCAAAAAGCTAATCCACCATGATCAAATAGGCTTCATTCCTGGGATGCAAGGTTGGTTCTACATATGCAAATCAATAAATGTGATTTCGTCACATAAACAGAACTGAAGACAAAAACCACATGATTATCTCAATCAATGCAGAAAAAAAGCTCTTGATAAAATTTAACCCCCTTTCATGTTAACAACTCTCAACAAAGTAGGTATTGAAGGAATATACCTCAAAATAATAAGAGACATCTATGACACATCCACAGCCAATATCACTTTGAATGGGCAAAAGCTGGAAGCTTTTTGCCCTTGAAAACTGGCACAAAACAAGTCTGCCCTCTCTCACCACTCCTATTCAAAATAGTTGTGAAATTCCTAGCCAGAGCAATCATGAAAGAGAAAGAAATAAAGAGCATCTAGATAGGAAAAGAAGAAGTCAAACTATCTCTGTTTGCAGATGACATGATGTTATATCCAGAAGCCTCATACCTTCAGCCCAAAAGCTCCTTTAGCTGATAAACAGCTAACCAGGGAGGTGTAGAATTCTCTACAATGAGAATTACAAAACACTGCTCAAAGACATCAGAGATGACACAAACAAATGAAAAAATATCACAGGCTCATGGATAGGAAGAATCAACATAATTAAAATGGTCATAATGCCCAAAGCAATTTACAGATTCAATACTATTCATATCAAACTACCAATGACATTCTTCACAAAACTAGGAAAACTATTTTAAAATTAATATAGAACCAAAAAAATAAGGCCTGAATAGCCAAGACAATCCTAAGTAAAGAGGAGAAAAGCTGGAGGCATTATGTTACCCAATTTCAAACTATATTACAGGGCTACAGTAACAAAAACAACATGGTAGTGGTACAAAAACAGGCAAATAAACCAACAGAACAGAATCAAGAGCCCAGAATAAGGTTGCACACCTATGACCACCTGATCTTCAACAAAGCTGACAAAAGCAAGCAATGGGGAAACAATTCCCTATTTGATAAATGGTGCTGGGATAACTGGCTAGCCATATGCAGAAAACTGAAGCATCCACTCTTCCTTACACCACCCTTCCTTACACCAAATACATAAATCAACTCAAAATGGATTAAAGACATAGTGTAAAACTCAAAACTATGAAAACCCATGAAGACAAACTAGGCAATACAATCCTGGACATAGGAATAGGCAAAGATTTCATGACAAAGACGCCAAAAGCAATTGCAACGAAAGCAAACAATGACAAGGGGGATCCAATTTACTTAAGAGCTTCTGCACAACAAAAGAAACTATGGACAGAGTTAACAGACAACCTACAGATTGGGAGAAAATATTTGCAAACTATGCATCCGACAAAGGTGTAATATCCAGCATTTATAAGGAACTTAAACAAATTTACAAGAGAAAAACAAACAACTCCATTAACAAGTGAGCAAAGAACATGAACAGAAACTTTTCAAAGGAAGACACGCATCCAACAAGCATATGAAAAAGACTTCAATATCTATCACTGATCATTAGAGAAATGCACATCAAAACCATAGTGACATACCGTCTCATACCAGTCAGAAAGGCTATTGTTTAAAAAGTCAAAAAATAGCAGATGCTGGTGAGAATGCAGAGAAAAAGGAACACTTAGACATATTGGTGGGATGTAAATTAGTTTAACCATTGTGGAAAGCAATATGGTGATTCCTCAAAGAGCTAAAAGCAGAATTACTATTTAACTCAGGAATCCCAGTACTGGGTATATACCCAGAGGAGTATAAACCAGTCTACCATAAAGACACTTGCACATGTAAATGTTCATCGCAGCAATATTCACAATAGCAAAGACATGGAATCAGCCTAAATGCCCATCAATGACAGATTGGATAAAGAAAATGTGGTACATATACACCATGGAGTACCATGCAGCCATAAAAAAGAATGAGATTATGTCGTTTGCAGGAACATGGCTAGAGCTGGAGGCTATTATCCTCAGCAACTAACGCAGGAACAGAAAACCAAATACTGCATGTTCTTACTTATAAGTGGAGGCTAAATGATGAGAACTTATTAACACAAAGAGGGAAACAGCAGACACTGGGGTCTGCTTGAGCATGCCGTGTGGGAGGTGGGAGAGGAGTGGAAACAGTAACTGTTGGGTACTGGGCTTAATTCCTGGGTGATTAAATAACCTGTACAACAAGACCCCATGACATGAGTTTACCTTTGTAACAAATCTTCACATGTGCCCCTGACCTTAAAATAAAAGTTAAAAGAAAAAAAAAAAAAGCCAAGTCCCTTAAAAAGTCTCCTAAGCCATTTGGCTGGGGAAACCATTTTCTCCTTAGAGACTAAGCCTCTCCAGAGGGGCGTGAGCTATGTTGGCTGCTTCTCAGGCACGTGCTGCCACGGCTTCTTGATTCATTTCTCTTTATCATTCATGAATGAAAAGCATTGGGAACTCACCAGTGCACAAGCACCTTCTTGAAAACCCAGTATGTAGTCTAAGGTGAGCTAGTTTTGTAAAGTCATTTTGAGAAGCTCCAATACCTCATGGATTTATGAAACAAAAGCTTATATTAAGTTTGAGATGAACTCTACTAATTATTTTTTAAATTGTTATTTCAATAGCTTAAGGGGTACAAATAGTTTTTGGTTATATGAATAAATTGTATAGTGGAGAAGTCTGGGCTTTTACTGTATCTGTCACCAAATAATTTACAGTGTACCCAAGAGGTGATTTTTTTTTATCCCTCTCCCTTCCTCTCTGAGCCTCCAATGTCCATTATGCCCCTCTGTATACCTTGTGTACCCATAGCTTAGCTCCCACTTATATGTAAGAACATGCAGTATTTGGTTTTTCCATTCCTGAGTTACTTCACTTATGGTAATGGCCTCCAGTTCCAAGTTGCTGCAAAAGACATTTGTGTGCGTGTGTGGCTAAGTAGTATTCCTTTTTGTTGTTGTTGCTGAGATGGAGTCTCGCTCTGTTGCCCAGCCTGGAGTGCAGTGGTGTGATCTCAGCTCACTGCGACCTCTACCTCTCGGGTTCAAGCAATTCTCTGCCTCAGCCTCCCGAGGAGCTGGGATTACAGGTGCCCGCCACCATGCCCAGCTAATTTTTGTATTTTCAGTAGAGATGGGGTTTCACCCTCTTGGCCAGGCTGGTCTTCAACTCCTGACCTCGTGATCCACCTGCCTCGGCCTCCTCAACTGCTGGGATTACAGGCGTGAGCAACCTGGCTGGGCCTGTAGTATTCCATTTTTTATATATACCACATTTTCCTTATCCATTCCTCTGTTGATAGGCACTCAGCTTGATTCTCTATCTCTGCTATTGTGAATTGTGCTGTGATAAACATCCATGTGCAAGTGTTCTTTATATATAATGACTTCTTTTCCTTGGGTAGATACCAGTAGTGGGATTGCTGATTGAATAGTAGATCTACATTTAGTTCCTTGAGAAATCTCCACATTGTTTTTCATAGAAGTTGTACCAATTTACATTCCCACCAACAGTGTATGAGCATTCTCTTTCATCACATCTGTGCCAACATCTGTTTTTGTTTGTTTGTTTGTGTTTTAACCTTTTGGCTAGGGTAAGACAATTCTGACTAGATGGTATCTCACTGTGATTTTAATTTGAATTTCCGTGATGATTAGTGATGTTGAGCATTTGTTCATTTATTTGTTGGCCGTTTCCATATCTTCTTTTGAGAAATATCTATTCATGTCGTTTGCCCACTTTTTAGTAGGATTATGTGTTTTTTTTCTCGCTAATTTGTTGGAGTTCCTTTTAGATTCTGGATACTAGTCCTTTGTCAGATGTATCTTACAGCATAGGAGTGGGCTGACCTATGTTGGTGACAAAGGGTAGAATATCAAGAGTAGAGCACCCTGTAAGTTTGGCCTGAGCAAGCGGCTCTCCCCGGACCTGTTTAAGGCTGCTTGTCATCCAGCCATTATCCATTCACAAGTTTCAGGCTCAGCAATTGTGGGAGCGCTCATGTTTCTAATGTTTCCATTGGGAAATTTTTCATACATTTCCATTTGAGGGACAGCATAAGCCACATCGCAGCAGCCAGCCCAATGGGCTGGAAGTACTTTGTATGGTTTTATGACCACATACTAAATAATGTCCCTTGAGGGCATACTAGTGTTGGTTATTGCCTCTAGTGGTTGTAACAGAGGCTAGAGGAGCTAACCTGGAATAGACTCCAAAGAGATAGTTATAAACATCATCTTCTAAATGGCTGGGTACTTTGGTACCATTTAGCCAGCAATTTTTTTGCCCAGTCTTTCAGTTCACCAAAATATTGATCTGGAGTAAAATAATTTCCTATGATACTGGTATTGCGTGGGTATTGCAGACAATGCTGTCCTTAATGGGAGTTTGGCCCTTACAAAGAATGTCTGTTTCTTGAAAATAGGTTTCATCTTTTCACAAGGACACAGAGCATCTACTGTGTTCCACAGGGTGACTGTATTTATTAGACTGATTTCTAGTAAAACACCACGTTTCTTAGGTTAAAGAGGCCACATCATACTCCCAGTCACAAGGGCTTTTAAGAAATAGCCCAATATCTTTCTAAAAGGGAGACCTAAATGGCTGTATATTTGTAATGTTTTCTGCCAAGGCCATATCTAAAGCATAAGGGAGACAATTATTAAGGGAATACGAGTTTTAGAATAGAGTGGGAATGGGCATAGACCCGGCAATTACTTTGGTTAATTTCATTGGCTACTTTGTCAGCTAAGAGACCGAGGGAATTATGGTCATGAGAGGAAAGCACGGGATAGGGTAAGATAAGGAGGAAACAGAGGGGAATCATGACAGGGCTGCTGAGGCTGGAGATGGAGTATATATGTTGTAAGTAGGACACATCACTAGGATGAAGATGGGACGTTGTAGAGGACACAGGAGTAGTAGCAGAATGCGTAGACCCAAAATTGAAGTCAGAGACAGGGGAGGGGAATCGGAGTGAATCTTGTTTCATGATCTTTGGCAGAAGCGGACTGCTTCATCATATCATTTACTTGCTCCGTAGTTCTTAGGATGGATGTCTGTCTCCAGCTGTTGGCTACTTTTAGAGGTTCTTTTCTTTTCTTTCCTTTCCTTTTCTTTCTTTCTTTTTTTTTTTTTTTTTTTTTTTTTTTTTGAGACCGAGTCTTGCTCTCTCACCCAGGCTGAAGTGCAATGGTGCAATCTCTGCTCGCTGCAAAGTTTGGAGGTTCTTTTTTTTTTTTTCTTTTTTTTTTTTTTGAGACTGAGTCTCACTCTGTTCCCAAGGCTGGAGTGCAGTGGCGCAATCTCGGCTAACTGCAAGCTCCGCCTCCCGGGTTCACACCATTCTCCTGCCTCAGCCTCGCGAGTAGCTCTGACTACAGGAGCCCACCAATTAGCGCCCGGCTAATTTTTTTGTATTTTTAGTAGAGACGGGGTTTCACCGGATGGTCTCTATCTGCTGACCTCGTGATCCGCCCGCCTCGGCCTCCCAAAGTGCTGGGATTACAGGCGTGAGCCACCGCGCCTGGCCTGGAGGTTGTTCATAGAGTCTCAGCGTGAGTCTCTGGTTAGAGTGCCTTCCAATCGAAATAGATTTTGTATTTTTTCAACTAAAAGACATGCACCCAAGTTCAAACATTCTGTAATTTGTTAGCAGTGTTAGCAATGAGTGAAACAATAAAAGGTCCCCTCCCTCTGGGTTCAAGGTTAGTTTTCTGATGTTGGTGTTTTTTCAAAATGCCAGATCACTTACTTATAAAGCAAGTAAGGACTGATCAGGGAGTTTAAAGATACAAGAAGCCTCAATTGTGGAGTATAGTGGGGCTGTGTGTATTTAATTAATCCCTGACAATATCTGAGGATGTTGAACTGAGTTAGTTTGGAATCTTCTTCTAGTTTGCATTAGTAGGGTATTCTCATGAGTATCCCGTAATGATTCAAAGAGGATTGTTTGTGTGAAGGTAGGGGCAAGGATCTGAGAGTCAGTATGATGGGTAATATCTGTGGCCATGGCAAGTTCTTTCTTCAGACAGTTTAGCCAGTTCAGCTTGAGGATGCTGTTGGCTCTTTGTATAGAACTTTATCACTGAGGATGGTAAGGACAGTGGAATCTTTGGCTGGCGTGTGTTACCATTCCTATTTCCTGAATAATTTTGCCAATGAAATGTGATCCTCTGTCACTAGAGGCAGTAGAGGGGATAACCCATGTGGGGAAGATTCACTCTTAATAAACCTTGGCAACCGATGTCCTTGAGGAGTTTCAACAGGGAAAGCCTCCCATTCTATTTTCCAGTGAAGGAAGCCTATTTTCCAGTGAAGGAAGGATGTAGAAGGAGCCACTTCCCTTTTTTGCCCCACCTTTATGCTTTTTGGAGGATTATGTTGTTGGTAGATGCAGCAAATGGCAACAGCTTGGTCCAAATAAAATCTAAAGAGTCCAAGCCATATTGTTTTGTTTAATATATACTGCATTTTGTCCTTTCTGTGGTAAATCTGGATGAGTAAATTGTACACAATGACTTGGGAGACAGACTTAGGAGTTACCAAATGGCCATCTGGGTATTTCTGAAGTCCACTTAAGTGGATCAAACATTCACCTTTTTCTCATCCAATTCTTTCTGACTCTGAAATTGCTATCTGGGCTGTGTGAATTTTACATTTCCTTTAGAGGCCTTGTAAAGACATTGCTTCTGTCAATTTATTTAAAGAGGGTAAATAATCCTAGCAGGACTGTGGGTATTTGAAATGAAGCCCAGGTATCTAGTCACAAGGTTTGGAGACTTCCTGGATTTCTTAGGCGGCCAAGGAAGAGGATGCTAGCTTAGCACCTTTATCAGCCAATTTATTTCCCTGAGCCTCATCTGAGTATTTTATACTATATCCCTCAGCTTTAATTGTAACAACTAGCTGGGGCAATAGCAATGACTCTAGAAGTTCTGCTATTTGGGGTTTACCTTTGACTGGGGACAAGTTGCTGTCATGAATCCTCTCTGTTTTCAAAACATACCAAAATCATGCACTACACCAAAGACCCAGTGTCTGTCACTGTAGATGCTAATCTGAATTCCCTCTGCCTTATATAAGCCTGAATGAGAACAGTTAATTTAGCCACTTTGGCTGATTTAACGTGTGGCAAAGCTTGGCATTCAAGAGTTTTGTGTAGATGAGTGATGGCACATCCAGGCTGGAAGGTCCCAACCTCCTTCCAGAAGTAGGAGCCATTGACATAGAGCATAAGGTCAACTTAGGAGAGAAGGGTTTCTGACACATCTAACCTAGAGTGAGACAGTGATCTGGTTTCTGTAGCACCATTGTGTGTGTGTGCTGAGGGGTTCCCTTATTGGACAAAATGTACAGGGTAGCAAGGGATTTTTGGCAGCAAAGGATTGTGATTGGGTGGGGAGGAGTAGTAATATTTCATGAGAAGTAAGTCGAGAAGCAAACGAGTGCTGCGTGTTTTCATTAAGCAATAGGGTTGACACGGCATGGGAACATACACATCAAGTGGGCGGCCTAACACTAAATCAGAAGTAGCCTGGATGAGTTGGAAGTCATGGCCACTGTTTGTAGGCCAGGAGGATATGCTTTAGCACTGGCTGGTTTTGTGGGAAAACAGAGAGAAAGACATGGCTGAGTCTCATGGTGCTCAGAGAAGGCCACAGCCTTGGGGTGCCGTGGTGACCACAAACACTTCCCCCATCCCATACCAATCGTTAACAGCTTTTTCCTTCTTAAAGGCCTGTCACTTAGCAAAGAGCTTTCAATGAACCCTCCCCTCTGGGCCACTTGTTGGATTGCAGCCAATCAGTGATGGAGGGCTGGACATAACTGTGGGATGCTGTGATTTGGTTTGGCTCCTGGGTCTAGAGTGCTCTGGGGTCCACTGTACTTCTGGGAGAAAACGCCAAGGCCGTGACTCTCTTGCTCATTTACAAACAAAAGATCGAGGGCTAGCTAAACAAGGACAGAGCGGAAGCAGCTTTCTGTAAGACACACCCAGCAGCGTGCCTTGTCAGTTTACCATTGCCATGGCAAAACTCAGGCATTACCACCACTTTCAGCGGCAATGACCTGATGACCCAAAAGTTACCACCCTTTTCCTAACAATTTCTGCGCAAACCACCCCTGAATCTGCATGTAATTAAAAGTAGGTATACATATGACTGCAAAACTGGGCTCAGCTGCTACTCTCGGCACCCTGCCTATGGGGCAACCCTGGGAGCAGTCACTGAGCTGTGACCCCACAGGAGCTGTAACAGTGTTGCTTTGATAAAGGTGTTTTCTTCCACCTTACCACTGGCTTGCCCTTGAATCCTTTCCTGGGTGAAGCCAAGAACCCTTGCAGGCTAAGCCCCACTTTGGGGTTCGCCTGCCATGCATCAGCATCAGGTTTGTTTTTTAAACTTGTAAAATAGTTTTTGTGATTCTGTCATGTATTTTGCAGTCATGAACTAACATTTTTTTCCCTCAATTGTCAGTTGCAGTTTCCTCAAAGATCATTATAAATACTCCTTAACCTACAAAGTTTGGCAGTCACAGCCTACTCTTCGAGGAACAGCCTGACTCACCATCAAGAGGCTCCTCAGGTGGTTTTACTTCCCATGTTTCCCATGTGAGGTACTATGCCTCAGTGGTTCCTGGCAAAACTTGTATTCTCTGTTAGTATTGCGCTAACTTTGGAGTGAGTTTCTTTTGGTGAGTAATAATTTTAGTCAATGATACTACTGGTTATTTTATCTTTTTTTAGGCTTATGATGAATGCTTGATTTATGATTAATATGTTTTTCACTTTTACACATTTCAAGGAAGGAAACAAGAACAGACAGAAACACAACATACTTCATGAAACCACATTTTAGCATCCTGGCCGAGTATTCATCACTCAGCAAGATAGAGAGACATAAACTATTTCCAGCAAGAATACTTCATAAATGATGAATAGAAGAAAAATAGAAGTCCTAAAAATCTTGCAGAACTGCCTTAATTTACTAATATCTTTACACTGTATCCTAAGTCACTCTCTAGCTTCTTGCTCTAAGCATATGAAATGTAAGAGCTAATGGGAACCCCAGTGCCTGTATAAATAACAAGAACCAGCATGTCTTTATGTATGGCGGGGAATACTCTACAACCTGGCACAGATGCCACTCTGCTTCAGTTTGGGGAAGCTCCTCACTTTACCATCCTGACGTTGAATAAATGATTCAAAGGCAACTACAGATGCAACCTGAGCCACTGGATGGGCTTCTGTAAATAAAGTTATCTCACCTGGCATTCATTACAGAGAAAACAAGAAATAAGGCACTACATGTCATATTTGTCTAGATCCTATACATATTTAGGTTCACATTAAAATGAAGAGAAAACAACATAGGCTGAGAATCAGAAAACCTGAACTCTGTCCCAGCTCAGCCACTGACCAAAGAGAATTAATGAATCGCCTTAAATGTCAGTTTCTTCATTAAGCATCGTAGAGAATGTCAATACCAACTTTACAAATACTGTCATTCCAATAACCACACAATTCAAATATAAATAATCTTTATAAGGTAACAAAAATGTACATAATACTTTAGATAAACATTTTTAGAATAACTTTATTATAACTCGATAAGCAAAATAATCCAAACCTTTATACATTTCTACAAGGATAGTCACATATGTCAATTTTTCGGTTTCCTCTCGTGCCTATTTTGTCTCCTGAGCCGGCCCCTTTCCAGCTGACACGTGTGCTCCGTGTTCTCCCACAATAGTGTGACCTGGCCTGAGTCCATGCCGCCGTGAGCCTCCTTTCTGTGCTTACAACAGCAGCCTGCCTGATGTCAGTTATGGACTATTCTTTCTTTCAGCCTCATTTCAGGGTCCTCTGCCTCTTAGAGCTGCTGCTGTAGCTTAGCTAGAGACCCGCTGCTGTTGCATCATGGAAAAGTGCCACATACGTGCACATGTGAAAGAATACGCAGACCTTCATGTTGGGTTTAAGTTTTAGAAAAAGTCAGAAGTAGCTTCACTTGATTTCAGCTTGTAAAGACACAGGAGGGAGGCAACTGAGAATCACCATTGCAAAAAGCAAACATCAAAAATCACATTAAAATGCTGAAGTGTTGTGGATCACAAACCTAGCTTTATTGGATCAAGCATTCCTGACAGTTGTTCTACCTGCTTTGTTATGCTTTCCATCAGACAGGGCTTATTCTCTGTCTTTTTTTAATCATATTCATTTATTTCCTTTGGTCTGTTTAGATTATTATCACATCTTATGTTTTAAAACTAGCAAAATATTATGTGTAAGTCATGAAGACAGTGTAAGAAATAATAAAATGAACACTGATGTACACATTACCTGCCTAAGAATCAAAAACTACCCATATTTTTAGAGTCCTTAACACTGTCCTGTTAATTAGTCCCATTTCTTATCTTTATAATTTTGCCAAAATAAATGCATTAGTAAAGGACATTGAGCATTATTGTTTCACATATTTTTCAGTTTAAACAAATGGAATCACACTGACTATATTTTTCTGAAATTGCTTTTTGGTTCAATATTTAATTTGTAAGATTCATTCTTATGATATGTTTATCTGTACTTTCTGTGCATTGATTTAGAGTATTCCATCACAGGATAATACTATAATGAGCATTCCATTTTATTAGATTGGGGTTATTATCCATTTTTTTCTATTACAAAAAGTAGATGTCCTTTTCTTGTATGAGTCTCCTGGACATAAAAGTTAGATTTTCTCTAAGGTATAAACCCAACATTGAAATCATTGTGTCAAAAGATTTGTATACTGTTGGTTTTTTACTATGTTAAAATGAACTGTTTTCCAATTTATGCTCCCATGAGAAGTTAAAGGTTCTGGTAGATCTATATGCTCACCAAAACTTAATAGTATCAAACTTTTTAACGTTAGTCAACTTGGTTTCTCATTTGAATTGTAATCTGCATTTTTTAGAAGTACTGAATCAAGATAAGAATCAAGTAATGAAAAAAATATTATTTTAGTAAATAAAAAATGCTATAAAGACAATAAAGCAAGTGAACGTAGTCAAAAGCGGAGAGGGGCTACTTCATTTTGATAGTCCAAGATGGCCTTGCTGGTCATCTGGGTTGAGAGGTGGCTGGCAAGATGAGAAGAGATGTTAAGTAGCTGTGGAAGGGGCCTGCTGGCACAGGGCATGCTCTAAGGCCCTGAAAAGAGGCAAACATTCTTTTCCTGTAAATACCTGTACTAAGTAAAAACAGTCCTGGCTTTGTGCATTTGAATATGCACAGGTTTAATTAACATAGTTTAGTTAAATAGCACTAGTCTCCCAACAACATGGTTACAATTTCAGTTACCACAATATGCTAACTGTGAGCAACTGCATAAAATCCAAACTTCGTTCTCAGCTCTTAATTCCACAACTGCCTATGTGATTAAATAACAGGCAAGCATCATGATCAGGGACTGTATTAATCTTGTGGGGATGCTGCAACAAAGTACAAAAAACCGGGTTGCTTAAAACAACAGAAATGTATTGACTCATAGTTGTGGAGGCTAGAAGTCAGAAATCAATGTGTTGGCAGGTTCACGCTCTCTGCTGGCTCTAGGGGAGAATCCTTCTTCCCCTCTCCTTCCTGTTTGGGTTTGCCAGCCATCCTTGGTGTTGTCTGATCTACAGATATATCACTCTGTTTTCTCTATGTGTCTTCACATCGTCTTTTGTGTGTGTGTGTCTGGAGCTGTATCCAAATTCTCCTTTATTATAAGACAGCAGTTAGTCTATTGGATTAGGACCCACCCTAATGACCTCATTTTAACTGGAGACCCTCTGTAAATGTGCTATTTCCAAATAAGCTCATATTATTTTGAGATATTGGGGATTAGAACTTCAAACATATCTTTTTTGGGGGACACAATTCACTTCTTTCAAAGCCTGTCAGTGACTGATCACTGTGCATCTGCTAGTTCGCACACAGACAGCAAAGTCTGCAATCGTGTTGATTCCTTGTCTCCCAGTGAGAAACCCATGTGACATTTATAAATATGAATAATCAGAAGAAAAAACTGGTCAGCAACCATTGATGTGCAGCAAAGAAATAAAAAATGTGATAACCCTGGAAGTGGATTCAAATACAACGTAAATGGAATCATAGAATCGGCTCACCACAGGACACGCGGCAAGAGGAACTCGGCGCAACGCAGTGTTCTGACATGAATGAGGAACACAGCTGTGATGAAAAGGATGAAGAAGCCCCAGAGGAAGTGATGCCGGCAAAGACAGCAACAAACTTCATATTAAAGGAACTCTTGTAGATATTTCATGACGTTGACAATGTTAGATGCTGTTCCGAAAACAGCACGAGAATTCACCAAGGCATAGAAACACTGCTGGCTCCTTATCATAGGCTATACGACAAGAGGGAGGCAAGCACTGTTCAAACTGGGCTTGATACACGTCTATAAATAAATAAAGCACTTAAATTGGCTGTTGTTTAATGTGTTAAATTACAGTGTATAAACTAAGTACTGGCCAGGCGTGGTGGCTCACTCCTGTAATCCCAGCACTTTGGGAGGCCAAGGTGGACAGATCATGAGGTCAGGAGATCAAGATGATCCTGGGTAACACGGTGAATCCCCACCTTTACTAAAAATATAAAAAATCAGCCAGGCGTAGTGGCACGTGCCTATAGTCCCAGCCACTTTGGACCCTGAGGCAGGAGAATAGCTTGAACCCAGGAGGTGGAGGTTGCAGTGAGCCGAGATCGCGCCACTGCATTCCAGCCTGGGTGACAGAGTGAGACTCCATCTCAAAAAAAAAAAAAAAAGTACTAACTTCACTATGTTTCATTTCCTTATACATTTATAACCAACAGTAAGAGATTTTTAATGTTTTGACCAAAATTTTTAAATGACACAGAACAGTCGATGTTTCACGTGGATTATTTAGGTCACTTTACAGATCTTCAGCTTACATAGTGATTTGTATGGCCCTGCACTGCTATGCAAAGAGAGGACTGTCTGTGCTCTTAACCAGTAAGAAGGAGGGCAAGAAAGAGGTTCTCAGCCAGATATTGCATACGTAATAAAATGATGGGAGAGGGAATAGCACTTTAGATATGAAATGTACCATGTGGGGAAGCTATTTGAACAACAACAACAAAATAGCTTCATTTAGCCCAATGGAGTACACTCAGCCACCTTCTAGATGTCCCTGCTTATTCTTCAAATCTTCTCTTTTGTGGCCCCAAAGAATGATTCACTCTCTGGAGTGAAAAATAACCGTTGCTTTCTTTGCCTGGAACTTTAAACTGAGTTGTGCTGTATCATCCAAACCTGCTCAATCCTCTCTTTTCTATTAATCAGTGAGGTCCAAAGGAGCCAAAGACAAATCTCTCCTGTTTTTCTTAGAAATGTAAAGATGTTGCATCTGTAACCACAGGCTGCTTTTAATCCTAAAAGTCAGCGTGATAATGAAATCCAGTGATTAATTTCTGTCTTCTAATCACTAAGTAGACATATCAATTTATAGTATGTTAGAAAGCCTCAACTTCACGGAAACAAAAAGCAAGAGGCTCTGCAAATGTTGGAGTGTGCTAAAGGAAAAGCATGGACTGATGTTTGGGGAAAGGTTGGTCAATGTGATGAGGCCATCTGTGTTTGCTAATAGTGCTTATCAAAATTAGGTTCCTACACAGAAACAGAGACCAGGAGACAATCCTGTATCCTTCTTGATCCTTATAGTCCAAAGGGATGGCTCCCAAGTCTTTCAGAAAGACATTTCCATGTTGTAGGAGATTTAAAGGGGCAGAGAAAGGGTTTATAACTGCAGGTTTTCTGTCTTTTTTTTTTTTTTTTTCCAGACAGAATCTCACTCTGAGCGCAATCTCGGCTCACTGCAACCTCCGCCTCCCGGGTTGAAGAGATTCTCCTGCTTCAGCTTGCTGAGTAGCTGGGACTGCATGTGTGTGCCATGACACCCAGCTAATTTTTCTCTTTTTAGTAGAGACAGGGTTTCACCATGTTGGCCAAAATGTTCTCGATCTCTTGACCTCGTGATCCACCCTCCTTGGTCTCCAAAAGTGCTGGGATAACAGGTGTGAGCCACCACGTCTGGCCATTGCAGGTTTTCTAAAGTTAAGGCTCTTAGAAATGGGAGGTCAGGGACCTATAGTCAAGTTTTGGGTGGGACAAACAGTAAATTCTTTTGGCAGAATTGAATGTTCCCAGGCAGGTGCTTTAGAGGGGCATGGGGCATCATAGGGATGTGGCTCTGAGCTGATAGACGCTGTGTTGGAATTTGGCCAAGTCTCTTAGTGTATGTATGAGGAGGAGGGATGTGCAGAAGAAGTTGTTTGTGCCAAGAATTTGCGGTTTTCACAGGTTAAGACAGTGGTGCCTGGGATCATCTGCAAGGTATTAGTCAAATGTTGATACAATGATTGTTTGCAGACTCATCTGAGGGCTTAGGCAGATCTGGACCTGTTGATACTGAAGTTTCTGAAGGTAGAGGAAGAAAACATAATGTCTCAATAATATCTGAAGTAGGGGTAGGAAAACAGAGATTTAAGGAGGTGAGATCCCTTAAGGCCTCAGAAAGAAGCTTCACTTCTTGTGCCTCCCTTCAGAGTAAATGGGTCATTAAATTAGTTCTTTGTAACTAACCTGGGAATGATGGTGAAGAAGGGAATAATGAGAGGAAAAACTTTAAATAAGAATGCCTGAGAGATCATTCTAGGTCAGTGGGAGAGAAAGAAGTTTCCAAGAAGCTGTCATGGGAAAGGGCTCACGAATAATAAATAAAAAATTAGTTATTAATAATATTAATTAATAAATAAAAAATAAGACATCTGCCAACAGCCACACTTACAGCACTAGATGGATTTTAACTAAATTAAAACCTGAGTTTTTAATGAATTTTCTACAATCCAAAATTTATTTCAGTTTAATTTTTGTAACAAAACACCATTTCTTTACTGTTTGCAAAAGTAAAAGTAGAGTGCTATTTGTACTTTTTAAATAAAAACTAATTTTAAAGAAAAAAATAATTAGCCGGACATGGTGGCAGGAGCCTGTAATCCCAGCTACTGGGGAGGCTGAGGCAGGAGAATTGCACAGGTTGCAGTGAGCCCAGATGGCCCCACTTCATCCAGCCTGGGTGACAGAGCGAGACTCTGTCTCAAGCTTCTTCAGTACTCACATGTAAACTTCTACTTTCCCCTTCAGATTACAGCAACCATCATGCCAAAGCTATACACTCTCAGGGAATCCCTGTGGATTTCACTGATGACCACTTTACCAACTATTATAAAAATCAAGGCCAGGGTTTCTCAAACTCTCAACATTTGTGTGCTCATCTCCCCTTCACCCAGAGACTCCCCAGGGCTGCTGGGCCACACTTTGTTTGGTTTGACTGGAACATAGCTCGAAAGGGATGGAAATTTCCAAGAGGTGTTAAGAGACACATAAATATTTCAAATATTAAAATGAAAGAAAGAAAGAAATGGGCATTTGTGAGCTTTGGTCATGAGAACACAGGCCTCGCAGTACTTAACTACTTCCAAATCCCTGTCCAAAGAGAGGACCAAACTCTAGTGAGGCTTCCAGCAGCACAAGGGTGTCCCGTGGATGACCCCAGCCCTCTTAAAATGACTGCCTGAAAAAGCTCACTTGCAAGGAGAATTTACTGTTTGTTTCAGGCAAAACCTGGTGATGGGCAGGTAGAGCCCCGAATCCCCTCTTAGAACCTTAGAAAGCTTACAATTATAAATTTTTCTCCACCTTTGAAGTGTAAATCTACATCCCAGAATTGTCTTCTCAAAGACCTGAGAGCTGTCTCTTTGAAATGCAAACATTCAGGAAGCTAACTCTTGCTCTTGTTGCCAGTTCCTGAGGGAGGGGAAAGGCCTAGCTTTGGTGAGCACCTTGCTCCAGCTTGCACCGTCTGACTCTTTTATTGCCATCAAAATCAACATGTAGACTTTTTTCAAACCCAATGACAGCCCATTACAATGGAGGCCATAGCAATGGAGGTCTCTACATGCAAAAAAGATGGTGGGACAGTTTCCTGATAACAGGTCAACTTTATTCCAAGGATAAGCATGTCATGAAATTATTGGATGGCAGATTATGCTTGAGTTATCTATGGTCTTCCTTTTTCTCCTTGGTCTCATCCCAATAACTTACAGATCCTTTAAAGGCAAAGGCCAAATATTCAGCTAAGTTAGGCATACTTCAGATGCCCAATATCAATTTTAGCTATATGGGAGATCCTACTTAAGATATTGAGGACGATCATGTGTGTACAGGGCAAAAAGTATGGGACAAAGAGATAAGGGGATGGGAAATCACACCCTCCATCCCCACCACAGACCATGACCTGGGGCAGGTCCTCTAACACCAAGCCCACCCAGGCCCCATCTAACAATATGCCGCATTCTACATGACCTCAGAGTTCTTTCAGGATTCCAGCTGAAAAGCTGAAAAGAAATACTATATAGTTGTGGTTTCCAGCTGGCTCATGTTAGTATGTATAGCTTTTCTTCCTCGCCATGAAAGCACTATGGGAGAACTAAGCCCGATGCTGAGTATGATTTGCCAGGTGGGTGCTGCTGAATCACAGACCTCAGCGACTGTGTTCCGCCTCCACAGAGGCCGGGGATGTTTGTTTCCCCAGTGTGTTCATATATTTCAGCCAGTGTCTTGCACTTTGCCCTCTCAATTTGCTTCACTTTCTGGCTCAGTGAACCTGACCTGCAAGTCTCCCTGCAGTTTCCCTCAGCAAGTGCTCACTGGGCAGCCCCAACATGTGAGAAACGGCTATGGGGTGCATGGAGGTGAAATAAATTACTAAAAACTACTACTATACTAAAATGCTTCCTGAATTCCAGAACTCACCAACTGGGAGAAAGGTCAGACACACACGGAGACAACTCATCTACAGAAATGATCATCAGTGATTTAAAGAAGGTTCAGCAGAGCGAGACTCCGTCTCAAAAAAAAAAAAAAAAGTACAGGAGATCATGGAATAAGAACAAGAAGAGATTACTTTCCAGGGCTCTCAGAAAGTTTCTGAAATGAAGTGCCATTGACCCTGACCTTAGCATTGTAATGGAGACATTACAGAGCTGGTAGGAAGGAGAAGAAGAAGGAACGGCTGGAACACACTTGGGGTGAAATGAGTGGCATTTCAGTGTGGGAGCTGCAGACTTGGTTTTGGTGGAAGAGTTAGGAGCCAGGATCTTGTCAGGAATAATTCTGTGTCGAAGTGCAGAATCGTGGTTTGCTCCACTACTGCCAGTAACTCTATTTCTCAATCATGATGGTGAAGCTTTTTTTTTGGCTTCAAATCCCAGAGATTGGCAGTACTGAAGTCACATTACAACAATTAACTTTTCAGCTATGAGATGATTAATTTTTACAAAGTAGCAAGAACAGCTGTTTGGCATGTAGCAGTACACCACGAGTATCTTGCAAATGAATTAAACAAAATATCTCTCCAACACACACACATGATAATTCTTGCTGCATGTCAGCCTCCACTTCTCCCTCCATTATTTGATGCCGTGAAGCTGAGGCAGCCAGCTTGAGTGAAAGCTTTCAGATCTCACTCCAACAAAGAGCTTTGATTGATTCATTTAGTATAAGGTGTTTTATCTGGCTAGAGAAATCCAAGCTGAGTTTTATTACTAAGAAAAGTATCTATGCAATAGATTAATCTTTGATCAAAACTATGTGTGAAATAGAAACATATTACACATATGGAGAGCAGTTTTATGGAATAAAAACAATCTGTTTGGCATAACTGACATTGTCTTTATATTTTTGGGGGTGTGTGTGAGGACGGAGTCTCGCTCTGTCTCCAGGCTGGAGTGCAGTGGCACGATCTTGGCTCACTGCAATCTCCACCTCCTTGGTTCAAGCGATTCTCCTGCCGCAGCCTCCTGAGTAGCTGGGATTGCAGGTTCCTGCCGCCATGCCCAGCTAATTTTTGTATTTTTAGTAGAGACTGAGTTTCACCATATTGTCCAGGATGGTTTCAATCTCCTGAACTCATGATCCTCCTGCCTCAGCCTCCCAAACTGCTGGGATTACAGGCGTGAACCACCTTGCCTGGCCTATACATAATTTTTGAAACAGATACAGAATATATAGATAGCTTAACAATTATAAAATTGTATTTATCAAGTATGTCACGAGGTAAACATTTTACGCTATGCAAAAGGGAGCAAACCTCTGAATTTGTCAGGCAGGGTCACTAGTGGAACTCACAGCAACAGGTCTGATAAAGCAGAGGAGGGAACCAGGCTTTCATGTGCTTTAGAGAGAGTGAAACATGAGGAGTCATAGGCAGAGAAAACTGTTTTTCAGAAAGAAAAGAAAGGGGACATGACAGCCCAGCAGTAGGGTGAAGAGGGCCTCTCCGTGGGTGCCACTGGCTTGAGCTGCTGTAAGTGGCTGTGCCTGGAACAGAGGATCTGTATAGGAGAATGGGGAAGGGAGTGCTGGAACCGGGGGTGGGCAGGAGCAGCAGTCTGGAGACCAGAATGACCTAGGGTTTCCTCTCATGCTCCCATTCCCAGTGTTTCATGTGTGTAAAGTAGCAAGCATGCATATACTACTTAGAGGCATCTACACTTACATACTACACTCATATACAACACTGGCATCGTACAAAGTACACATAGTAGGTGTGGCATGTAGTAAGTTACTCTCCTATATTTTCTTCTAAAAGATTTTTAAATATTTGCATCTCAAATTTAAGTCCTTTGTCCATTTAGATCTGGCCTTTGTGTGACAGGGATCCATTTTTGGGATAGAGATCCATTCTGATATTTTCCCATATGGATACCAACTGCTCATACCATGGATTATATAGACCCTTTCTGACTGTTCTGTAATGTTAGCCAGGGCATACATCAAAATTTCACACAAGCATACACTTTCACAATAGCAATTCCTGCTGTGGTAATTATAACTTCACAGCAAATCTGGTACGTAAGCTCCACCTCCCACCTTCGCACACTTTATTCTTCTATGGGATTGTCTTAGTTATACTGGACCCTTTTCTCTTCCCTATAAGCTTTGGAAGCAGTTTAGTGACAATGGTATTCTTGTCTTTTTCTTGATTTTAAAAGGAGTGATTTCAATATTTTTAATCACAAAACATGATAGATGCTGTAGGTTATTTGTCGACTCCTTTTATCAGGTTAAGGAAGTTACCCTTTATTCATAGGTGGAAATATCATGAATTATTTAATTTTTGTAAAATAATTTTATAGGCCTTTTGAGACAATCATATAACTTTTGTCTTTAATTCATTGATAAGGAGATGACTTCAGTAGATTTTCTAACACTGAACTAAATTTGCATTACTAACCGAGCTTGTTCATGGTTTTTATACTTTGCTAGGTATACTTCCTAGTATTTTGTTTACAATATTTGTCTCTGTGTGCATGGATGAGGTACACAATAGCAAGGTTACCCTAGTCTCAAATGAATTGAAGAATGGTCTCTTTTTTCTCCCCTCGCAAATAATTAGTGTAACATTGGAACTACTTGTGACATCATCTGGGCATCCTGTTTTCTTTGTAGAATTATTAACTATCAACTCGATTACTTTAATGGTATGATTTCCATCCAGATTTTCTAATTATTTGAGTCAACTTTAATCAGTTAAATGTATCTAAAAATTTGTTAATCTCACTTATTTACAAATGCATATATTTAATTGTCATTACTTAATGAAGTAGATCATAAATATAAAAGTGTGTATGTACAGCTTAAGAAGAATATAAAATGAGCATATGTGTCCTTCCTTCAGGTTATGAAATAGAATATTTCCAGTATCTTAGAAACTCCCATTGCCCTTCTTCAATGTCACTCACTCCTTCCACAAGAGGTAACCACTATCCCTAACTTCCTGTTAATCATTCCATTGCTTGTCATTACAGACTTTATATTGTTTAGTTTTGCACGTTTGACTTTTTAAATAAGTGAAACTATGTATTGTTTCTTATGATCAGATATTCATACACACAAACATGTATATGTATATATATATACACACATACACACATTATTTTTAAGAGCAGTTCAAAGTTCACAGCAAAACTGAGCAGCAGGTATAGATTTCCCATATACTCCCTGTCCCCCACACATGCATAGCCTCCCCCATAATAAACATCCCCCACCAGAGTGGTGCATTTGTTACAATTAAAGAACCTACATGATACATCTTATAGTTTGCATTAAGGTTCACACTTGGGCTTGGACAAATTTACAATGACAAGTATTCACTATTAAAATATCATACACGTACTTTCACTGCCCTAACCATCCTCTGTGCTCTGGTTATTCATCCCTCTCTTCCTCCTAACTCCTGGGAACCACTGATTTTTTTTTTCTATTTCTATAGTTTTACCTTTTCCAGAAGGTCATAGTTGGAAGTGACAGTATGTAGCCTTTTTAGATTGGCTTCTTTCATTCTGCAATATGCATGTAAGCTTCCTCTGTGTCTTTTCATGGCTTGACAGCCATTTATTTTATCACTGAATGGTATTCAGTTGTCTGGATGTAATACAGTTTGTTTAATTATTCACCTACTGAAGGTAATCTTGCTTGTCTCCAAATTTTTGCAATTATAAATAAAACGTCCATAAACATCTGTGTGCAGGTTTCTGTGTGGACATAAGTTTTCAACTCCTTTGGGTATATACCAAGAAACAAGATTGTTGGGTCGTATAATAAGAGTAGATTTAGTTTTCTAAGATGCCACAAAACTATTCTCCATTTTGTATTTCCATCAGCACTGAATGAGAGCTCCTGTTGCTTCACATCCTCATCAGCATTTGGTGTTGTCAGGGTTCTGGATTTTTGCCATTCTAATACGCATGCAGTAGTATCTCATTGCAGTGCTGTATTTGAGAATGTGAATAGCTGCAGTTCATTCACTCTTAGTGCTGCGAGGTACTCTATTATTGGAATATATGATCATTTAGTTACCTATTCCACAATCTACCCATATTGAGAGATAATTGGATTGTTTCCAGGATTTTAAAATGGTGAACATTCTCATATATCCCTAGGTAAACAAACGCAAGAATTTTTCTGGGGCCTGTAACAGGCTGACTAGGCTGCACTAGGTTGTAGTGAAGCCACTGGGACATAGGGTACATTATGATAAGCTGTATGAGCTAACATCCATTTTCCAAATGGCTGTCCTTCTACTTGCATGGGATGAATGCTTCCACGGTTCTTTATCCTTGCCAATACTACACCTTTCAGAACTTCCAAAAAATTTTGTCAATATGTGTGAAAGGGTATCTAATTGTTAATTTTCATTTTCATGATTATTATGAGGTTGAGCACTTTTTCACATGCTTATGGGTATTTGTGCTAACTTCTTAATTGAGGTGTTATTTTTCACTTATTAATTTATAGGAGAGCTTTATATATTCTGGATACTAAACCTTTCTAGGCAACATGTGTTGCAAATATCTCTGCCAAGTTTTACATATTTTTTTCTCATTGTGGTATCCAATAAACAGAAATCTTAAATTTTTATGTGATCAAGTTAGTTTTTACTCTTGCAGTTTGTTCTTCTTCCCCATGTAAAGGTAAAAGAGATGCTCCACAGTTTTTTTCTAAGAATGTTGAGAAGGTATCTTTATCCATTAAAATATATTTTTATGTTTGGTCTATGGGATTAAGTTTCAATTTCCTTTTTTTCCCCTTATGGACATCAGTGGTCCCAGTGTTGCTTATTGTAAACTTTACTATCTTCACTTAACTACAATAAAAGCTGTGTTACAAAATATGTTTCCAAGTATGTGTGAAAAATATATTTATCTTTATGATTCTACTCAGATTAATTAGCTCTCAGGACTGCTGTGTCCGGAGTCGATTCCTTCTGGTGGGTTCGTGGTCTCGCTGACTTGAAGAATGAAGCCGCCGGCCTTCACGGTGAGTGTTACCGCTCTTAAAGATGGCAAGGACCCAAAGAGTGAGCAGTAGCAAGGTTTATTGGGAAGAGCTAAAGAACAAAGCTTCCACAACCTAGAAGAGCACCCACGCAGGTCGCTGCTGCTGGGGTGGGGGTGGGGGGTGGCCAGGTTTTATTCCCTTATTTGTCCCGTTTCTCTCCTATCAGAGTGCCCTTTTTTCAATCCTCCCTGCGATTGACTACTTTTAGAATCCTGCTGATTGGTGCATTTTACAGAGCTTGCTGATTGGTGTGTTTTACAGAGCGCTGATTGGTGTGTTTTACAGAGCACAGATTGGTGCGTTTTACAGAGTGCTGATTGGTGCATTTCATAGAACTCTTGTAAGACAGGTAAGTTCCTGATTGGTGCATTTTACTATCCTCTTGTAAGACAGGAAAGTTCCCCAAGTCCCCACTCGACCCAGGAAGTCCGGCTGGTCTCACCTCTTGCTACCAGAGACTAATTTCCACCCTGGTATTTCTCAAGCCCATAGATAGTGTGAATTCAAACCCAAACCAATATGGCTATTGTTTTGTATTTAGAAATTACCATACGTTTTTTATTTTTCATTTTTTTGTCTGCCCTATTGGGACCAAGACAAGCACATATTTTCACTTTCTTCTTATGGGGGTGGGATTTTCCTAGCCCAGGCACTTAACATGCTTCTTTTTAGAAATCCTAGATTTATGCAGGAGGTATTTTAGCCTATATTCCTCCCTGCATGGGCATCAGTCTCTCTCTCCTGAATTAGGTGCTCATGGGTCTGGGCCAATAGTTCCTGGGAGACACCCCAGGGCAAATGCCAGATGAGACACCCACACCTCTGGATTCAGACTTTTTTTGCTCTTCTAGGTATCTGAAAATTGTCCTGACTTTGACTCAGCCCATGCATTAAAGCAGATGCTTTTAAATATTTTATGATACATGTTTTAGGAAAGGGCCTATCTGGATATTTTTTCTTACAATTTTCATTTCTCATTCAATTCTTCTTTCACACTATCCTAACGATTAATCAACTCTTGCCATTTATGTCAGTTAGTACAAAACTTCACTATCCTGTTCATTATTACCATTTCATTTTGTTCTGCATAGGCCAGACTATTTATCTAAAAATGTTTAAAGAAATCTAAGGCCTTAAAGGATTCTTTCTCAAGGACTCTACTGTTTGTATTTAGAGAAATGCTCATTTGTTCCACTGTTTTACTTTCTTCTTGGGTCACGCTCTTTGATGACTGCCACCTTACAGAGGATGACAAAAGAGGGCCCACGCTGAGAGAGTGATACCTGCTTGCCCCTTTGGATTTTATTAGTGTTATCAAAATATTAATAAAATGTCAAAAACAAATTAATATCATTAGAATGTGTGCCTCACTTAAAAATTTCTCTCTCTAATAAGAAGTTTTTGCTTCCTAGTTCCTTTGGTATCCTAATGTTTAGGTAAATATTCTCTGAGGAAAGGATGTGGAAGTCATAGCAAAATATATGCTGGACTTGAATGAAAATATCTGTTTCATAAAAGTTAAGCAGGCAACCAAAATTTACCTTTTTTAACCTAAATTATCTAAACATGTATTTACATTTCTGCTTCATTGAAAGATATTTGAGATTAAATATTCCTGAGACTGATTTTGGAATGCCCTCTCTTTCTAAAATGTATTTTTTATTTTTTGTGGACTAAACAGTTATTTAAAAATGAACTTAATGATTGCTAATTACTAAGTTATCTAAACAGTTATTTAAAAATGAACTTAATGATTGCTACTTAGTTATTTATAATGCATTTCAAAATTAACTTTATTGTCTAAACCTTTTAACACAAATGTATTAAATTATGAAACAGGGAATTGGCTATTTTTGTTCAAATGTTTATCCTCATCAAACTTAAAATATCACTCAGCTATATGATTAAAAATGAAGGCTTCAGTCATTAAATTATTTCCCAGTTATTTGTGATATTTCTCCATACTAAAGGACACAAACAGTGCCCTTCAAATCTGATGATAGTTCTATTGATAGTGGCCATCACAAGTTCCACGTTATCAATAAGGTCAAGGCACAAATAAAATTTCTCCCTTGCTTTTCACTCAAAAACTACAAGTATAGTTCTTTGATAAGATGTCCCAATCATGATTTGTGATGCCAATCATAAAAGGAAAGAAGAGGATGTTGAGAAACAATAAAATAGCTACTTTAAAATGTTCTGTGCCTGAACATTTAGATGGCAATATTGGTCATACTATAAATTTGAAAATATAAATTTTAATCTAGATTGACTTTATTCTACTAGTGATTTTAAGAGCTTTATACAAGAGAAACACTTGCATTTTTATTCCTAATGTTTCTTTCAAAATGTGAAACTCCTTTTTTTTTTTATAATTTTAAGAATTCCTAGATAAGCAGAACATAGAGCCAACTGTTATGTTCTGGTTGTTTTTAATAGGTATATTTATGTTATCCCCCAAATTATAATTTATTAATGTCTAACTTCAATTAGATGAGTTGATTACTTTTCATACACCATTGACTAAAGGAAACCTAATTTTACACGTAATTCAAGGGGATCTGTGAGTAAGAACATTTTTAAATTAAAGCAACACATGTGCATGGAAAATCATTCAAACAGTTTGATGGGAAAAAAATCGATGGAAACCAGAAACTTTTTTTTTCCTTCCACAGACCTTGGTCCTGTTTTTCAGAGTGAGGCAGGTTTTATCATACTCTTTTTTTTTTACTATATGCTATTCTCTTGAACTGTAAATAATATTATATAATCACCTAATTTGTTTTATCAATTTTAAGTAATATCCCTTGACTTTTTATGAACGATAGAGAATATAGCTCATTTACCTGACTTTTTTTTCTTTTTTCCTTTTTCTTTTTTTTTTTGAGACGTAGTCTCACTCCCTCACCCAGGTTGGAGTGCAGTGGTGCTATCTCGGCTCACTGCAACCTCCGCCTCCCGGGTTCACACCATTCTCCTGTGTCAGCCTCCTGAGTAGCTGGGACTGCAGGCGCCCACCACCACGCCCGGCTAATTTTTTGTATTTTTAGTAGAGAAGGGGTTTCATGGTGTTAGCCAGGATGGTCTCGGTCTCCTGACCTTGTGATCCGTCTGCCTTCGCCTCCCAAAGTGCTGGGATTACAGGCGTGAGCCACCGCGCCTAGCCCATTTACCCCACTTTCTTCTTCTAAAACTATATTTCCAATTTAGTCTTTAATATATAATTTTAAGGGATTTTTAAAAATTTGCTTCCTCTAAATAATATACTTACAGTGCTTAATTCTTTGCTTAAATAATATACTGTTTAAATAATATATGGTCCATCCAATTTGAATACCACTGATTGGCTCAGTAGGATGTGGAGATTAGTGTAAAACTTCCCTCCCCTCCAACCGTCCCTGTTATAGCTTTCGACTTGTATCAAATATGGTTCTATGCTTATATTTTCACATTTTATGTAAATTACATCCTATTTTGTAGTTATAATAAAGTCTGTGCTTTGTTCATAGGTTAATTTTGATCATGGAATCTCAAGTGAATTGACAGCATCATTATTATGTTTTCTTTTTTTTTCAAACTACAGTCGCAGGTGGCGTGACTTGATTTGTGTGAAGGCAATGAAATGATACAAAGATACACCGAAGCCTCCCAAAAGAATCCTGGTTCCAAGACTTAAGAAGATGGATTAATGTTTTTCCATTAGTTGTTTGAAATTATGTCATTTTTTCACTATGTGTCATCAATTTTAAAGCACTTCTGAAAAGAGATAACAATCTACAATAGCTGGCATTTTAAATTCATAAAAATATAGTATTTTCTTCTATTTTTATACATTTATGATGCATTATTTCTTATTTCCCAGGAATTTTACTTACCTTTGTTTTGAATGATTAAAAAGGAAACACAGTACTTTTTTCAGCACATCACCAAGATAGCCTAGTTAATATTCTTCTCTTTCTGAAGTCGTTGAATTGGGACAGACAGCTTGCCAGGCCTGCTGCCACGTGTCAGCATCGCATCCCTACATTCAACCACACTTGCATCTAACGACCGTCTCTTTCATTAAATTTCTTTTGCACCTTTTCTTCCTGAATGAGTGCATGATAGTTAATTTTCCTGTGCACTTGCATGTCTCAAGAAGGTTTTAATTCTTTTTGTATTGCATTAATATTTACATTAAGTTTATAATTGCAAAATGATTTATACTCAGAACATTGAAGCCTCCTTTGTTTTGTAACATCCTGTCAAAATGGCTAGAAGACAGATCATCGTTTAGGGAAAAATTGGTTTTGATTGGCATCAGCCTTTGCAACAGCAATGCTGGAGACAAGAATAAAATGAAGTAATATCTTTCAAGGATTAAAAGGAAACAAATTTTAATCCTTGAATTATTTGCAGCCAAAATCTTTTAAATATGAAAGCACAGAAAAAGACATTATAAAATAAGGCCTCAAAAGTTTTATTTCAAATAAATCCCTTTGAAAATGCCTAGACATACTCCACTAAGAAGAGAAATAAACCGTGGTGTTAGAATTGAGGGTTCAAGAATCAATGGTAGTGGTGTTTATCATACCTAAAAAATACATGAAAACATAACATATTGAAAACAACCCCGAGTAAACTTCAGAAAGCACCCCCTTAGACAAAGTGCTGTCGTAACAGAGAAAGCAAAGCAGAGGTGGCAAGAGGAGGCTAGAGTACTTATTTGGTTTGCTGAGATGATATTAATTTTGACACATGTCGGACACATTTCGGAAATTGAGAAAATTAACATAAATAATGATATAACCACCATTACAATGTTAAAAATTTCCAGATTTCAAACAAGTGGAAAAAGATTTGATCTATAGAGTGAGAGGTACAAATAGGAAAAAAGAAACAGTAAAGAAAGTATGAAAAATCATAAACGAGATGACAGAAAGAAGTCATAATGGAACAAAAATTACATAAATCAAAGGTTAAGATTGTTAGGTAAAATTTTTTAAGTGTCAAAAAACACACAATATAACCTATCAAAAATAAATTAGTGGAAAAAATGTAGCAGGAAAATATCAATAAAAAGAGCTAGGTCCAATTTTTGATAAAAATTGGAATTCAAGTTGATAATATCCTAAAGAAGGAAAAGTCTGTAGGCCAATAGAAGAAATAGCAGATGCAGAGGTGTGCTCACAAACATGCGTGCTCATGACACTACTCATACAAACTCAAATTCCCATTACAGTTGTATACAAACATGATGGCCGACAAGAAGAAAGTTCCTTTAAGCCCACTTGGAGCATTAAGACAAATTTACCATGTGAATCCCTAAGTGAACTCTGAGTTACTTCTGCGAAGGAATGAACGATGATATCATAAATGAATTTCATATAACACTCAAAGCTCCTCCTCTATATGGTTCAGGATAGACTTGAGTATCCACGGTTCTGGAGTGCAAGGGAAGAGAAAGGAAAGGTGCATTCAGACAAAAAAAATGTGTACAGAACACACCAGGGATATCAGAAGAGGCTGCTCATGGCAAGGCGTGGTGGCTCATACCTGTAATCCCAGCAGTATGGGAGGCCAAAGTGGGTGGATCACCTGAGCTCAGGAGTTCAGGACCAGCCTGGGCAGCAAGGTGAAACCCCATCTCTACCAAAAATACAACAAAATTAGCTAGGCATAGTGGCACATGGCTGTGGTTCCAGTTACTTGGGAGGCTGAGGTGAGAGGATTGCTTGAGCCTGGGAGGCAGAGGTTGCAGTGAGCCCAGATCGTGCCTCTGCACTCCAGCCTGGGCAACAAAGTGAGACCCCGTCTCAAAACAGAACAAAACAAAACAAAAAAAGAGACTGATCAAGACCAGACTCGGCTCCTAGGCCTTGAACTCCAGTCCCACCTCACACCCTAAGGTTCCTAAAGAATCAGTAACTTAGTTCACCCTACCCCGCTCCTGGCTTCTAGATGTAGCACAAGTTTCTAAACTTATGCAAACAGTGAGGACTATCTATTTTGACAAAATAAGAAGAAATGGAGTCAAGGCAACATATAACAGATAGTTTTGCCAGTTTTATTGATTAACAAAGAAAAATTGTATATAGTTAAGGTATGCAGTGTGATATTTTGATATACATATACATTGTGAAGTGATGATTACCACAATCAAGGTAACATATTCATCACCTCACCTGGTTACCTTTTTATTTGTGTTTGTGTGGTGGAGAACACTTGAGATCTACTCTTTCAGCAAATTTCAAGTATACATTATTATTGACTTTAGTCACTATGCTGTACATTAGATCTCCAGAACTTATTCATCTTATAACTGAAAGTTTGTACCTTGTGACAAACATTTTTTCTTTTCCCCCAACTCCCAGGCCCTGGTAAGCACTATTTTACTCTCTTACCATGAGTTTGACATTTTTTAAGTATGCATATAAGTGAAATCATGCAGGATATTTCTGTGTGTGTTCCTGGCTTATTTTACTTACCATAATAAACTCCAGGTTTATCCATCTTGTTACAAATGGCAGCATTTCCTCATTTTTAAAGGCTAAATGATATTCCATTACATATGTGTGTGTGTCTGTGTGTGTGTGTGTGTGTGTGTGTGTGTGTGTAATACACTTAAAACATCCATTCATCTGTCAATGGACACAGGTAGTTTCCGTATCTTGGCTGTGTACATAACACTGCAATGAACATGTAAGTATACATATCTCTTTGAGATAGTGATTTTCTTTACTTTGGATATATACCTAGATGGGGATTGCTGGATTATATGGGAGTTCCATTTGTAATTTTTTGAGGAAACTCCATACTGTTGTCTGTAATGGCTGTACCAATTTACATTCCCATCAACTATCAACTAAGCGCAAGGGTTTCATTTTCTCAATATCCTCAGCAACATTTGTTACCTTTTTACTGTTATAATAGCCATCCTAATAGATGTGAAGTGATATCTGATTGTGCATTTTCCTGATGATTAGTGATGGCAAACCTCTTTTTCTTAGTATATACCTATTGTCAATCGTATGTCTTTTAGAAATGTATCTCTTCAGGTCTGATATGCTTGACTGTGTCCCCACCCAAATCTCATGTTGAATTGTAGCTCCCATAATTCCCATGTGTTATGGGAGGGACCCAGTAGGAGATAGTTGAATCATGGGAGCAGTCTCCCCCACACTGTTTTTGTGGTAGTAAATAAGCCTCACAAGATCCGATTGTTCTATAAGGGATTTCCTTTTTCACTTGGCTTTCATTCTGTCTTGCCTGCTGCTGTGTAATATGTGCCTTTAGCCTCCCACCATAAGTAAGACCTCCCCAGCCTCATGGAACTGTGAGTCCATTAAACCTCTTTTTCTTTATAAATCACACAGTCTTTGGTATGCCTTTATCAGCAGCATGCAAACAGATGAATACAGCAAATTGGTACTGGTAGAGTGGGGTGCTGCTGTAAAGTTATCCAAAAATGTGGAACCAATTTCGGAACTGGGTAGCAGGCAGAGGTTGCAACAGTTTGGAGGGCTCACAAAAAGACAGAAAAACATGAGAAAATTTGGAACTCCCTAGCGACTTGTTGAGTAGCTTTGACCAAAATGCTAATAATGATATGGACAATGAAATTCAGGCTGAGGTTGTCTGAGATGGAGATGAGGAACTTGTTGGGAACTGGAGTAAAGGTAAATCTTGCTATGTTTTAGCAAGGAGACTGGCAGCATTTTGCCCCTGCCCTAGAGATTTGAGGAATTTTGAACTTGAGAGAGATGATTTAGGGTAGCTGGCGGAAGAAATTTCTAAGCAGCAAAGCATTCAAGAGGTGACTTGGGTGCTGTCAAAAGCATTCAGTTTTAAAAGGAAGCAGCATAAAACTTTGGAAAATTTGCAGCCAAACGATGTGATAGACAAGAAAAACCAATTTTCTGAGGAGAAATTCAAGCCAGCTGCAGAAATTTGCATAAGCAACAAGGACCCAAATGTTCATCCCCAAGACAATGGGGAAAATATCTCCAGGACATGTCAGAGACCTTTGTGGCAGTCCTTCCCATCAGAGGCCAGGAGGCTTAAAAGGAAAAAATGGTTTCCTGGGCTGGATTCAGGACCCCCCTGCTGTGTGCCACCTTGGGACTTGATGCCCTGCATCCCAGCCACTTTAGCCACGGCTAAAAGGGGCCAAGGTACAGCTTGGACTGTGGCTTCAGAGGCGCAAGCCCCAAACCTTGGCAGTTTCACATGGTGTTGAGTCTGTGGGTGCACAGAAGTCAAGAACTGAGATTTGGGAACTTCTGCCTAGATTTCAGAGGATGTATGGAAACACCTAGAGGTCCAGGCAGAATTTTGCTGCAGGGGTGGGGCCCTCATGGAAAACCTCTGCTAGGACAGTGCAGAAGGGAAATGTGGGGTTGAAGCCCCCACAGAGTCCCCACTGGGGTATTGCCTCCTGGAGCTGTGAGAAGAGGGCCACCGTCCTCCGGACCCCAGAATGGTAGATCCACCAACAGCTTGACCATGTGCATGGGAAGACCACAGACAATGCCAGCTCATGAAAGCAACCAGGAGGGGGGATATGTCCTGCAAAGCCACGGGGGTGCGGCTGCCCAAGGCCGTGGGAGCCCACCTCTTGCATAAGTGTGACCTGGATGCAAGACATGGAGTCAAAAGAGTTCATTTTGGCACTTTAAGATTTGACTGGACTGCTGGATTTTGGATTTGGGGCCTGTAGCCTCTTTGTTTTGGCCAATTTCAACCATTTGGAACAGGTATATTTACCCCCTCCCTGTACCTCCATTGTATCTGGAAAGCAACTGACTTGCTTTTGACTTTATGGGCTCATAGCTGGAAGGGACTTGCCTTGTCTCAGATAAGACTTTGGAGAGTGGACTTTTGAGTTAATGCTGAAATGAGTTTAGATGTTGGGGGACTGTTGGGAAGGTGTAATTTGCTTTCAAATGTGAAGACATGAGATTTGGGAGGAGCCAGGGCAGAATGATATGATTTGGCTGTGTCCCTACCCAAATCTCATCTTGAATTGTAGTTCCCATAATTCCCACATGTTGTGGAAGGGACCTGGTGGAAGACAATTGAATCATGGGGGCAGTTTCTCCCGTACTGTTCTCGTGGTAGTAAATAAATCTCATGAGATCTGATTGCTTTATAAGGGGTTTCCCCTTTTGCTTGGCTTTCATCCTGTCTTGCCTGTTGTCATGTAAGACGTGCCTTTCACCTTCCAACTGTGATCATGAGGCCTCCCCACCTATGTGGAACTGTGAGTCCATTAAACCTCTTTTTTCTTTATAAATCACCCAGTCTCAGGTATGTCTTTATCAGCAGCATGAAAACAGACTAATACAAGGTCCTTTGGAATCGTCTGAGTTCCTAATTTATTTGGATATTAACTTCTTATCAGATATATAGCATGTAAATATTTTCTCCCATTCTTTAGGTTGTCTTTTCATTGTATTGATTGTCTCCTTTGCTGTGCTGAATCTTTTACTTTGATTTAGTCCCATTTGTCTAGTTTTGCTTTTGTTGTCTATACTTTTGGTGTCAAATCTGAAAATTTATTACCAATGCCAGTGTCAAGGAGCTTTTCTCCTATATTTATGTCTAAGAGTTTTACAGTATTGCTCCTAGGTTGAGGTCTTTCATCCATTTTGTGTCAATTTTTGTATGTAGGGTGAGATAAGGGTTCAGTTTCATTCTTCTGCATGTGGATATCTAGTTTTCCCAACACCATTTATTAAAGAGACTAAACTTTTATCATTGTGTATTCTTGGCACCAATGCTGAAGATCAATTGATTGTAAAGGCATGGATTTATTTCTGTGCTCTCTATTCTTTTTCCTTGGCCTACATGTCTGTTTTTATGCCAGTACCGTACTATTTTCATTACTATAGCTTTATAATTTAGTTTGGAATAAGGTAATGTGATGCTTCCACTTTTGTTTTTTCTGCTCAAGGATGTTTTGACTGTTTGGGGTCTGTTGCACACAGATTTTAGAATTGCTTTTTTCCATTTCTTTGAAAAATGCCACTGAAATTTTGATAGGGGTTGCATTATATCTGTAGATCACACTGAGTAATAGAGATATGTGTCTTCTTCAAATTCTTTCATCAGTGTTTTATAGTTTTTGGTATATAGAAATTTTACTTTCTGATTTACATTTATTCCTAAGTTAATTTTTTGATGCTACTGTAAATGAGATTGTGTTCTTTCAGATGGACTCTCGCTCTGTCACCTAGGCTGGAGTGCAGTGGCATGATCTCAGCTCACTGCAAGCTCTGCCTCCCAGGTTCACACCATTCTCCTGCCTCAGCCTCCCGATTACAGGCGGCCGCCACCACGCCCGGTAATTTTTTGTATTTTTAGTAGAGATGGGGTTTCACCGTGTTAGCCAGGATGGTCTCAATCTCCTAACCTCATGATCCACCTGCCTCAGCCTCCCAAATTGCTGGGATTACAGGCGTGAGCCACTGTACCCGGCCCAAGATTGTTTTCTTAATTTCTTTCTGGGATAGTTCACTGTTAGTATATAGAAATGCAACAGGTTTTTTTTTTTTAATGTTAATTATGTGTTCTGTAAATTTGTTGAATTTGTTTCTTAATTTTAACACTTTTTTATTGGAGCTTTTAGAATTTTCTCTATATAAGATCATGTCATCTTCAAACAGAGACACTTTCATTTCTTTTCCAATTTGGATGCCTTTTATTTCTTTTTCTTACCTAACTGCTCTGGCTAGGACTTACAGACTTTTTCAGAAAAACCCCAAAATAATCTAGGGGAGTCCACTGTCACTAGATCTGCTTTATAAGAAACCCTAAAGGGAGTTCCTCAAACTGAAATGCAATAAGACTAATTAGTATCATGAAACCATATGTAGTTATAAAAAGTCACTGGTAAAAGTAACTATACAGTCAAATTCAAAATACTCCTAATACTGTAATGATGCAGTATAATCACTTTAGCTTTTAAAAGGTTAAAAGATAAAAAATACTACAAATAAATATAATTACAAAATATACAAAGAAAGAAACTCTGACATCAAAAAACATAAAAAGTGGAGGTAAGTGTAGGGTTTTTGTATATGATTGAAGTTAAGTTGTTATCAACTTAAAATAGACCATTATAACTATAATCATGCATTTCTTAATGTGGATATGCTCTGAATAATGCCTCATTATGCAATTTTGTCATGGTGTGAATATTATAGAGTGTGCTTACACAAAATTAGATAATACTACGTAATACGCACCCAGGCTATATGGTATAACCTATTGCTTCCAGGCTACAAATCTGTACAGCACTGTACTATACTGAATGCTATAGGCAACTGTAATACAATCATAAGCATTTGTGTATCTAATGTATCTAAACATATGAAAGGTACAATAAAAATGTTATAACCTTATGGGACCACCGTTGTATATGTGGCCCATCATTGACCAAAACATCCTTATGTGGCAGATGATAGCATACAATGTTTTATGTAAGCGTCATGATAATCACAAAGACAAAATAAGTAATAGATACACATATGAGAATTTTACCACATTTAAAAAAGAATTAATACAAAGGCACAGCAAAGAATCAAAGTATACCACTACAGAAAATAATCAAAGTAATCAAATCATGCACAGCAAGAGAGAAATAAAAGAACAAAAAACCTACAAAATGCCTATCAATAGTTACTTTAAATATCAGTGGACCAAATTAGTGAAACAAAAGCCACAGAGTGGCTGAATGGATAGTAAAACAAGAACCAAATATATGCCACCTATAAGAGACTCACTTCACCTTTAGAGACACACACAGACTGAAAGAGAGGGAACAAAAAAAGACAAAGAGTAGCTATTCTTACAACAAACAAAATAGACTTTAAGTCAAAAACTGTAACAAGAGACAAAGAAAGTCATAGAATGATACAAGGGTCAATTCATCAAGAGGATATGACTACTGCAAATATATATTCTCCCAACATTGGAGCACCTAATTATATAAAGCAAATATTAACAAATCTGAAGAGAGAAGTGGACAACAATAATACAATAACAGTAGGGGACTTCCATATCCCACTTTCAACAATGGATTGATCACTCAGACAGATAATCAATAAGGAAACAGATGACTTGAACTACACTATAGATCAAATGGACCAGACATATACATGACATTCCTTTCCAAAACAGCAAAATACACATTCTTCTCGAGCATACACAGTACTTTCTCCAACACAGGTCATATATTAGGCCAGAAAACAAGTCTTAGCAAATTTAAGAAGATTGAAATCTTATCAAGTATTCTTTTTGACTACAGTGGCATGAAACTGAAAATTAAAAACAGGAGAAAACTTAGAAAAGTGACAAATATGTGGAAATCAACCAACACACTCCTGAATAACCAATAAATCAAAGAAAACACCAAAAAAGAAATAAAATAACTTGAGACAAACTAAAATGAAAGCACGACATACTAAAACTTATGAGATGAAGCAAAAGCCGTTCTAAGACAGGGAAGTTTATACAGATAAGTGCTAAATGAAGAAAAAAGATCTCAAATAAACCTCAAAAAATAGAAAAAAAAATCAAGCCCAAAATTAGAAGAAGGAAATAACAAAGATCATAGCAGAAATAAATGAAATAGACAAGAAAAACAACAGAAAAGATCAATGAAACGAAGAGCTGATTTTTTGAAAAGATAATAAAAATTGACCAGCCTTTCACTAGGCTAAGAAAAAAGAAATCTCAAGTAAATAAAATTAGAACAAAAAAGGAGATATTAAAATTGGTACCATAGAAATACAAAGGATAATAATAGTCTACTCTAAACAACTATGTGTCAACAAATTGTTTAACTTAGAATAGAGAAATTTCTAGAAACATACATCCACTAAGACTGAAACATGAAGAAATAGAAAATAAAAACAGATAAATAATGAGTAAAAATATTGAGTCAGTAGTCAAAAAGCTCCTGAAAAAGGAATATCCAAGACCAGATAGCTTAGTGGAGAATTCTACCAAATGTTTAAAGAAGAATTAATACCATTTCTTCACAAACACTTCCAAAAGTTGAAGAGGAGGGAACACTTCCAAACATTTTTTTATGAGGCCAGCATTACCCTGATAACAAAGACAGAAAAGGACGCTACAAGGATGACAGATATTTTTAAGGTACAAATGATGTATTGTTGGAATTGAAAATACAGGATTTGTTTGTACAAAGATTTGTGTGCGGATAGGTGGATGTGTATTGGTGTGTGCATGCATACATATACAAGCTTACCTTGATTTGTTGAACTTCACTTTATTATGCTTCTCGGATATTGCAGTTTTTACAGGTTGAAGGTTTGTGGCAACCCTGCATCAAGCAAGTCTACCAGTGCCACTTTTCTGGTAGCATGTGCTTATTTTGTACCTCTGTGTTACATTTTTGTAGTTCTTGCAATATTTCAAATGTTTTGTTATTATTATATCTGTTATGGTGATCTGTTATCAGTGATCGTTGATATTACTATTGTCATTGTTTTGGGGCATCACAAGCCATGGTCCAAAAGACAATGAGCTTAATTGATACATGTGTGTATTCGAATGGTTCCATCGATCTACCCTTCCTCCATCTCCCCCTCTCCTCAGGTCTCCCTGTTTTCTGAGACACAGGAGTATTGAAATTAGGCCAATTAATAACTCTATAAAGGTCTCTATGTGTTCAAGTGAAAGTAGGAGTCACACATCTCTTATTATAAATCAAAAGTGAGAAATGATTAAGCTGAGTGAGGAAGGTATGTTAAAAGCCGAGACAGGCCAAAAGGCCCAGGCTGGTCTCGAACACTTGACCTCAAGCAATCCACCTGCCGCAGCCTCCCAGGTAGCTGAGATTAAAGGCATGAGCCACCATGTCCAGCTTCTATGCATTATTTTATATGGAGTATTGAAGACTCTATTACTGTAGAACTATTTCTAACTTCAATTCTGTCAATATTTGGGTCACAGTTAGGCCTTAATGTTATTACACGGTGGTCTGATGCTTATGGCCAGGACATTTTGTTTTCCTGTTGGACATAAACAATCTCACAGCATAATATCAACTTCAGAAGGTTAATCTGAGACCGTGATAAATGCAAACAAAAACAAGGGCACTTTATAATGTTGTCTAAGTGCAGATAAAAAACAAGGTCTTGATGTCACCCACAAATACTTAATAATCATATTGCTCCTGCTTTCTGACAGCATCCAATCTAAAGTCTTCACTTTCTGAGATCCTATCCGAAATCAACCAATTAAAGCCCAAATCGTATAACAGTTTCTCTCTAACTCCTCCCACTGAGATGACCCATAGTACCCCATTCCTTGCTGCAATGTAATTACAAGTGTGCTCCTGGTGGTCTTTAACTGAAGGGCACTGACTGGGTCACTGGTGAAGTTCCCCGCAGGAACTGAGTCAGACCCCATCTCAGGGCCCTGCAGAAGATAGGTGCCTGCTCTAAGGCGTGGACCCTCGCGACAGCCCTGGCCCGTCTTGACGGGCGAGGGTTACTGTACTTGTCCCAACCGTACAGATGAGAAAGCTGAGATTCAGGGCCAGCAACCCCGTTTCAGCGGAGCGCCTGGCACGCGCCGACTCTTCAGCACCAGTCGCGGTGGCCACCACTGTGCGCGGAGATGGCTGCGACGCGTGCGCAGGTAAAGTCCATGCGCGCCTTGCCTCCCACCGGCGCCTTCCCGGGCCTCTGGTTTTTGTCCCCGCCAGCGGCTCCGACTCCATCGCGTCCTCTTCCAGTCTAGTGCTTTTTTCCAGATCTCGATCCCAAACTCCCTCCTGCCAGAATCTGGACCCGAATCCACCCATTGCTCATTTTCCGCTGCCACTGGAGAGAATCTCTGAGGTCCCCAGGAGAGCCTGCCTGCACGGAAGAGATGCCTCCTCAGTATGGCCGTCCCCGGAGAGGAGCGATTAAGTGCAGACCTCCATGTTGCTCTTGAGCCTGAGCGGCTTCAGGGAGCCATGTTTGTTACTGGCGGGCGCCGGCCTCACTGAGCATGTGCAGCCCTGGCCGGGCGGCCTCAAAGTTCTGACATCACAGGGCGGTTCCTGAAGTGGACGTAGTTGTAAGAGCTAGTTATTTTAGACAATGCCTCTGGGATCAGGGACTCTAATCTGGAAATAGGTAGTGGGAGAGGTCGGTGATGCTGTCTCGGGGTCAGAGACCTGAGCTATATGGGGTGAGAGAGGGGCCCTGGGCAGGCGAGTCTCTGGGGAGTATGGTGAGAATCCTTGTGTAAGATGCTGGGAGGAGGTGGGATCAGGGCTGGGGTCCGTGGGCCGACGGGTTGGGGGATGGCCAGCGTCAGGGATCAGTAGTAGAGATTCTATGTGCTCTGATCGCCAGTAGAGGTTTTAAATACAGAGTATTCATGAGTTTAGCAATGTTATTCGCCTCTCGTTATTTAAATAATTTGAAGTTTTCCCCAATAACTAGTGTCTTAGGAGTCATGAAAATTTCAGAAAATGACAGGTCTTCTGAGTTCGTGATGGGAGTTGGGCAGCAGTCGCTTACGAGCACCTGGAGAGTCCTTGCCAGTTCTTTGGGGATGGGGAGCTCTTAAGACTGCCCTGAGACTGCCCTTTGACCTCATTGTGGTCCTTTCTAGATTAAATGCTGTTCTCCATGACCGTCTCTGTTCTTCCCATACGCAAATGGCAGGCATCCAGATCTCCAAGAATAGAGGATTAGGAGAGACTCCACCACCTATGTCCGCACAGTTAATTATTGATTTGTGTCAGTTGCCCATTTTCTCACTTCCTGTTTCTGTGTCAAGGGGTATTAATAAATCTTTGCCTATTTAAAGATATTAGCCTTGGATTTTCAAATATTGCATATTTTGACATGTAAAAATGTGTTAGTTTTATTTTTTCAACCGATCTGACCTGTATAGTTGGGCTTGAGGAAGCTTCCTCATTGTACATGTTACTATGGATTTTTTAATATTAACACAGAGTTGTATTTTTTCCATATAAATTTCTATTGAATTTCTTTTTCCATATGATAGGTGGTGAAGGTTTAGCCCAGTAAAGCAGAGAGGTTAAGAGGTTAGACTGGGGGCTCTGGAGCCAGACCTGTGTAGATCTGAGTCCTGGCTCTGGCACTTGAAAGCCGTGTGACCTTGGTTAAGATACTTAGCCCCTTTCTGCTAAATGGAGAAATAAGGGCACCTACCCCGTAGGGTAGTTGTGTGATTACACAAGTTAATACACTTCAATCACTAGCAAGAAAGTGAATGTCAAGCTGTATTTGTTCAGGCAGCCATATGGTAGCCCCACCTCATTAGTAAACTGAGGCATTGAAGTATCTTCTTTTTCTTTCAGAAAATATTTGTCAAGCACCTTCTGTGTTCTAAGAACTGTTCTAGAGCTTTACATGCTATGGAGGTCTAGAAATTCACATTATGGTGGCAGGTGACAGACAATACAAAGAGATAAAGCAATTTCATATAGTGATAAGCTAGGGAGGAGTGCTAAAAGGAGCCAAGGTGTAGTGGTGACTGGAAGGTGACCGGGGAAACCGCTGTAGGGTTTCTAAGTGATGAGATCTGTGACAAATCCCTGTGGTCAGCAGCAGGCATTGGATATGTAACTTTATTCTGTCCCATTGATCTTGTAGTCAACCCTGGTCTGTTCTGTATTGTTTTAATTACATAATCTTTGTAATAATCTTTAATACCTGTTGGAGTGCTCTGTTTACTTATTTCTGTGTAATTAACCACCCCTAAGCTTAACTTACTCATGGTTCTGCAGGGTGACTGCTCTCCATGGTTCTAGGGGGTTCTGCATGGGGCTCTCACATGTGCTATAGTCAAGCATTAGCTGGGGCCACAGTCATCTGAAACTCACCTACACGGCTGACAATTGATGTTGCCTGTTGCCTGAAGACATATGTGGCCTGGTGGAATGGAATGGTGACTAGATTCAAGGAAGAGCTTCCCAGGAGCAAGGCTACCAAGAGACCAAAATACAGGATTCAGTTTCTTTAAAAAAAAAAAAAAAATCGGGCCAGGCGCGATGACTCACGCATGTAATCCCAGCACTTTGGGAGGCCAAGGCAGGCAGATCACGAGGTCAAGAGATTGAGACCATCCTGGCCAACATAGTGAAACCCATCTCTAATAAAAAAAAATACAAAAATTAGCTGGGCATGGTGGTGTGTGATGGTAGTCCCAACTACTTGGGAGGCTGAGACAGGAGAATCTCTAGAACCTGGGAGGCGGAGGTTGCAGTAAGGCGAGATTGCACCACTGCACTCCAGCCTGGCAACAGAGTGAGTCTCCATCTGAGAAAAAAAAATAATCCAATAGTAGAATTCCCAGAATGGAATTTATGTCATATTCTATGGATTGAGCAAGTTGCAAGGCAGCCAGATTCAAGGGGAGGGGAGCTATTCCTCACCTCTTGAGAAGCAATGTGTGTTGAGGAAGGGAAAGAATTGATGGTAGCTGTCTTTGACTTCTACCATACAGAGCAAGGTCTCCACACTCCTTTCTCCTGTAATAATTTTCCATTTGAAAATTTTCCTTGCAATTCTCACACCTTTATTATTTCATATAAATTTTACAATCAATTTTTTTCTTGTCTAGATAACCATGCCATTTGGATTAAAATTGCATTACATTGCAACTTTTGAGAAACTATGGGAGGAGAATTGGCAACCTTATAATATTGAATTTGCTCATTAAGGAACATAGTTTCTCTGTTTATTTAGGTGTTATATTTTTCATAACATACATGTTGGTATTTCTACCCAGGCTTTTCTCTTTGTTTTGTCATGTAACGCATGAATGAGACTGCACTGTCTGTGTGATTGGGCAGTTGCCCAAAGTTTATAGTGTTAACATGCATTAATTCACTTAATCACTCCTCATTTCCTCCTTCCCTCAACCCCTGACAACCATGAATCTGCTTTCTGTCTCTAGATTTGCCTATTCTGGACATTTTATATAAATGTGTCATCCAATATCTGGTCTTTTCTGACTGGCTTCTTTCACTTAGCAGGATTCTACAGTTTATTGAGGTTCATTCATTGTGTAGGCTGTATCAGTACTTCATTCCTGTTTATGGCTGAATAACGTTCCATTGTATGTACATATGTATGTATACCACATTTGTATATCCATTTATTTACTGGAGGATATCTGGGTTATTTACAGTATATTTCAGGAGTCCCCAAGATCATCCTCCCCCTTGATATACTGCTCTTTGTATCTTATATGACCTGTGCAGAACTATTTATCTGGAAATTAGGTGATGGTTAACTAAATATAGTTCTTCTAAAGACTCATTTTCCATTGGTATTACATCCTGAGGAGACTTTAACTCAATCTCCCAATACATTTGATCATCAATATCAGTATTACCACATGACTTATTTGCATGAGGTAATCAAATCTAAGCAGCCATGCCAGTGTTACCCATATTGCATGTCGTGGTAGTAGATGCAGCCCCCCAAAATAAAAGTCAAAAGATGCTGGCACATTCCTGAGGTTCTTCTCAGCCACTAACAATTGGTGTAGTTCATCATCACCTGGAATGACCAAAATGTCTCCCATGGAAATGTGGCTCAGCTCTGTAGGCTTCCATTTAACTTTGTCAGGTTCTGAGGCAGGGCTGGCTTGAGTGGTCTTGTTTCCACTTTGGCTATGATGAATAATGCTGCTGTGAACATTAAGGTATACGTTTTTGTGTGGTTTCATTTCTTTTAAGTATATACCTTGGAGTGTAATTACTGGATCATATGATAACTCTGTTTTAATTTTTGAGAAACTACCAAAATGTTTTCCACAACAGACAAGATTTTACATTCCCTCAGCATTGAATGAAGGTTCTTATCCAGTTTCCTGTTTTTGCTGAGACTTCTTATTGTTTGTCTTTTGAATTTAGTTATCTCGTTGGGGTGAAGTGGTGTATCATTGTGTTTTGATTTGCATTTCCCTAATAATGAATGTTATTGAGCACCTTCTCACATGCTTATTGGCCATTTTTCATCTTTTTGAAGAAATGTCTATTCATCTTTTGCCCATTTTTAAATTGAGTTTTCTTTTTATTGAGTTGTAAGAGTGGTTATATCATCTGGAACATGTGTTCCTTATCAGATATAGGACTTATAAGTTTTTGTCCCATTCTGTGGTTGTCCTTATTTTCTTATGTAACCATTGTATTAGTCTGTTTTCATGCTGCTGATAAACACATACCTGAGACTGGACAATTTACAAAAGAAGGAGTTTTATTGGACTCACAGTTCCATGTGGCTGGGGAGACCACACAATCATGGTGAAAGATGAAAGGCAAGGAGGAGCAAGTCACGTCTTAAATGGATGGCAGCAGGCAAAGAGAGAGCTTGTGCAGGGAAACTCTCATTTTTAAAACCATCAGATCTCCTGAGACCCATTCACTATCATGAGAACAGCACAAGAAAGACCTGCCCCCATAATTCAGTCAACTTCCACTGGGTTTCTCCCACAACACATGAGAATTCTGGTAGTTACAACTCAAGATGAGATTTGGGTGGGGACACAGCCAAACCATGTCAACTTTGAAACACAGAAGTTTTTAATGAAATCGAACTGATCTATTTTTTGTTTTGTTGCTTGAGCTTTTGGTGACTGCTATGGTTTGAAATATGTTCCCACAAAATTCATGTTTGGAATGCTTATATTCCTGCTGGTGGGAATATAAAACCGTACATCTAGTATGGAAAACAGTACGGTGATTCCTCAAGAAATTAGAAACAGAATTACCCTATGATCCAGCATTTCCACTTCTGGGTGGAATACCAAAATAATTGAAAGCAGGGCCTCAAAGAGATATCTGTACACCCATGTTCATAGCAGCATTAGACACAATAGCCAAAAGTGGAAATAATCTAAGCATTCATTGAGGGATGAATGGAAAAACAGAATCTGACATATACATACATACAGTGGAATATTATTCAGCTTCCAAAAGGAAGAAAATTCTGACATATGCTATAACATGGATGCACCTTGAGTACGTTATGCTAGGTGAAATAAGCCAGTCACAAAAACAAATACTGCATGATTCCATTTAAATGAAGGGCCTAGAATATTCAACTTCATAGACAGAAGGTAGAATGGTGGTTGCCAGGGGCTGGGAGGAGGGGGTAGGGGTTAGGTTTTAATAAATATTATTTCAGTTACAAGATGAAGAGAGTTTTGCCGATGGGTTGTGGGGATACTTGTACAACACTATCAATGTATTTAATACCACTGAATTGTACACTTAAAATGGTTAAGATGGTAAATTTTATGTGTGTTTTAACACAATGAAAACTGAAAAAAGGGATATATGTTACCGTAAATAAAAAATTTGTATGCTGAACTCAGAACCCCCAGTACCTAAGAACATGACCTTATTTGGAAATGGGGTTGTTGTTAATGTAATTATTTAAGATGAGGTCATGCTGTAATAGGGTGGGCCCCCTAATCCAGTATGATTTGTGTCTTTATAAAAAAGGGAAATTTGTGCACAGAGATAACACAGGGGATATGCCATATGAATATGAAGGCAGAATTCTACAAGCCCAGGAATGCCAAAGATTGCCAGCAAACCACCAGAAGCTAGGAGAGAAGTGTGGATTAGATTCTTTCTCACAACCCTCAGAAGGAACCAGCCCTGCCAAGAACTTGATCTCAGACTTCTAGTCTCCAGAACTGTGAGACAGTGCATTTTGTTTTGTAAGTCAGCCACATGGTTTGTGGCACTTTGTTATGGCAGCCCTAGGAGATGAAGACAATATGCAACATGGTATGTCCATTATAGGACACTGTGGGCCATAAATGTGTTCTTTGGCCTGAAGAAATAAAACTTGGTGGTCCAAGTTGATGTCTTATCATCTGTTCCAGCTCTTTTATAGTATTTTTGGCATTTGAATCTAATAACTATGCAAAGCCCAGTCCAGAGAATGTGTCAGGACCCATTATAGCCTCCCAGGGATACTGGCTTCAGTCTGGTATAATCTACTTGTTAGCTATGAGTGGTGCCTTCCCACTGGGAATCTGTCCTATAGCCACCTGCGGTCTCTGTCTTCCTGCTGTCAGGTAGGACAGTTCTTGTTGGCATTTGGTGCCTCTGAGGGTAGAGGAGGGATGTGTTGCTGAGCAGCCCATCTCTGCACGGCTGCAGCTCCCCTGTGTCCACTCCTTCATTAAGCCCAGGTGGCCACCTCAAGGTCACCAGGATATCCACCTACCAGAACTGATCACTGATCCTGGGAGGGGTTCTTCAGGTGGGAATTGACATGACCTACTTTAATGTGCCCTTTAAATTCCTGCAGTGCTGTGCTCCATGTGGGGATCCTTTCACAGCCCAGTTTGCCATTGCCCCTCTGCCTAGTCACATGGCCAGGCAATTGGCCACTGCCCATGAGTCAGTAAAAGTAAAAACCAAAATGTAGAAGATCCTGTCATTGTTGAATTCTTCCATCACAGGAAGGAGTGCAACATGTAATTCATCTCACTGGGCTGATTTGTTCTTGTCTTTTTCAATAAGAATTTTCCCATTACTGCTCATGGTGTGCATCCAGGCCACACTGATGCAAGGGGTGGGGTCCCAAGGCCTTGGGCAGCTCCGCCCCATGGCTCTGCGGGGTACAGCCCCAGTGACTGCTTCCATGGGCTGGCATTGAGTGCCTGTGGCTTTTCCAGGCACACAGTGAAAGCTTTCAGTGGATCTACCATTCTCTGGCCTGCAGGACAGTGGCCCTCTTCTCACAGCTCCACTAGGCAGTGCCCCAGTGCGGACATTGAGTGGGGCCTCCAAACCCACATTTCACCTCCAGACTGCTTTAGTAAAGGCTCTCCATGAGGGCTCTGACCCTACAGCAGACTTCCTCCTGGGCATCCAGGCATTATCATACAACCTTTACAATCTAGGTGGAAACTCCCAAGCCTCAACTCTTGCCTTCCTTGCACCTGTAAGCTTAAAACCACATGGAAGCCACAAAGGCTTCTTATGGCTGCACCCTCTGATGCAGTGGCCTGAGATGTATCTGGGGCCCTTTTAGCCACAGCTGGAGCTGGAGCAGCTGGGATTCCGGGTGACATGTCCCGAGGCTGTACACAACAGTGGGGTCCTGGGCCTAGGCCACGAAACCATTTTTCCCTCCTAATCTTTCAGGCCTGTGATGGGAAGGGCTACTGTGAAGATCTCTGAAATGTCCTGGAGGCATTTTCCCCATTGTCTTGGCTATTCACATTCTGCTCCTCTTTACTTATGGAAATTCCTGCAGCTGAGTTGAATGTCTTACCAGAAATTTGGTTTTTCTTTTCTACCACATGGTCAGGCTGCAAATTTTCCAATCTTTTATGCTCTGCTTCCCTTTTAAATATAAGTTCCAATTTCAGACCATCTCTTTGTGAATGCATATGAGCATATGCTGTTAGAAGCAGCCAAGTTACATCTTGAATGCTTTGCTGTTTAGAAATTTAGAAATTTCTTCTGCCAGATGCCCTAAATCATCTCAAGTTCGAAGTTCCACAGATCCCTAGAGTAGGAGCACAATGCCACCAATCTCCTTGCTAAAACATAGCAAGAGTGACTGCAAACTCCAGTTCCCAATAAGTTCCTCACCTCCATCTGGGACCACCTCAGCCTGGATTTCACTGTCCATATCACTATATGAGCATTTCGGTCACAACCATTCAGCAAGTCTCTAGGAAGTTCCAAACTTTTCTTCCTGTCTTCTGTTTTTTTGTTTTGTTTTCATTTTTGTTTTTTTCAGATGAAGTCTCACTCTGTTATCCAGGCTGGAATGCAGTGGCACAATCTTGGCTCACTGCAACCTCTGCCTCCTGGGTTCAAATGATCCTCCTACCTCAGCTTCCTGAGTAGCTGGGATTACAGGCATGTGCCATGATGCCCGCCTAATTTTTTTTTCTATTTTTAGTAGAGACAGAGTTTCACCATGTTGGCCTGGCTGGCTTTGAACCCCTGACCTCAAATGATCCACCTGCCTCACTCTCCCAAAGTGCTGGGATTACAGGCATGAGCTACCATGCCCAGCCATCATCTTCGTATCTTCTTATAAACCTTCCAAACTGTTCCAACCTCTGCCTATTACCCAGTTCCAAAGTCGCTTCCACAGTTTCAGGTATCTTTGTAGCAATGCCCTACTTCTCTGGTACCAATTTTCTGTATTAGTTTGTTCTCACATTGCTATAAAGAAGTACCTGAGATTGGGTAATTTATAAAGAAAAAAAGGTTTAATTGGCTCATGGTTCCACAAGCTGTAAAGGAAGCATGGCTGAGGAGGCCTCGGGAAACCTACAATCATGGTGGAAGGTGAAAGGGAAGGAAGCATATCTTCATATGGACAGCAGGAGCACAGGGGAAGTTACTATACAGTATTAAACAACCAGATCTCATGAGAGTCCTATCACAAGAACAGCAAGGGGGATGTCCACCCCTATGATTCAATAATCAATTTCCAATTGTAAGATTCAATTTCCAATTGTAATTGGAAATTACAATTCGACATGACATTTGGCTGGGGACTCAGAGCCAAACCATATCACCAACCCTATAAAGAAAGCGAGGCACTGATGTCACACTGCTGGTGGATCTGAGACTTGATCTCAGGCCAGCCTGATTCCTAAGTGGCGTTCTTACCCTGTTGCCTCAGGAGCAGCGAGAGCTCTATGGAGCCTGTACATTGCTAAAGAACAAGTTGAAAGAATTTTATTTCCAACAGTAGGGCTGATAAGGACCAGCTGAAAACAACTTAAGCTTCTGGAAAACATATCAAGAACCTCTTAAAAATGTGTCAATGAGCTACAAAATAAGAGTTCCAAAAAGCTAAAAAAGTTTTAAAATGGAAGTGAAACCCAAAGAAGTAACTAAGGCACTGATGCCACTTTTCACCCTTAAGATATTTGCCTGTCAAACTAAACTTTGCTGTTTTTCACAGCCTGAGGTGGAAAAGGGGCAGCAGAACAGCTGACAAAGCTGAGGGCCTGGCCAAGTGGGAGGGGCTAAAAGGAGACATCATAAAGTGAGATCCAAAAGGACAGACTTAGTGTAAGGGTGAACTATGAATAAACCTGTCCGCCTCCCCCTGTATGCTGCCCTTGACCCCTGCTTCCCTAGGAACAGTGAGGAACATTGGGTATCCTGAGAGAAAACATCTCCCCTGAGAGTTTTATGTATATATATATGTGTGTGTGTGTGTATATATATACATATATATACATATATATGTATATATATACATACATATATATATACATATATATACATATATATGTATATATATACATATATATACATATATATGTATATATATACATATATATACATATATATATACATATATATACATATATATGTATATATACACATATATATACATATATATACATATATATGTATATACATATATATACATATATATACATATATATGTATATATATACATATATATACATATATATGTATATATATATATACACATATATATACACACACACACACATATATATATTTATATAGTCCTTTAACTGATTTGTTCACCCAAGCCGGGTGGTCTAAAATGTCTCAAGCTTAAAATTTACAGCAATATCAGCTTTTTGGTGCCTTCTAGGTGACTGACAGATGCAAAATGGATTGTCTTTGGAGGAACTCTGAGATACTTTCAAGGAATATAAGTTCACAATAAAAAATCACAAATGTTAAATTGGCAAGAGCCACCAGAAACAATGGACAGAAGGAGCAGGCCTGCAAAAACTTAAGACAGTCAAGTTAGCAAAGACAGTACAAAGTGTGTTTTATACTTAAAGAAACAAAGGAGTTGAAATAACTTGAGCATGAAAATAACCAAATAGATTGGGAAAAGTACCAAGTGGAAACGAAATGAAAAGTATCGTAATTGAAATGGAAAGTTCAATGGATTGGCTTAACTAACGGTCATCAAAAAGAGAATAATAGATGAAGAAATAAAGAAGTTTTCAGACTCGAAAAAGCTGAACGAATTTACTACCTGGAGACCTGCACTATAAAAAAAGTTAAGGGATGTCCTTCAGGCATAAAGAAAAGGATACTAATGGCAGCAGTGTGCCATCTGGAGCAGCCACTGTTATCACACCAGCTGCAGAGTGGAGGCACAAGTGGTGGTGGCAGGAGTGGCTGTGGGAGCAGCAGTGGTAGTGGTGGGTCCCCTGTGCCCTACATCCCTGAGGCAGCTGACTGCACCACCCCAACCCTTGCACAACTAGGCAGGACCCGCTGCAGGCCCAGAACCTCCGCCGCACCTTCAACCTCACTGTCTGCTGAGTCTCAGGAGCCTGTGAGCTGATAGTGCAGCCAGGACTCGTGGGCGGGGGGGAGGGAGGCCCCAGGAGCATTGGGTTTGTTTGCGCGGGGTTGGCTGAGGCCACCAGCCACCCGCACCTTGCCTGCTGCCACTAAGGGGAAAATGCAGACCAGTGGTATGGCCAGGGCTGCGTGCTTTATTAAGCCAGAAAGTTGGTAGAGTGGGAGCTTCCCAGGCGCAACTGCAGCCACCCAAGCTGTGGCTGCTACCAGGGCACTCCTGTGCTCTTGGGAGCCAAGAGTAGGCAGGAACCCTGCCCTCCCAAGTGCAGCGGCAGCCACTCAAGCTGCAGCTGTGGACCCAGGAATCTTTGTACTCTTGGGGGCCCAGGAAGGCACCCCTGTCCCTGCAGGCTAGGAAGTGCCTGCTCCCACTGTCTGGGATCTCCTCACTGTTAGCATCTGCTCCCGTCACAGATCACAACCTGGGGCACTGTCTCTCTCTCAGCACTTTCGCATCCCAGCTGCATGTGTGCATGCTTGGGGTAGTGCTGACATGTCAACCCCTTGGCCCCCTTCGGACTGTGGAGGCTGACAAGCATGGGAAGGAGGCTGAAGTGGGGCTGAGGACAGCTTGGCACTGGCCTACAGGTACTCCTTGGCATGAATAACCTGGGTGCCATGAACAATGCCAGGAGGCAAACAGGCTCTTGGGTGGAAGGGGGCAGGTTCCCAATGAAGCCCCACCTGCAAGCTGGGGTGGGGCTGAAGCCTGGGGGGTGGGCCGCCAGTCTTCAGGGAGGAGCTACCCTCTCTGCTGAGAGCTGAAGAGACAACAAGATGACCTGCCTGCAGAGAGGAGCTGCCCTCTCTGCTGAGAGCTCAGCACTCAACAGGACACCCTGGCTATGGAGAGGAGTTACCCACTGTGGGTCTCCTCTGAGCTGTCTTATCTCTCAGTAAAGCTCCTCTTCATCTTGTTCACCTTCCACTTGTCTGCATATATCATTCTTCCTGGACGCAGAACAAGACCTGGAGACCTGCTGAATGGCGGAGCTAAAATAGCTATAACACAAACAGTGCTGAAACATGTCCCTTGTTTGTCACATTGCAGGCAACGAGAAGAGAGAAGGAGGAAAGAGCTGTGGCTCTTCATGGAGCCCAGACCTAGGAAATCCCTGAGCCAGGGCTGTGACACCCTGTTTAGGGCTCTGTGGGTTCCTGGCATCTCCAAGGTTCTGGGCACCACCACATTCCCTGGTGTCAGCCGTGGAAGCTGCTTATGGTATGCCTGGTCTAGCTGCAGCCTTGCATGGAGCTGGCACCCGTGCCAGTGCCTGAAGCTGCCTGCCCATCGCCTATCCACCCTCAGCTGGCATGCCTGGCTGTGTGCAGTGGCCGGACCCCATGATTGCTCACACACCCCTTGCTGCTCCGTGCCTGGCTCACCCTTGGCAGACATGCGATCCAGGCTCATAGTGGGAGCTGAGCGCAGACTGCCAGGCCGAGTGGGTGGAACGAGACCTGCGATCCAGATCAAAACTCGGGCAAAGGCGCCACTGGCCATAGAGGCTTTTGGCTGATGAAGTAATACCGCAAGGATCCCGTAACAATACCAGATGGAAATCTGGATCCACACAAAGAAATGATCTACACCAGAAATAGTAACATCGTGTATCTATACCAGAAATAGTAACGACATGGATATATACTTTACTATTATTTAAACTTCTCTAAAAGATAATTGTTTAGAAAATAAAGTAATATGCACTTTTCAATACATGTAAAAGTAAAATGGATGACAATAAGAGCTTAAAGACTAAAAGGGGAGAAGTTTGCTATTCTCAGATTCTTAAACTGTACATGATGTGATCTACTGTCACCTGAAGGTCGGCTGTGATCCGTTAAAGGTGTACACTGTAAACCCTGGAGCCACGGCTAAGATAACAAACCAAAAGATTACAGCTATTAAACTAACAAAGGAGATCAAGTGGAATCATAAAAATATATTGGGTAAATCCAAAAGAAGACAGAAAAAGATGTAAAAGAGAATAAAGGACAGATGGGATGAGTAGAAAACAATAGCAAGATAAGAGACTCAACCATATTAGGAATTACATTACATTTAAATTGATTTAGAAGACAGGTTGTCAGATTGGATATTTTTAAAGTTGGTTGTATTTTGCTTACAAGAAGTGTACTTTATTTATTTACTTATTTTTGGAGATGGAGTTTTGTTCCTGTTGCCCAGGCTGGAGTGCAATGGAGTGCAATGGTGCGGTCTCACTGCAACCTCTGCCTCCCGGGTTCAAGCGATTCTCCAGCCTCAGCCTCCCAAATAGCTAGGAATACAGGCCCCCACCACCACACCCCGGTAATTTTTGTATTTTTAGTAGAGACAGAGTTTCACCATCTTGGCCAGGCTGGTCTCAAACTCCTGAAATCAGGTGATCCACCTGCCTTGGCCTCCCAAAGTGCTGAGATTACAGGTGTGAGCCACCACACCTGGCCAAGAAATGTAGTTTAAATATAAAGATGCAAACAGGTTAGATGTAAAAAGATGGAGAAAGATATACCATGCCAAGACTAGTCAAAAGAAAGCTGAGGTGGCTATACGAATGCCAAAATAGACTTCAGAGCAAAGACTATTACCAGGGATTAAAGAGATTATTTCTTACTGATAATGTGGTTAGTTAAAGACGAAGACATAACAAACCTATGTGTTTTTGTACCTAATAACAAAGCTTCAAAATGTATGAAGAAAAGTAATAAAACAATACGTAGAGATAGAGATAACCATCAGAGATTTTAGTCCCTCTCTCAACAGTTCATAGAATAAATAGGCAATAAATCAGCAAGAATGTATTGGACTTGAACAACACCATCAACCAACTTGACCTGATTTATATTTATAGAATACTCCACCCTATAAAAGCAAAATACACATTTTCTCAACTGTGCATGGAACATTTATGGAGATAGACCACATTATAGCCCATTAAAAACCTCTATAAATTAAAAAGTATTCAACTACAAAGTATGTTCTCAGACGACAATGAAATAAAATGAAAAACCGGTAACAGGAAGATCCTTTAAAAATCCCCAAGTATTTGGAAATTAACTCACTTCTAAATAACTCATAGGTCAAAGAAGAAATCTAAAGGAATTTTAGAAAAACTTCATTTGAAGTTATTGGAAATAGAAAAACAACATAGAATTTGTCGATTGTCACTGAAGCAGTACCTGAAGGGAAATTTATGATATTACTGTATTAGAAAAGAAGAAGAGTCTCAGATCAGCAACCTCAGTTTCTAATTTAAGAATATCGCCCAGGCATAGTGGCTCATGCCTGTAATCCTAACACTTGGGGAAGGTCGTGGTCGGCAGATCACCTGAGGTTGGGAGTTCGAGACCAGCCTGCCCAACGTGGTGAAACTCCGTCTCTACTAAAAATACAAAAATTAGCTGGCTATGGTGGCTGGCACCTGTAATCCCAGCTACTTGGGAGGCTGAGGCATGAGAGTCACTTGAACCCAGGAGGTGGCGGTTGCAGTGAGCCGAGATTGTGCCACTGTACTCTAGCCTGGGCAACAGAACAAGACTCTGTCTCAAAATATATATGAGGAAGAGCAAATTAAATCTAAAGTAACCAGCAGAAAAGGAATAATAAAGATCAAAATGGGAATCAATGAAATAGGAAAAGGAAAAAAATCAGTGAATCCAAAAACGTGTTCTTTGGGAAAAATCAATGAAAATGACAAATCTCCAGCTGGATTGACTGGGAAAAAAGAGAAAATTATGAATATAAAAAGGGGATGACTGACATCACTAAAGACCTGGCAGAGGTAGTGCTCATCAGGATTCTCCACTGTAGTTTCTCTTTTTCCCTCTATTCCATACTGTCCTCTTTGGAGACTAAGTCACTGTGTGCAGCCCACACTTAAGGAGTGGGGAGTTATTCTCGCTCTCCTTTGGGATGGAATATATAACATAATTCATTTGAAATCCTGCATGGGAAATTTATCTCCTTTCCCTCATTCATTAACTTATTTAATCATTTATTTATATCAGTATGCACTCAAGAATATTTATTTTATCTAATACTGCTCTATTTTGTTGCCCTTTACACACATGGAATCTTCCGTATTGCCACAGGTGCCATCAGATCTCCAGCATTTGCACATGCTGTTTCCTCTCCGGGATTCCCACATGCCGGGCATTAGGTCAAGCTCCACGGGACTCCCTGAGATGGATCAGACATAGATCCCACCATGAATACCTCACAGTCCGGCTGGGAAGATGAGACAGGGACCTAACTATCTACAGAACAGAGTCACCAGCTTATAGGTACAAAGGAAGGGCATGGACAGCACAGGACACACCTGCCTACTGCCAGAGGTGTCAGGGGCAGCTTCTGAAGTTGGTGGGTCTCATGGGGCTCAGTGCAGAGGTGTGACCACAGAAAACAGAAAGGAGGCATTCCATGCAGAAGGAAGCTAGAGTGACAGGAGCACATAGTAGAGGTGGGGAGCATGGTAGGGGACTGAAGACTCGGACCAGCCCCCCATTGGTACATTTTGTGCTAGGTGTCCACACTCAAACATCCTGCAGCTCAGCTCCAACGACTGAAAATTCTGCTAATGAGAATTTCTCTTCTGCAAGCTTTAGGCCTTGGCTGGTTGGACCAGTGGCTGCCTCTTATGTCCCCCACCAGTCGAAGCTCAGTTCCACAGGAAGAGCTTTGTGTTTTGCTCTAAGTAGCAAGGAATCCACTGGTGGGGAGTCCAACAGGGAGTGAGTGAAGGACTTACATTCCACGGGAGGCTTCTGGTTGTGGGCACAGAAGGGGCTCTGGGCTAAAGAAGGAAGCTGGGAGCCCCTCAAGTAGCAGAAGGACATTGGGGTCATCCCTGAGAGAGGAGACCTAGTGAGAATGAAGTGATGGCCGGGTAAGGTGGGGTGGGAAGGGGAGGGACAGGAGCAGATAGGGAGAGGAGGGAGTAATAGGGGAAGGGAGATGAAGAGAAGGGCAAGGAGAGGAGGGAGTAGATAAGGGACAAGGAGGGAGGAAGAGGGAGGAGAGGAAGATGAGGAAGGGGGAGGGTGAAGATAGGGAAGGGGATGGCCCAGAGGTATTCATTTGAAAGCAGCCCCAGCAGGACTGATTGTAGCAGTGGCTGTCCAGTGAGAGAGAAAGGAAAGAATCAAGAACAAATTCTAGATTTTTGACTTGAGAAACTGGGAGAAGATGGGGACTTTTCCCAACTCAGTGCTTTTCACTGAGAGAAGAAAAGGAAGAGCCATATTTGAGTGTGAAAACAAGAGTCGCCTTTGAGATCTATTAAGTTTAATATGCTTCATTAGGAAGCTCCCTCATTTCCCCCGTAGCATCAACATTCTTTCTAAAACATTTGGAAAGCATTATGATTTTTATTGTAGAGTCCCCCCACCCCAGCGATTTTCTCTACTTTTTTCCTATTCATTGGTCATGGAAGCTGCTTCCAATTTTCAGCTATTGTGAATAATGGGCTCTTTAAAGCATAGAACAGAGCTGGTTTGCAACGAACATTCTGTACACAGGTCTTTGTCAGTATCTCTGAATATTATATTCCTAAAAATTCCCAGAGGTACGATTTGTAGGTCAAAGGCTGTAAACATTTTATAGCTTCTTAATACATATTGCCAAATGATGCTGCAAAAAGTGGCACCATGTACATTTTTCAAGAGAAGCATCAAAGGATCTCACTGGTCCTCGCCACCTGGACTATTGTAATGGTCCTGAATTATTGCTAATTAGATGTGCAGAAAATACTATTTTATGTTCATATCTGGATAAAGTACCCATGAGGGTTTTGACTAATGTATAGAGGAGAAGAATCCTTTTTAAGGATTTAGATGTGATTTTACTGAGTTGCAGATGTCTTCTTCCCCACAGTACCTTGGGGGACTGAATACAGGTGTGGAGGCCACCCAGCTTGTATCTGTGTTTACTGTCCTTCTCTGATTGGAAGCCTCCCCGTCTTATTCCATTAGACTTTGCTACTGTTCTCCCACTTAGCTGACCTGTCACCTCTTGCCTGAGAGTCTCAGGGTTAGTAATGGATTTCATGACTGTACACTTTAGTAATGAAGAACTCCATTATCACTGGAAGGGGAGTGATCCTTCTGTGGTGTCTGAGCCAAGACAGGACAACATGGAAGCCCAGCACGTCAAGGTCCAGGAGCGTGTTCAGTGGCTGGGCCTGGGGGCAGGAGGAAGAGAAGAGACAGATGCAGGGACAGCCCCCCCCCATCCTGCCCCCACCATGATTACTCATCCTTCTTTGTAGTTACGTTACTTCATTGTATTACCTGGAAATAAGCTGTCTCCTTGGTTGATGGTCTATTCTTTGAGAGACAGCTTTAGAGGCCAGCAGACCTAAATTCTAATCCTTCTGCCTGATGTTGGGCAAGTCATTTGTGGCTTTGGAGCCTCAGTTCCTAATCCGAAGTGAATCTCACAGTGGCCACCTCCCAGGGATGCTGTGCTAGATGAACTGCCTGAGTTGGGTAGCTGGGCCAGGCTCTAGGTCACTGTGAGATGCTGCAGCTGTGGCTGTACCCTGTTAGTGCTGGGCCTGGAATCCCAGCCTCCAACACAGCTGTGATTAAAGAATGCCTGGAAGGAGCAATGCACGAGGAAGGAGAAGGATGAGAATTTCGAGGTTAGCATCAGATGACTGGGGACTTGGCTTTCCTCTGGCTACTTCCCAGCTACTTGGGGCTCTGACACCTCTGGCCGGCCACACACACACCTGAGCACTCACCATCTCCCGGAACTCACTAGCCTGATGGCCCAGGATGACTGAGTGCCGGCAGATCTGGCAGGAACAGCTTGTGAATGGCATGGGTGGCCAGGGTCTCTGCCTGATAAAGAGAATGTTCTTCCCTCAGGAAAGCGGCCCAGGTGTCCTGGAGCAAAGGACTATACTGGAATAGGTTGGTGCCTGCAGCCTAGAGCTTGGACAGTTTCGGCAGCCAAATGAACCCTGGGATTCCCAGTATTTGGGAAGAGGTTAAGGTATGTGGGAAGAGGCCAAAAACATAAGGGTCCTGCTCCACACAGACAGAATCTGAGACACCCTCCCCGGGGCACCTGGTTCTTCTCCAGTCCTTTGTCACCTCCCAAGCGGACCTCGGAAAAGGCAGGTCTGAGGAGGCGGTCCGACGCGGGACCTAGTCCAGGCTGGTGGAGACCCCTCCGCCGTCCTCTGAGTACAGCTGCCGGTTGCCACCTCTGAGGCAGAACTTGAGGAAAATGGGGTCAAATGGAAGGTACTGGTATGGGGACACACGCGGGGAGGCCTCCAAACACCCTTTCAAGATGGTTCGTGTTGACCCCGATAGGTCTTGTGTTGGAGGGGCAGGCACTGGGGGTTGCTGGTCGACCCGCATGTTGCCCCACCACAGAGCATCCAGGGCTAAGAGCGAGGCAAGAGCCTCCTCCGAGCTTAAGCTGCAGGTCCAAGCTCCCACGAACAGATGGGGAGCGAATGCTCTGCCAGCAGGCGGAACAATCCTGCTAACGCTAGGGACATCCTGGAACTCGACCCGGTGCACAGCGGCCACTTCTCTCTCTCACGGGAGCTCCAGAGAACAAGTGCAATACATAACATCCGCCGCCAGGTGGAGCCCGACAACCGGCGCAAACGGCTGCAGTCCACGTCGGATCGCTTTTCAGACATGGGTGGGTGGAGAGCGTCCGGCTCCTCTCGGAGCTCCAGGTCACCATGACGCGTCCCCAGCAGCATAAGGGAAGGCTGACTGCTGGGAAGAATAAAGAATACAGACTCTCCCTACGTGACTCCCAGTCTGGCCCGTGGAAAAGCTAACCGCGAGCCTGCGGGCCGGGCGCCCTGCCAGGCCGGGCTTTCCAGAGCCTCGCAAGTGGACTTAGAAAATACCGCGCCCTCAGGTATGCGATGAAAAACTGCAACCATGAAAGCTTTGTTGAAAACACTTTAATTTTAAAATTTCTGAACAGAGAAGATCTTTAAAGCATAGAACAGAGCCCGTCACGGTTGTTCACGCCTGTAATCCTAGCGACTTGGGAGGCTGAGGCGAGAGGATCGCTTGAGGCTAGCAGTTTGAGACCAGCCTGGGCAACATAAATAGACCGCTGTCTCTTAAAATAAAAATAAAAAGGCATGTATACAACAAAGACAACTCGAAAGCCATCAAGGACACGATTGATTAACTTGATAGCATAAAGTTTAAAGAAAATTTATCTGTGCACGTACCAGGACAAAGTCAAATGACAACAAATGGGTGTGGGGAACATCGGTGCAAATACATGTGTGATGATAAGAATACTGATTTCACCATTACTTGTCATAACAAAAAATAAAGAAAACATAGCCATTCAGAAAAGCCAGGTTTAAAAAATTCTGGTACATCTATACAATACCGTTAATTTATGTTTTGGTTTATTTCTTCAGGGCGGTAGACTTACATGTATTAACATGGAAAGATGTCCATGATGAAATAGTAAATGAAAATAGCAAATTCATGAGAATGCAAATTAGAATCATAGTGCGATACCATGAATGCCTTAGACAAAATAGTCTTCAAAAGTGAAGGAGAAATAAATACTTTTTTTTTTCCTTTCTGAGATGGAGACTCACTCTGTCACCCAGGCTGGGGTGCAGAGTGCAATGGCGTGATCTTGGCTGCACACACCACCACGCCCAGCTAATTTTTGTATTTTTAGTAGAGGTGGGTTTTCACCATGTTGGCCAGGCCGGTCTTGAACTGCTGACCTCAAGTGATCCACCTGCCTTGGCCTCCCAAAGTGCTGGGATTACAGCTGTGAGCTACCGTGCCTGGAAGAGACTTTTGTAGAAAACAAAAATTGAGGCAATTTGTTGCTGGTAGACCTGCATGCAAGAAATGTTGGAATAAGTTAAAAGAAGTTCTTAAGAGAAAAGTAAGACATTTGGATCTACATAAAGGAAGAATATAAAAAATGAATATATGAATGTGAAGTAAAAACTTTGCATTTTCTTATTTTCAATTGATATAGCAGCTAATAAATAATTTGTTCAAAATAATGATAGCAATAGTTATTAGATGTTTATAATTTATTGATAAGTGAAACGAATAATAGCAATGATATAAACTATAGGAGGGAAGAGTTAGAAATATTTTGTTATTATAAAATACTTGCACTACTCATAAAGCAATATAGTATTACTTGAAAGTAGACTTGTACTAATGGTAAATGTACATTGCAAAATCTAGGGCAACCAATAGAAAGATTTTTTGACAGTAAAAAGAAAGGAAGAATTTACATGCTTAAATGGGAAAGAAAATGGAACCATATAAAATGCTCAATTAAAACCACAAAAGGCAGGAAAAGAGTGGAAGGCAAAAATAGGAAGAAAAAAAAGGACAACAAATAGAGAATAATAACAGACATGATAAATACCAATCTAACTGCATCTGTAATCACCTTTAATGTCAATGGTCTACACACACCAATTAAAGACTGAGTTCATCTGAGTTGATCCCCCACAAAAAAGACCCAACTATACATTGTTTAAAAGAAACTCACTTTAAATGCAAAGACATATAGATTTGAAGTAGGAAATGGAAAAAGATATACAAGGTTAACAATAATTAAAATAAAGCTGAAACAGCTATATTAGTTTTCAGACAAAGTAGACTTCGGAGAGAAAAGATAATTCTGGATGAATATAGGCACTGCTTGATAACAAAAAGTGAATTATCTGAGAAAATATAACAATTCTTAATGTGTGTGCACCTAACAAGAGTGTTAAAATATGTGAGGCAAAAAAACTGATAGAACTGCAAGGATAAATAAAAGAATTCACAATCATAGTTGTAAACATCAACACCCTCTACCAGAAATGGAGAGATCCAATAGATAGAATATCAATAAAATATGGTAGAACTAAACAGCATCATCAAAGAACTGGAAGTAATTCACATCTGTAGCCTACTTAGTGTAATGACAGCAGAATACATATTCTTTTCACTCTCACATGGAGCATTCACCAAGATAGGCCACATTCTGGGCCATAAAGCCCACCTTAACACATTTCAAAGTATAAAAACCATGCCATACCTGCTCTCTGAAAACACTGGAACCTATTATACAAACCAGTAATAGAATGATAGCTGGGCAATCTCAAAATACTTGGATATTCAGAAATACACGTCTAAATAACATAAGGGTCAAGAAGAAATCTCAACAGAAATTAAAATAATTCTTTGAACTACATGAAAACAAAAATACAGCTAATGCCTCCAAGAGTTTCTCACTTCCCCTATGGGAAAGTCTGTATTTCCTACAGAGATCAGTCAAAGCTGGACAGGGAGCCTCCAGGAAGGGTCTCTGTCATGGCTACAGTTTTGTCTGGAGCACAGATGCATACAGCACTCCCGAAAACGTTTCTCTTTTCAAATTAGCTAGCTGAGACATTCCCTAACTAGTCATGGAGGCCAGGGAGGGCATCCCTTCCACCTGGTGGACTGAGTGGGGATTGGTCATAGGAGGCACCCTGCAAAATTGTATCTAAACCCCTCTCTGGAGGCCAGGACAAATCTGAATGGACCATGGAACTGGGGAGAGCCTGGATGGGAGCCAGTGGTCAGGAAGGCCTTGGGGGCTGCTCAGATGGGGCCAGGTATGAAGGCCTGAGAAGGGTACCTTGTTGCATGGGTCTGGTTGGCCCAATGAGTCTCCAAAAAGTTTCTTAAGACCCCTGGTTGGGGGGAGGACTGCATCTGGCTATAAAGTGAAGGCCCCAGGAATGGTTGGTGCCCTACTTTCCACTCCAGTCCAAAGCAGTGCCTGTCATCAGAGGCACCAGAAAATATGTTCTAAGTACTCCCTGTTTGTGGGCACCAGGTAAGGATGCCCAGTAAGGCCTGGGAAGGGCTTGTGAATCCAGTCACAGTTCTTCCTGGCCTTGTCTATGGCATGCAAATTCTTTAAATGTTTGCAAGTCCCTCTCTGGAGGAGCAGCAAAGGCCTGAGTGGCTGAGGAGACCTATTATTTTTATTTATATTATTTTATATGAAATTATTACTTATGTTATTTTTGTTATTATAAAAAGATGTAAGGTGTGACATCAAAAACATCAAACATGGGAGAAAAGGAAGTTAGAGTGAAAAGTTTGTGTATGCAATCAAAATTAACTGTTATCAGCTTAAATTAACCTGTTATAAGTATAACATGTTTTATGTAAGCCACAGGGTAGTCACAAAGCAAAACCTGTAATGGATACACAAAAGATAAAAGGAAAAGAACCAAAACATACTACTACAGAGAGCCATGAAGCCACAAGAGAAGAAAGCAAGAGAGGAAGAAGGGACCAAAGGCTCTACAAAGCAACTAGAAAACTCTTTAACAATGGCAAGAGTAAGTTCATACGTGTCAATAATAACCTAGAATGTAAATGGATTAAATTCTGCAGTTAAAAGATACATAGTGGCTAAATGAGGTATTTTTTTAAAGACCCAGCTATATGCTGCCTACAAAAGACTCACCTCACCCGTAAGGACACATGAAGATATTCCACGCAAATGGAAAGCAAAAGAAAGCAGCAGTAGTTGTAGTTTTATCAGATAAAATAGACTTCACATTAGAAATCCTAAAAAGAGACAAAGGAGGTTATTATATAATGATAAAAAGATCCTCAATTCAGCAAGAAGGTATAACAATTATGAGTATACACCCACCCAACACCAGAGCAAATACTAGATCTAAAGGGAGAGACAGACTGCATTTCAATAATAGGAGACTTCAACACCCTACTTTCAGCACCGAACAGATCATCCAAAGAGAAAATCAGCAAAGGAACATTGGAGTTAAACTACACTCTAGAGCAAATAAACCTAACTTTTACAGAAAATGTCATTCAACAGCGGGAGAACGTGTATATATTCTTCTCATGAGCACATGGAGCATTCTTCAGCATAGACCATATGTTAGGCCACAAAACAAGTCTCAACACATTTTTAAAAATTAAAATCACATCAAGTATCTTTTTTGACCACAATGGAATAAAACTAGAAATCAATAACAAGAGGAACTTTGGAAAATGCACCAATACAACATGATCCTGAACAACCAATGGGCAAATAATGAAATTAAAAAGAATATTTAAGAATTTCTTAAAACAAATAAAAATAGAAACACAACATACCAAAATTTACGTTATATGTCAAAAGCAGTAGCAGTACTAAGAGGGGTAGTTTATAGAAATAAATGCCTATATAAAAAGGTAGAAATATTTCAAATATAATGATGCACCTCATGAAACTAGAAAAGCAAGAATAAATCAAACCCAAAATTACAGGAAGAAGAAATACCAAAGATCACAACAAAAATAAATAAAATTGAGACTAAAAATATGAAAGATCAACCAAATGAAAATATTGTTTTGAAAAGGTAGACAAAATCAACAAATCTTTAGGTAGACTAATGAAAAGAAAAACTCAATGGAATAGAATCAGAGATAAAAAGGAGATATTACAACTGATAAAACAGAAATACAAAAGATCATTACAGACCATTATGAACAATTTACATCAACAAATTGAAAACTTATAAAATAGATATATTCTTGGACACATATAACCTACCAAGATTGAACCATGAAGAAACAGGAAACCTGAATAGAACAATAATGAATAATGTGATTGAATCAGTAATAAAAAGTCTAACAAAGAAAAGTCTAGGACCATATGGCTTTACAGATGAATCCTACCTAACTTTTAAAGATAAGCTAATGCCAATTATTCTCAAACTGTTTTGAAAAATCAAAGGGGAGAGAATGCTTCCAAATCTTTTTTAAGGCCAGCATTACCCTGATACCAAAACCAGACAAGGACACAACAAAAGAAAACTATAGGCCAATATTTTTAATGAGCATAAATGCAAAACTCTTCTAAAAAAAAACCCTAGAAAACAAAATCCAACAGCACAGAAAAAAGATTATACACCATGATCAGGTGGTATTTTCCCCCAGGGATGCAAGGATGTTTCAACCTACAAATATCAATAAATGTGATACATCACATACATCACATCAAGAGAATAAAGAACAAAACCTTGTGATTATCTCAATAGACACAGAAGTAGTATTTGATAAAATTCAACTCCTCTTTGTGATTAAAAAAAAACCCTCTCAACAAATTAGGTATAAAAAGAACATACCTTAAAACATTAATGTTCGTATATGATAAACCCACAGTTAACATCGTACTGAATAGGGAAAAGTTGAAAGCCTTTTCTCTAACATAGAACAAGACAAAGATATTCACTTTCCCTAAGATCCTTCCTCTAAGATCTAGAACAAGACAAGGATATTTACTTTCACCACTTTTATTGAAAAATGGTCAATCACATCGTTTTCTTTTATTGAAAAGTGGTGAAAGAGTCCTAGACAGAGCTATTAAAAAAGAAATAAAGAGCATTGGAAAAGAGGAAGTCAAATTGTCACTGTTTGCAAATGACATGATCTTATATTTAGGATAACCTAAAGACTTCACTAAAAAGCTGTTACAACTGGTTAACTATTTCAGCAAAGTGGCAGAATACAAAATCAACATACAAAAACCAGTAGCGTTTCTATATGCCAATAGTGAACAATCTGAAAATCAAGGAAGCAATCCCATTCACCTTAGCTACACAAATATAAAATGCCTAGGAGTAAATTTAACCAAAGAGGTAAAAGATCTGTACAATCAAAACTGTAAAACACTGATAAAAGAAATTGAAGAGGTAACAAAAAATAAAAAAACTCATATTCATGATTAGAAAAATTAATATTGTTAAAATGTCCATACTACCCAATGTTAACTATAGACTCAAGACAATTCCTATCAAGTGACATTCTTCATAGATATAGAAAAAGCAAGCCTAAAATTCATGTGAAATCACAAAAAAGCCTGAATATACAAAGCAACCCTGAACAAAAAGAACAAAGCTGGAGACATCACACTATCTGACTTCAAAATATACTACAAAGCTGCAGTGATAAAAAATAAAAAGCATGTTTATGGCATAAAAACAGACATATACACCAAAGGAACGAAATAGAGAACACAGAAACAAATCCATGTATTTATAGCCAACTGATTTTCATCAAAGGCCATAAGAACATACACTGGAGAAACAACAGTATCTTTAATAAATGGTGCTGGGAAAACTGAGTAACCATATGCAGAAGAGTGGAACTTGACCCTGATCTCTCACCATATACAAAAATCAACTCAAAATGGATTGCAGAGTTAAATGTAAGCCTCAAAACTGTGAACCTACTAGAACAAAACTTAGGTAAAATCCTTCAGGACATTGGTCCGAGCAAAGATTTATTGAGTAAGACCTCAAAAGCACAGGAAACCACAGCAAAAATTGACAAATGGGATTACATCGAGTGAAAAAGCTTCTGCACAGGAAAGGAAAAAATCAACAGTGTGAAGAGACAACCTACAGAATGGGAGAAAATATTTGCAAAGTATTCATCTGATAAGGGATTAATAATCAGAATACACCATGATGCTCAAACAACTCAATAGCAAAAAAAAAAAAACAACAACAAATACTCTGATTTTGAAAGGGGCAAAAGATCTGAATAGACATATTTCTCAAAAGAAGAAAATCAAATGGCCAACACATAAATGAAAAAATGCTCAACATGATTGATGATCACAGAAATGCAAATCAAAATCACAATGAGATATCCTTGCACCCCAGTTAAAGTGGCTATTATCAAAAAGACAGAAAATGACAAATGATAAGGAGGATGTGGAGAAAGGGAAGTACTCATACACTGCTGGTAGGAATGTAAATTCGTACAGCTACTGGAAATCGCCACACTGAAAAGCACTGTGGAGATTTGTCAATAAAACTAACCATAGAACTACCATATGATCCAGCAATCCCACTAGTTGGTATATGGCCAAAAGATAAGAACTCAGTGTATCAGAGAGATATCTACATTCCCATGTTTATTGCAGCAGCACTATTCACAATAGCCAAAATATGGAATCAACCTAAGTATCCATCAATGAATGAATGGATAAAGGAAATGTGGTATATATACACAATGGAATATTATTCAGCCAGAAGAAAGAATGAAATTCTGTCATTTGTAGCAACATAGATGGAATTGGAGGACATTATGTTAAGTGAAATAAGCCAGATGCAGAAAGACAAATATCATGATTTTACTCATATGTGTGGGCTAAAAAAATGGGAGGTAGTGAACAGAATGGTGTTTAGCAAAAACTGGGAAGGGTAGTGGGAGGAGGGCTCGAAAAGGGGTTGGTTAATGGATATAAAATACAGTTAGATAGATAGAAGGAGTAAGATCTAGTGTTTGGTAGCACAATAGGGCAACTATAGTTAACAGTAATTTATTTTGTATTTCACAACGTTCTCAACACAAGAAAACAATAAATGTTTGAGGTAATGAATATCCCAGTTACCCATATCTGATCATTACACACTGTATGCTTGTATCAAAATATCACAGGTACTCTATAAATATGTACAACTGTTATGTTTTCATAAAAATTAAAAATAAAAACTAAACTATTAATTGTTCTACTTTGTGGACATAAAATATCTTTCCATTTATTTGTGTTTTCTTCCATTTTCTTTCATCAGTGTTTTATAGTTTTCAGTGTACAGTTTTTCACCTCCTTGGTTAAATTTACGCCTAAGTATTTTATAAGTTTTTTGTTGCTATTGTAATTGGATTGCATTCTTTTTTTTTTTTCTGCCTCCCAGGTTCAAGCGATTCTCCTGCTTCAGGCTCCCGAGTAGCTGGGATTACAGGCACCCGCCATCATGCCCGGCTAATTTTTTTTGTATTTTTTAGTAGAGACAGGGTTTTACCATGTTGATCAGGCTGGTCACTCTAATTCCTGACTTCAGGTGATCTGCCCACCTCGGCTTCCCAAAGTGCTGGGATTACAGGCGTGACTGCCGCACCCAGCCGGGATTGTATTCTTAATTTCCATTTTGAATAACTCACTATCAGTTTACAGAAATGGTAAATCACCCTTTGTGGATAAAGCATGGGTACTCAGCAATTAAGAATAAACCCTTCAGCTAATGTCTAAGTTGCTTTCATTGTTACTTTATCTGTTTGATTTCTTGTCTAAAGTTTGATAATGGCAACTAACCCATTTTTAAGAGAAATTAAAATGGATAACATGCATGTGATATTCTGTGAAAATTGCATGACTTCTTTTAATTAATTTAAGGAAACTATAGATGTGTAGTTAGGGCTTTAAACCAAACTGGTGCAATTTATTTTCTGCTAAATTACAAAGTTATTTGATTGAATTGACAAGTAATATTGCTTTGTTTTATTTTTAATTCATTACTGTGCAAATTCACATTTGGGGAATGTAAGATTATATAGGAAACCTTGAACCACCTTTAAATAACTATATTTTTATTTATTAAGCCACAAACAGTTTAGTTATGTTGTTATGAGCAAATATATTTACTATTTTTTCTCTGCAATAGGAATAGAGATTTCTTTTGCTCTTCTATCTCAACTGAAAAGGATATGTTTTCTGGATCACTGCCATTAGCTCCTTCCATAGTATTTAATAAATAAATGCATTTCATAGTGTTAGGCTTGTATAAATACACTATTAAATTTTCTTCACTATAAATGAACTTGAGCAACTCTCATATCTACAATTTCTAGCACCAGGAAAGTGACATTTTCCTTTAAGATGAGGAATAGGCCTTTTGAGGTCATGGTGGAGTCATATACTCCCTTTTATGACAATTATTAGCACCATGTGAGGGCAGAGAGGAATGTAAAAAAAGTATCATTTCAAGTTAATAAGCTACAACCTGCCACCACTGATGGCATGTCCACTTACAGCTCACGAGCCAGCTCTTCATCAATAAGTGCTGCTTTGCAGTGGTTTGTAATTGAATTGTATGATGTAAATGTGGAGACAGCCAATCATGATGTTACAGGATCTTTGGGGTTTTGATTTTCTTGCCCAGAAACCTCTGTGGACAGTGGCATCTTTGCCTGAGTTCTTGTCCTGCATCCAGGAGGAATGAGGTATGCAGACAAAGGAAGGGCGAAGAAGATTAAGAGGAGTTTTATTTAGTGTTAGAACAGCTCAGAGAAGACGCACAGTGGGTAGCTCCTCTCTGCAGGCAGGTCGTCCGGTGGAGTGTTCAGCTTTCAGCAGAGAGGAGGCCCTGGCGAGTGTGGCTCCTCTCTGCAGGCTGGTCATTTGGAGGTCTCTGCAGGTCTCTGAAGCTCTCAGTAGAGGGGAGAGTTCGTCTCTGCAGCTGGTCGTCCCATCGTCTCTCTGTCCTCTGCCCTCTCTGGTAGAGCCCAGGGCTTTTATGGACCTCAGAGGGGAGGAAGTACCTGCCAATTGGTCCATGAGCAGCCATTGGTGGCCCAGAGGAGGGACAGATCCCCAGTCCTGTCCACAGGATTGGCAGTCTGGCTCCCAGCCTTCAGGCCCTCCCCGGCTTGAAGGTGGGGCTTTACTGGGGACCCATCTGCTTCTGCCCAGGACTCTCCCTCCCCCTGCCATTCAAGGCCCCAGGGCTTGACCAACCCTGTTGGGAGATTAAAGCGGGTGCCAGAAGAGGAGAGAGGCCAGGCAGTGAGAGCAGACATCCCAGAGCCAGCAGGGGGTGGCAGGTGCAGGCTGCCAAGATGCCAGGGTCCTGCGCCTGAGACGGTGGCCTCAGTTGCACCCAGGGAGCTCCCACCCAGCCAACTCAGAAGGGGCGGGGCTTCTGCTTGTCTCCGTCTCCTTCCTGCTCCATGGAGCCGGAAGCCCAGGTCTGCAGCAGTGGGTTGGGTGGCTGCAGCTGTACCCAGGAGGGCAGATCCTGTCGGTTCCCAGCCCCCTCCAAGAGCACAGGGAAGCTTGGATCCACAGCTGCAGTTTGGGCTGGGCTACAGCCTGCTCCATAGAGCAGGAGGCCTGGGTCTGCAGCCACACCAGAGAACTCATACCCCAACTCAGAAGGGGTGGGGCTCCCACCAGCTTCATGGAGTATGCAGGCCCAGCCATGCCTCCCTGCTGTCGCCTGCATGATGGCTGCAGCTGCTGCCATCAATGAGAGAAAAAAAGACAAAATTTACCAACATCAGTAATGAGAGAGGTGATCTCACTACATACATTACATATATTAAAAGGCATAATAAGAGATTACAATGCAAAGCTGTATGCCAGTATGCTTGACAGCTTAGAAGTAAAGACAAATTCCTTGAAAGATGTAAACTACTAATACTGACTCAAGAAGAAATAGATGACATGAATAGTCTATTAATTAGATTGAGTTTATTGTTAAAAACCTTCCCACAAAAAAATTCCAGGCCCAGATGGCTTCGCTGGAGTTTTCTAGCAATTTAAGGAAGAAATAACAAATAAACATAAACTCATTCAGAAAATTGAAGAGGAGAGAATACTTTTGAACTCATTCTACAAGTCCAGCATTATTCTGACACCACATTCAGACAGACTTTTTTTTTTCTTTTTTGAGACGGAGTCTCGCTCTGTCACCCAGGCTGGAGTGCAGTGGCGTGATCTTGGCTCACTGCAACCTCCACCTCCTGGGTTCAAGTGATTCTCCTGCCTCAGCCTCCTGAGTAGGTGGGATTACAGGTGCCCACCACCATGCCCTGCTAATTTTTTGTATTTTTAGTAGAGACAGGGTTTCGTCATGTTGGCCAGGCTGGTCTCGACCTCCTGACCTCATGATCCACCCACCTTGACCTCCCAAAGTGCTGGGATTATGGGCGTGAGCCACCATGCCCAACCTAGACAGACATTTTTAAAAAGTAAAAATACAGTCCTTCATGACCACAGATGCAAAAAAATCTTAACAAAGTTTCAAAAAATTGACTTATACCAGTAATTCAAGTTTAGATTACCATAATAAAATCAACCAAAGCAATTTGGCATAAAGACAAACATTCTGCAAAACAATTTGGCAGTTTCTTAAATGTTAAACAGATACCTACCATATGACATAGCTATTCTTGTCTAGATATTTACCCAAGAGAAATGAAAGGATATTTTCATATGACCATCTGTGCATAAGTGGTCATAGTAGCTTATTTATAACAGATGAAAACTGGACACAATTCAAATGCCCATCTTCAAATGAATGAACACACAAATTGAGCTATATTCACACAACGAGATACTACTCAGCAATAAAAAGGAATGAACTATTGATACATATCACACATTAATGAATTTCAGAATAATTCTGTTGAAAGAAAAAAGCCAGATAAAGAAAAGTAAATACTATGTGGTTCCATTTATATGACATTCTGGAAAATAGAAACTAATCATGAGAGAGATCAGATCTGTGGTTGCCAGGGATTTGAGGGAAGCAGGGAGGTTATGGGGGAGGGGTTATCAAGAGGGAGGAGAATATTTTGCTAGGTTGATGGATATATTCCTTATTTTAATTGTGATGATAGTTTCATGGTTGTATACATAAGTAAAAATTTAACAAGTCCTGCACTTTAAGCATGTGTGTTCATTATATGCCAATAAAGCCTCAATATGGCTGTTGAACAAAAATTAACTACTGAACTACTAAATATGTGTATCACTCTAGGAAATGAAAGACACCTCTTCAACTGCTTTTGTGTCTTGACTTTTTTCCCAAAGGAAGACCTATATTTTGCTTCATTTCTTTCTACTCTACATTTCTTTTTACTCTGCTTGCATTTAGTTTAAAAAAAAAGCTCTCTGTTGGTGATTTCTAATCTATTTTAAAGTAAATAATTGTACTGTCCAATTAGAGACTGAGATAACTCATGAATTATCACACAGGTTGTTCTCCTGTACAATATATATGATTTTGAGTACTAATATTACACAGTGAATTCAGAATTGTGTGTCTGCATATACATACCATAGTCTTATAAATAACTTCAACTTGCAATAATTAACTTGCAGTTAATTCTTACAGTAGCATGAGTTTGGGCCTCTTAAAAAAAGAACTAAAACCAACTCCCTGCCTGAGAATAGAAACACACACACACACACACACACACACACACACACACAGACCAAATTGAATAATCTTGTTTTCTCACTTACAATTGTGGGCATTCATTTATGGAGTTCTTGGCAGCTATGTTAGCATAAAACCCCACCTATAATTATCATTCATATTAGGATAATATTTCACAAATGTGGTCAGTATTGTCTTCCACAACATTACAGTTAGTTGGTGGAATAAGTTCTAGTGTTGTACAGCACTATAGGGTAACCACAGTAAACAACAGTGTATTGTCTTTTTTTTCAGATAGCTGGGAGAGAGGGTTTTTCATGTTACCAACACAAAGAAATGATAAAGGTTTGAGGTGATGGACATGCTAATTACCCCGATTTGATCATTATGCATTGTATACATCTACTGAAATATCCCACTGTACCCCATAAATATGTACAATTATTATGTGTCAAGTAAAATATGAATATATATAGTAAATAAATAAATGAAGTAATTTGCCATTACTTAACATTTCATTAAATGTATGTTTCCAAAATTATATTTGTTCTTGAGACCTTTTGAGTGATCACAGTTTCTGCTATTCTCCATAAGGCCTCAGTTTGACAGGGTGATGAAATCTTGAATAAAACACAAAGGAATGTGTTTGTATTTGCAGTGCTTCCCTTGCAGGTGAAATGGCCAGCAGACCCAGGCTTTCTGGAATGCATTCATTTTCTGCAGTTGAAAGGGACGATCCCGGATCTGAAAGAAAGAGCCACAGTGACTCCAAGAGTGGAGCAAGGGCATGCTGGACACTGCATAGCTATGGCCACATGTGTCACCTCCGAGGGAGATGTGAGAGAAACGCAGAGGGATCGCTTGTGACTGTGCCTTCTCGATGTATGTTGGACTGTTCTGCTCAAATAGTAAGTGTGACCAAGGAGCCGGTGAACATAGGAAACAAAGAATATTTCATTTGATATTATAAGGAATGCGACAATTCTAGTCACTTGAAAGTGAACTATATCTGTTGAGAATTCCTAGTTTTAATTGGGAAGAAATGTGCTTCTCTTCTTGAAAAGCCACAGGTTATTGCTTTTATGTCTAGTATCAGTCCTCTCTGGATTTCTCAAAAGATTTTCTGTATATCCTACCACTTTCCTTCTGTTGCTGCAGTTTGGAAGTAGTTTGTTATCAGGATTATCAAAGCATCATTGCTATTTATGACAATGACTTTAAGAAATGCAAGAATATTTGGAACACTGTAGAAAAAATATTTTAGCCTGGAAGGCAAATACTAATTTCAGGAACTATTGATCTGTTATAAAACAGGACCACTCAGACATTTAGCTCTAAGACTTTTGCATATCTGTTGTTAGAGGCGTATAGTGGGGGGCATGACTCAGCTTCTGCTTAAGTACAAGTTGTTGTCTGCAGCGAAGGAAGAATTTGATTGTAGTATCAACAGAACCAGACAGAACTCTTTGAATATAATTATATATCTTGGAAACTGACTCATCAAAGCTATTAGATTACATAGCATCATTTAAGCATCATTGGGCTCTGTACTTTTCATTATCTGTACTTTTCATTATGGAGTAAAATAGGCTTTATTTGGTACAGAAATTGGGTCTAAGATGGAAACAACTTGTGATTTTTGAATAAACTTTTGGGGATTAATTACTTTGATGTTGTCAAGATAGCAGCATAGTAAGTCCTCTGCCTTTCCTCTTGATTTATTTATAATTTAGAATCAGTTTATGATTTTAAAAAATGTGACAGACACAGTGGCATGCACCAGTAGTACCAGCTACATGGGAAACTGAGGCAGAAGGATCACTTGATCCCAGAAGATAGAGACCACCCTGGGCAACATAGTGAGAGCCCCATCTCAAAAAAAGAAAAAATCAATTCCCAATACCATTCCAGAACACTTTTAATATAACCAGATGAAATTGTGATCACTACTTTACTGTAATGTTTAAAATGGTCCTCAGTCCATATTTAAGTACAATCTTAGTGTTTCTGTGCAACCTAATATATTAGAAACAAAAATTGTATTGCATTTGAATAGGAAATAACTCTGAATTGAGGGTTATTTCTTTTAACAGTTGCAATTAGATTGGTTAGTGACAATTATCTGTAATTTTCAGGCAATGCCTAGGCAAGTGCCCAGGCACAGTAGCCTCCTCCTTGCCTCCGTGTGTGTGTGTGTGTGTGTGTGTGTGTGTGTGGAGGGTGGTAACATTTCTGGGAATTTGTCTTAACATAAAATGATACCACCTTTCACAAAACGACCTAGAGGAAGTTGGAAATCCCACTATCCTGGCTTCCTGCTGAACAATATCTGCTTCTCTTTCTGACTCAGGCTGATGCATCTGTATACTTAGCTTCACTTCTCCAGTAAATAAGGGAGAGCTTTATTATAAAAGACAACTTCTATTGATTTTCAAGGGGGTGGGTGGTTGTCAAGCTCACTCCTTTCTATGCACTGAGGGAAAATTATTGTAAGCGATCTGTAAAACAATAGATGAAAAAAGAGGAGATAAAAATTAAATAAAATTTAAATAAAAACTAGGATCCTAAGTGGAAAAATAGCTTTAAATTAGAAATTAATACCAAAAAATAATGATATGTAATCTAAGGTGAAAATATTTTGAAGACTATCAGGATATCTCCCTTAAATGTTATTTAGTTCTGAAAAATATGTATTGAAGAACTGTTATATTTTACTTTACGTCATATTAAATGTGCTAAAATTAAAGAGAAACAAGTAGATAAAAGTAAAGATTGTATTATTATTTTATCACCCAGGTTATTTCAAGACTGGAGACATTCTTTAAATAAACCTAAATTATGACTCCTTGCACTTAAGTTTTGCTAACATAAAAAGTATGTATGATTTCAGAGATTTCTGCATATTTTGGAATGAGCTATTCAGTTGCTTGTAATTTCCAAGAAGATTACCCATTTTACCCCTTAACTAAAACCCCTGTTCCTTTACTGCCTTGCTGCTTCACTTCATGGGGATATGTCACTGACCAGAGAAACGATCACATTGAATTTCTGAGCCACGCTATTTTGTATGGCTAAAATAAGATGCTCAAAGTATGATTTCACAAATCACATGGTTATTGCCATGCAAGGAGAATTTGTTTTCTTAAGTTCACAATGCTCGAAAAGGAGAAGAATAATGTGAACAAATCTACAGGGAATACACTCAAAAGATGAAGCACATTAACCACAGAGGGAGTGAGTTCCAAATATTAAAGTCTAGTTCCTGAAGTAGAAATAGAAGCAGACCTCTGTGGAAAGGCAAATCGAATGAAAGTTTGAGGTGCACCTTTTTTTCAAGCGAATTCTCTGGAGAGATGGTGTCTGACACCATGGAGATCCTCAAAGACACCTAGGGTCCCTTGACACCAGTCGGTGGTGCCAGTGATGCAGGTGAGTCTTCAAAGCTCAGCGGCTGACAGGGTGGGGCGCTGTTGCTGCATGAGTTCAGCCTTCCAAGAAGTGACTGGCAGGGCAGCCCTGTCACAGAATATGCTCTCCATTTTTGGAGAAGTGGCTGAGACTTACTGAAGTTCTCAAAGTGTTCATTGAGCTCTTATGTTTATATGTATTTTGAAATCCAGTGGTTGAGGTCAGTAACTCACATATGATGGGTCTGATGAGCTCTGACATTGCATTCTTTTTCCCCCACCAAGACGGTGTCTTGCTCTCTCACCCAGGCTGGAGTGCAGTGGTGTGATCTCAGCTCACTGCAACCTCTGCCTCCTGGGTTCAAGTGATTCTGCTGCCTCAGCCTCCTGAGTAGCTGGGATTACAGGCGCATGCCACCACACCCGGCTAATTTTGTATTTTCAGTAGAGACGGGGTCTACCATGTTGGCCAGGATGGTCTCAAACTGCCTGCTCTCAAACTCCTGACCTCATGATCCTCCGTCCTCGGCCACCCAAAGTGCTGGGATTACAGGCAGAAGCCACCGCGCCCGGCAGACACCGCATTCTTGAGGGCTGGAGGGAGCACAATCTAAGTTCTTGTTACAGCAAAACATAGCAAACTATGTAAGTCTTTGGAATAATTCCAAAACTACATAACAGACATGAGCTCCAAGCTTACTGATTTATGTGTGTGCCTTCTCTGAGGAATATCTTTTGGTTATCCTTGTGCAACATGGCACATATTTTTCAAAGTGAATGAGAGTTAATGAGAAAATTAAATTATAAAAACATTATGGCAATGAGGTGGATCATCGCAGTGTTCAAGCTACAGATAAAAAAATGACATGCCCTCCAACTTTCATTCTCTTATTTTTCAGTAATATTCAAAATATTTATTGCGAAAGTTACCATTTCAATGATGAAATTAAGATGCCTTTCAGTTCAAGTTTGGCAGTTTTACATATTTCATGTGAAACTCTGATTTGAAATGTTGCTGAGGGTCTTTAGTATTGCATATGAATAATAAAAATCAAATTTGCTATTTATATTGAAATAAGATATACAGTATTTTATATGGCAAATGTTTCTCTTCCTTTTAAGAGAAGAAGAGAAATATTAAGGTGGCTATTACTCAAGTGAATCCTACTTAAAAGTAACTTTCTAATAGTTGAGAAGTCACTTATGCATACCTACATGAGGAAGAAAGTTGAATTGACTGCCAATCATTCAGCCCAGTGGGACATCAAACTCTCCAAACCTTTCACAGTAGGAAAACAAAGCCAGGCCTCCTTAACTATGCTACATGGCAAGTCAAAACATGAACATAATATCTGAAAAAGCCTGAAAAACATCTCTGGCTAACTAGATCTCATTGCAGGCAGTGAGAGAGTGGTGGCAAATGTGAACATGTCTGTGTGGGGTGGTGGCAGGGGAATTGGAATATACGAATCCAAGGAAAACTGACTCTTGGCAAATTACTTGTTTTGGTGCTCCTCTTCATTTTTTTTATTATGGTAGAAGACTTTGTATACAAATTTCTCACTGTACAAAAAACAAGTTCTTCAGTTATTGCATTTCTGCAATATATTAAAATACACGAGAAAATCACATTAAAAAGAGGCATGATTATAGAAACAAAATGTTATTGCAATACGATATCAACTTATAATTCATAATTATATTTGTAAATATCAAATTTTAAGTAATTTATGAGAAATTGGAGCCAAAGCTTTTCATACTTACTTTAGTGTTTTTCTAAAGGAAAAACGTGGTGAAAGAATTGTAGAGAAGACACAGCTTATCATTAATCCATTTGTCTTGATACTTAACACAGTATTGGTGGCACATTGGTTCCAGGACTCCCTGGGGATACCAAAACCCATGGATGCTTGAGTTCCTTATGTAAATGATGAAGTATTTGCATGTAACCCACACATACACTCTCTCTTTAAATAATCTCTGGATTACTTATAATTCCCAATGCAATGTAAACACTATATAAATCGTTGTTTTACATACTGTTTTAAAATTTGTGTTATTTTTAATTTTTGAAGATATTTTATCCATGACTGGATGAATCCATGGATGTAGAACCTATGGATAGGAAGGTCTGACTGTAACTGAGCTCAGAGATTCTGGAAAAGCACTTAAGTAATCAATATTCCAGGAAGGGGGACTTAAAAAGTATCCTTGACTCTACATGAGAAGTTTTAAATACAGTTTTTTTTTTTTTCCTTTTTAGGGAGTTTGCAGGTCAGGTACAGGCTAGACTGACATCAAGATTCTGATTCCTTTTACTTTGATTTAAAAAACTTAGCTGATAGCAGTTTCATCATTTTAAAATGAACATGAAAGAAGAAATTGTAGAGGTAATGCAATAATTAAAATTATGACTTTCTAGCATCAATGACTTTACATAAACATTTGATAATAAATGACTGGTAAAAAATGCCCAACCAATGATATACATATATACATATATATGTATGTATAAGTAAGAAGTGAAGTCAAATATAATTACAGCATTTTGTTTGGTTTTGCTTTTGTTCTTTGCTTTGCTTTTGTTTAACAATGAGAATCTATCCAAGCTATTATTAACATTTGATTACTTAGATGTCAAGTTTTGCTTTTAGTTCATAAGGAAACATAGTCGATTTTATCGCTGGATACTACTGGTAGAAACTTTGAATTGATATTTCGGTGAAAACCTATTTTCATTGAATTGTCAAACCACAAATGCTATATATAATAGCAATTTAGAACAAGAAAAACAACCTGATTTTGATTAAAATGAGGATAAATAATGAAAAGTCACCACAAAATAAATTTTACTCTGTTGCTGGCTTTTGAAGAAAATCATTTAGATATTAAATCTATAGATAGAACATTTCTCTGCCTCATGTAATATTTTATTCTTAGTTAAAAGTTTTGAGGTATAAAGTAATGCATTGTATTTCTTTGTATATCCTCCCAGTTATAGATATCCTATGAAGCAAAGTAAATCGGGAAAGGAGATAGCAGGTGGAGTGGCAGCTTATGACATTCTATAAGTTGGTTAAAAATATTTTCCTCTTAGTATATAAATCTTGGAATTGATCTCTTAACCTTTTTGGTAGCACTAACAGGTGGTTTATTTTATGAGTTTTTTCCCTTGGTTTCCCTTTGCTTCCTGTGTTTTTATCACAAAGTTACTCTTCATTTGAATGCTTCTATTGGAAGAAATTGTTAGGTTAACAAAATGCAAGGAGACAAGTCATCCTGTCAGGTACAGAATTCAGTGCTGTCAAATTTCTTGTATTGGGGAAAATTTTAGGTAGGTGGAAGAAAAACCTTTCCCTTCACATAACAGATCAAAAGTGTCATGTCACAAGCATGAGAACCATTTGTCATGCTGAAAGAAACTTCTTTTCTTAAGTTTATGAATAATTACATCATGAGTGACAATCAAGATAAAAACTGTACTTTTATCTAAGTGCACATGTAATCATGAGTAAAGTGCTTCCTGAAAGACGAGCAAGTATATTGCTTGAAAAATAACCTTACACTTATCTGTCTCACTTAGCAATCAAGCACACTGAAACATGTTATTCTTCTAATAATTCAGGCAAGAAAAAATGTGATCAAAGTATGTGTAAAATTCATAGCTTCTGTCTATGTCTTCATCAGTGGTCAACCCAGAAACTTTCATTTAATGAGACAACTAAGATTAAGTTTGGAATAAAAGAACTGTATGAATTAATTTTAGAATGCTATATTATTTGTCTTCTGACTTATGAACTGTATGAATTAATTTTAGAATGCTATATTATTTGTCTTCTGCCTTCATTTAATTCTTATGGAATTTGAATTTTTCAGAAAAAGTGGTTCTGAGCAAGTGCTGCAGTGGATACAAGATAACTGGATCCTAGCACTGGCTCTTCCATTTACAAGTTGCACGATAGACTGTGACAAGGCATCTGATATGGTTTGGCTCTTCTCTGTGTCCCCAACCAAATCTCACGTTGAATTGTAATCCCCAATGTTGGGGGAGGGAACTGGTGGGAGGTAACTGGATCCTGGGGGAAGATTTCCCCCTTGCTGTTCTTGTGATAATGGGTTCTCTCAAGATCTAGTTGTTTAAAAGTGTGTAGCACCACCCCCTTCACTCTCTCTCCTGCTGGTCAAGTGAATATGTGCTTGCTTCCTCTTCACTTTATGCCATGTTTGTAAGTTTTCTGAGGCCTCCCCAGCCATGCCTCCTGCACAGCGTATGGAACTGAGAGTCAATTAAGCCTCTTTTTAAAAATAAATTACCCAGTCTCAGGTAGTTCTTTATAGCAATAAACTAATACAGAAAATTGGTAGCAGAGAAGTGGGACATTGCAATAAAGATACCTGAAAATGTGGAAGTGACTTTGGAACCGGGTAGCAGGCAGAGGTTGAAACAGTTTGCAGGGATCAGAAGAAGACAGGAAGATAAGGGAAAGTTTGGAACTTCCTAGAGACTTGTTGCATGGTTGTGACCAAAATGCTGATAGTGATACGGACAGTGAAGTCCAGGCTGAAGTGATCTCAGATAGAGATGAGGAACTTATTGGGAACTGGAGTAAAGGTCAATCTTGCTATACTTTAGCAAAGAGACTGATGGCATTGTGCCCCTGCTCTAGGGATCTATGGAAATTTGAACTTGAGAGAGGTGGTTTAGGGTATCTGTTGGAAGAAATTTCTAAGCAGCAAAGCATTCAAGAGGTGGTCTGGCTGCTTCTAAAAGCCTATGCTTATTTGCATAAACAAAGAAATGACCTGCAACTGGGACTTACATTTAAATGGGAAGCAGAGCATAAAAGTTCAGAAAATTTGCAGCCTGGCCATGTGGTAGAAAAGAAAACCCATCTTCTCGGGAGTAACTCAAGAAGGCTGCAGAAATTTGCATAAGTAAAGAGGAGCCGAATGTTAATAGCCAAGACAAGGGGGAAAATGCCTCTGAGATATTTCAGAGAACTTCAAGGCAACCCCTCCCATCACAGGCCTGGACGCAAAAATGGTTTTGTGGGCCAGGCTCAGGGACCCACTGCTCTGTGCAGCCTAGGGACATGGCACCCTGCATCATGGAGACTTCAGCTGCAGCATTGGCTAAAAGGGGCAAGATACAGCTTGTCCATTGCTTCAGAGGGTGTAAGCCCCAAGCCTTGGTGACTTCCACATTGTGTTGGGCCTGCAGGTGTGCAGAAGGCAAGAGTTGAGGTTTGGGAGCCTCTACCTAGGTTTAAGGGGATGTGTGGATGTCCAGGGAGAAGTCTGCTGCAGGGGTGGAGACCTCATGGAGATCATCTAGTAGGGCAGTGCAGGAGGGAAATGTGGGGATGGAGGCCCCACGCAGAGTCCCCACTGGGGCACTGCCTAGTGAAACTATGAGAAGAGGGCCACTGTCCTCCAGATCCCAGAATGGTAGATCTGCTGACAGTTTGCACCATGTGCTTGGAAAAGCCACAGGCACTCAATTCCAGCCTGTGAAAGCAGCCGTGGGGGCTGTATGCTGCAAAGCTACAGGGGCAGAACTTTCCAAGGCCTTCGGAGGCCACCCAGTGCATTAGTGTATCCTGGATGTGAGACAAAGTCAAAGGAGATTATTATGAAGGTTTAAAATATAATGACTCCCCTGCTGGATTTCAGACTAGCATGGGATGTGTAGCCCTTTTGTTTTGGCCAATTTCTCTCATTTGGAATGGGAGCATTTACACAATGACTGTACCCTTATTGGATCTTGGAAGTACGTAATTTGTTTTTGGTTTTATAGGCTCATAGGTGGAAAGGACTTGCCTTGTTCCAGATGACACTTTGGACTTGGACTTTTGAGTTAATACTGGAAGGAGTTAAGACTTTGGAGGACTTTTGGGAAGGCATGCTTGTGTTTTGAAATGTGAGAAGGACATGAGATTTGGCAGGGACTAGTGGTGGCATAATATGGTTTGGCTATGTGTTGCCACCAAAATCTCATGTTGAACTGGGACCTGGTGGGAGCTGATTAGATGATGGGAGCAGATTCCCCCTTGCTGTTCTCATGATAATGAGTGAGTTATCATGAGACCTGATGTTTTAAAAATGTGTGGCACTTCCCCCTTCACTCTTTCTCTCCTGCTCTGCTATGGTAAGACATGCTTGCTTCCCCTTCACCTTCTACCATGATTGTAAGTTTCCTGAGGCTTCCTAGTTATTCTTCCTGTACAGCCTGTGGAACTTTGAGTCAATTAAACCTCTTTTCTTCATAAATTACCCAGTCTCACTGGGCACAGTGGCTCATGCCTGTACTCCCAGCACTTTGGGAGGCTAAGGTGGGTGGATCATGAGGTCAAGAGATTGAGACCATCCTGGCCAACATGGTGGAAAACCTGTGTCTACTAAAAATACAAAAATTAGCTGAGTGTGTTGGCATGTGCCTGCACTCCCAGCTACTCAGGAGGCTGAGGCAGGAGAATTACTAGAACCCAGAAGGCAGAGGTTGCAGTGAGCCAAGACTGTGCCACTGCTCTCCAGCCTGGCTACAGAATGAGACTCCATCTCAAAAAAAAAAAAAAATTCCCCAGTCTTGGGCAGTCCTTTATAGAAGTGTGAGAATGGACTAATACAGCAACTATTCTTCTGTGTCTGTTTATTCATCTGTAAAATTGAGGAGATTGGAATAAATGATCCCTCTATATCCTTTCTACCTTTGATGCTGTATGAATCCAGGTTAAAGTGTGTGGTACAATTTAAGAAGGCTCCTTTTAATATTTTTATATCCGTTAAGGACTCTTAGCTCAGAACTTCAGTATTATTCAATGACTCTCTCTTTCTGTCTTCCTCCTTCTCTCTCTTTACCCTCATTCAGATCAACATATAAAACATTTCCATTACCTAGGAAGTTTCCTGTGTCCTTTCCAAAACAATCTCTTATCACCATTGATTAGTTTTGCCTCTTCTTGAACATATAAATGGAATCATACAGTATGTCACCTTGTGTCTTGCTCATTTCCCTTAGCAAAATGTTTTGATATTCCTCCAATTTTTGGTAGATATTTTTAGTTCATTCCTTTCCACTGTTATGTACTCTTCCATTATATGAATGGAATTCATACAATGGATTTGTTTATCCATTCTTTTATTGATGAATTTTTGGGTAATTTCCAATTGTTGGCTATGAATCTCCTGTATTAGCTTTGCAGCTGTAATGAAACTTTTAGTCATTTCCCTCAAGATCACAATATGTTCTCTTAAGTTATTAGTACTTTGGCCACTTCCCAAAGAATGCAAGATCCTTACAAGTTTACTTCCATGTATTTGTGTATCTCTCACCCTTGTGCCATTGTTGTAATACACTTTTTTATTGCATTTTATATTTCTACAAGATATTATTGTAGTTTTAAAAAGCTTTCATTACTATTTACTCATGTTTGCCCTTTCTCTGCACTTCATTTATTCTTGCATTCCCCCCTGCTGCTTTTGTTTTCTGGTTTTTGATTGCCAATAAGAGCTACGGAAAATCATGAAATATTTCTTTTGTTTCTATATTTAATGTTTAATTGTTTTTGTGCTTATTGTTAGTAACTTTTTGAAACACCTTTCATTCCTTTAAGTAGAGAGGCTCTTCAGCCAAATTTTTATTCCTTAATATTTCCTTTTTCTTCCAGACATTTTGTTGTTGATGAGAGCAGAAAAGATTTCCCTTTTTGGAAAACATTATCGGGCAAAATATTTTATGGGCCAATGCCTCCATAACCTGAAACAATTGAAAGAATTCTGGATTGAAATGATAGAAATTGTATTGGTTTCTGGATTTCTTGCTGTAGATTTTTTTAAGAGAAAAAATGTATTAAATCTGTTTTTAAAGTTACTAAGCAACTCTACTAAAAATTGTCATGCAAGTGAAAATTGTCCTCAGCTTCTTAGGCTACCATGTGACATTTACTTCACTACTAAGCTTCACCCAAATCACGCTTTTCCCATCCCTTTCTTGCCTGAGATGCTTAATGTTTTTTCTCCTTTTTTTCTGTGAAAACCAAAGTATATTTGTTTTTCCATGCTAAGAGTTGATAAAATATTGTCCCACTGAGGCATAAATTAGTAAGAATATGCCAACTATTAGTACTCCCAGTTGGTTTTATTTTTTTCATTACATTTTAGTAGGAAAAATAGGTTTTAAGTTAAAAGAAAGGAACCCAAAGATGGAGTTTCAAGACATCCAATAGGAAAGACAGATAGAAATACATTTCTGTATATAGATATGTGTACTTATGTTTATACATATAAATATATAGATATGTGTGTATGTACATATTTCTGTATGAGTCATGGTCCAGGTGTAATTTAAAACTATTTATGGAAATATTACATAAAGCACATTTATTTATTAAAAAGAAGGATTTCCATAGTGGAGTATAAAGTTCTTTAAACAGTTAATAGGAAGACTAGTCAGGACAGAATTACAAAAATTTATGTGAACCATCTCCAAGATATGAGAGAATTACGTGCCAGGTGTACCATAAAACAAATTATATTAGTGTTGAATATTGCATATAAGAATATAACATAATTATGAATATAAAATATATATTATAAATAGAATGTCATTTACCAAGGTTTTCCACATTAAATAATACTGTTTTTAACCTTAAAACATACATTGTAATAAGAGTTATGATGTTCAGAATTCTAAGTATAGCATGACAAAACCCTTCTCCTATTATTTTCTTTAAAATATATATAAAAAACTTTTGCTGCTTTTTGGTGGATAATAACACACACACATGTACACACACACACATGCATCCCCATTACCTTTTAATGGAACAAGGCAAGTCCTTTAATGGGGACACATGCATCCCTATTACCTTTTAACGGGACAGTCACCATTAAACATGTCTGCAGTTATGTATTTCTAAAATCAGCTCTGTGGGTAAGAAATTTAATGTAGCTGCCGATTCTGTGCGGTTCTGGGGAAATAATAGTTTAAAATCTTCTAATTTTCCTCTAATTTCACTTCTAACTCCAACCTGTGCTCCTGAAGCAAGACGTTTTTGGACCGTCAGCAGGCAGATGAAGGCCTGAGAGTGGTAGGAGAGCTATTGTGGGCTTTCCTACCTCAGGGCTAGAGGAGGGCTTGGAGACCGGCAAAGGAAAAGATGGACCATTTCAAGTCTCAGAGCAAAAATACTAAGAGACAAAGATGGGATGGAAAATGAAAGTGACGTGGCAATCGATAGAGGAAATTTACACAAATCTGAAAATTCTGAAAAAGAAAAAGAAGCAGAGACAATGAATATGCATCCAAAGAGAAGAAAACTCTGAGCAAATTAAAAATGTGAGCTGCACATTCCCATTACTGGGTATATACCCAAGGGATTATAAATCATTCTACTCTAAAGACACATACACATGTATGTTTATTGCAACACTATTTACAATAGCAAAGACTTGGAACCAACCCAAATGCCCACCAATGATAGACTGGATAAAGAAAATGTGGGACATACACACCATGGAATACTATGTAGCCATAAAAGAGAATGAGTTCATGTTCTTTGCAGGGACATGGATGAATCTGGAAGTCATCATTCTCAGCAAACTCACACAGGAACACAAAATCAAACACTGCATGTTCTCACTCCTAAGTGGGAGCTGAACAATGAGAACACATGGACACAGGGAGGGGAATATCACACACTGGGGCCTGTTACGGGGTTGGGGGGCAAGGGGAGGGGGTATTAGGAGAAATACCTAATGCCTGTGGGGATTACAACCTAGATGATGGGGCCGGGCGCGGGGGCTCCTGCCTGTCATCCCAGCACTTTGGGAGGCTGAGGCGGGCGGATCACGAGGTCAGGAGATCGAGACCATCCTGGCTAACACGGTGAAACCCCGTCTCTACTAAAAACACAAAAAATTAGGCGGGCGTGGTGGCGGGCACCTGTAGTCCCAGCTACTCTGGAGGCAGAAGCAAGAGAAAGGCGTGAACCTGGGAGGCGGAGCTTGCAGTGAGCCAAGATCACGCCGCTGCACCCCAGCCTGGATGACAGTGCGAGACTCCATCTCAAAAAAAAAAAAAAAAAAATCTAGATGACGGGTTGATAGGTGCAGCAAACCACCATGGAACATGCATACCTATGTAACAAACCTGCACTTTCTACACATGTACGCCACAACTTAAAGTAAAAAAAAAAAAAAAAAGGCCGGGTGCGGTGGCTCACTCCTGTAATCCCAGCACTTTCAGAGGCCGAGACGGGCAGATCACAAGGTCAGGAGATGGACACCATCCTGGCTAACAGGGTGAAATCCCGTCTCTCTACTAAAAACACAAAAAATTAGTCGGGTGTGGTGGCGGGCACCTGTAGTCCCAGCTACTCTGGAGGCAGAAGCAAGAGAACCGCGTGAACCTGGGAGGCGGAGCTTGCAGTGAGCCAAGATCACGCCACTGCACTCCAGCCTGGGCCACAGAGCGAGACTCCGTCTCAAAAAAAATAGATAAATAAATAAAGTGAGCTGCAGTTTGAAAGGGCTCACCAACTTAGACTGATGGTATTTGTGTTGTTTGAGTTTCTTATGTTTTGGATATTGACCCTTTATTAGCTGTATAGTTTGCAAATATTTTTTCCCGTTCTGTGGGCTGTCCCTTCACTTTAAAGGTTTGCTGTGAAGAAGCTTTTTAGTTTGATGCCATTTTATTTCTCTCTTTTTGATTTTTGCTTCTGTTGCCTGTGCTTTTGGGGTCATATCCAAATAATCATTGCCCCAGCCAATGTGGTGGGGATTTTTCTGTTTTCTTTTAGTAGTTTCACAGTTTCAGATATTATGTTTAGATTTTTAATCCATTTGGGTTGATTTTTGTATGTGGTATAAAATACGGATCTGATTTCATTCTCCTTCATGTGGATAGCTAGTTTTCCCCACACAATTTATTGAAGATATTGTCCTTTCCCCATTGTGTGTTCTTGGCACCTTGGTCAAAAATCAATTGATCATACATGCATGGGTTGATTTCTGGGCTTTCTATCCTGTTTCATCAGTCAGGTTATTTTTATGCCAGTGTCATGCTATTTTCATTACAATAACTTCATAAGATTTTTGAAATTAGCGAGTGTAATGACACCAGCTTTTTTCCTTTTGCCCAAGATCGTTTTGACTCTTTAGGGTCTTTTGTAATTCCACACAAATTTAAGGATATTTTTTATTGCTGTGAAAAATGACATTGCAATTTTGAGAGAGATTGCATTGACACTGTAGGTCATTTTGGGTTGTATGGACATTTTTGAAAGAGCGGTGTTGAGGTTCCATAATATTGTAGTATTGCCATTTATTTATCCCTTCATGTCATTTAATAATTGCTTTACGTATTTAGGTGCTCTGATGTTGGGTGCATATATAATTACAACTGTTATGTCCTCTTGGTGAACTGACCCCTTTCTCATTATTTAATGACCTTCTTTATCTCTTTTTACAGTTTTTGCTTTAAAGACAATTTTGATTGATATAAATATAGATACTCCTGGTCTCTGTTGGTGTCTATTTGCATTGAGTATTTTTTTCCATACCTTCAGGTTCAGTCTGTATGTGTCCTCACTAGTAGAGTGAGTCTCTTGTAGGCAGCATATGGTTCTTTAAAAAGAAAATTTATTCAGCTGTCCTGAGTCTCTTGGTTGGAGAATTTAATCTGTTTACATTCAAAGTAATTACTGATAGGTAAGCACTTGCTACTGCTGTTTTGTCATTCATTTTCTGAATTTTTTGTAAGTCCCTGTTTCTTTATTTCTCTCTTGTTGTTTTCTTTTTGCTTTGTGGTTACCATGAGGCTTACATAAAATATCTGAGCTTTATAACATGCTACATTAAGCTGATAATAATTGAACTTTAATCTCATACTCTCACTCCCCCCTTTTATAATTTTGATGTAAAATTTTTAATTTGTTTTTGTAATTTGTATTCCTTAACAATTGCAGCTACAGTTTCTTTTAATAGTTTTTCCTTTTAATCATCACAGTAAGGATACGATTGCTTTATGTATCACCCATACAGTGTTAGAGAATGAGTTTGATTATGTATTACTTAATACCATTGAGTTATTGAGATTTTTACATGCATTTTTTTTTTGTTATTAAGTAGAAAACTTCCATTTCCAGCTTAAAGAACTGCTTTTAGCCATTCCTGTAAAGCAGGGATAATGTAATAGACTCCCTTAGGATTTGTTTGTCTGGGGAAGTTGGAATTCTCTCTTATTTCTTTTTTTATCTTTTTTTTTTTTGAGATGGAGTCTTGCTCTGCCGCTGCAATCTTGGCTCACTGCAACCTCTCCCTCCCAAGTTCAAGTGATTCTCCTGCCTCAGGCTCCCAAGTAGCTGGGAATACAGGTGCACGCCGCCACACCCAGCTAATTTTTGTATTTTTAGTAGAGATGGGGTTTCACCGTGTTGGCCAGAATGGTCTCGATCTCCTGACCTCGTGATCTGCCCACCTAGGCCTCCCAAAGTGCTAGGATTACAGGCGTGAACCACCCCGCCCAGCCAATTCTCTCTTATTTTTTAAGGACAACTTTGCCAAGTAAAAAACTCCTGGTTGGCAGTTCTTTTTCTTCAGCCCTTTGAATGTATCACCCCAATCTCTCTTGGCCTGCAGAGTTTTTGCTAAGAAGTCAACTGAAAGTCATATTGTGGTTTCTTGAATGTGATATGTTTCTTATCTCTTGCTGCTTTCAGTTTTGTTTCTTTGTCTTTGATTTTTGATAAATTGATTATGTTTTATCTTGGTAAATTCCTTTTTGAGTGGAATTTGATTGGAGATTTTTGAGCTTCCTGTATTTAGATGTTGTCATCTTTCCCCAGATTGGGGAAATGTTCAGCCATTTTCTTAAATATCCTTTTTGGGCCTTCTTCTCTATCTTCTTCTGAATCTCCGATTATGTGAATATTAGTTTGCCTGATGGTATCTCATAATTCCTGCAGGCCTTCTTTATTCTTTTTCTTTTTGCTCTTCAGACTGGATAATTTCAAGATACCTGTCTTTGAATTCAGTGATCCTTTCTTTTGCTTGATCAAGTCTGCTGTCGAAGCTTTCCATTGACATTTTCAGTTAAATTGTTGTATTCTTTATGTCTCAGATTTCTATTTGGTTTCTATTTTATCATCTCTAGTTCTTTGTCAAATTATCATTTTGTTCATGAATTGGTTTCAAACTTAATTTTATTTAATTGGAGTTCCCTGAACCTCTTTAAGGGGATTATCCTGAACCCTTTGTCAGTCATTCTATAGATCACCTTATATTCCAGATCTATTATCGGATCTTTATTATTTTCTTTTAGTGGTGTCATATTTCCCTGACTTTTCATACTTCTGTCTTGCATTGATGCTTCTGTGTTTGAGGAGATGGCCACCTCTTCCAGGCTTTGACAGAGCTTTACTACTTCGTAGGAAGGGATTTTGGATGCATTAGCTGGCAATGACCCTGGACGGGCAGAGCTTGGTGTCAGGTTCTCTAGTTGGACTGTGTCACTTCCTGAGCCCTAAGGTTGAATGGTACTGCTAACTGGACTCTGCAGTTCACTCTGATCAGGCAGGATTGTAGGCTGTCTCTGCTAGTTGGATGGTATTGTTGTTTAGAATCTGTAGTTGAGCAGGCCTCTGGGCTGAGCTCTGTGGTCAACTAAAGACTCTGGTGTTGCTCAGCTACACAGGGCTGATCAGGGCTAGAAGCCATTATGCCCCACACATATGTGTGGACTTGATCTTGTCTCCTGGTCTAGGGCAGGCTTAAACAAAGCACCAAAGCTTAGTGGAGTCCCTGGTCAGCTGCTGGTGCTGGGTGGGGGCCAGATGCACCCTCTGCAGAGAAGTGCTGACGTTCACTTGCCTTCTAGCCTGGGCAATGCTGTAGAAAGCACCAGGTCTATGTAGGAAAGCTGGTGAGGGATTCAAGCTGGGTACACCTGTGAGCTGTACTTCCTGCAGTACAATGCTGTTGGCTAGTCTCTCTCATATGATGCCTCCATTATCCAGAATGCAGACTAACTATATGCTAGTCTCTGTGAGATCTACTCCCATTATTTGTTTCTAGCTGACCCCAGGTGGTCTAGCCCCGATGGCACTCCTAATGTTTCCTGTGGTATAAGACAAGAGTGAGCCTCCTGTGAAGGGTTCTAGAATGGTGGGAAAGCTGGACGTCCACCTCCAACTTTCTTTTTCCACTGTAGAAATAGTGGGTCCGGTGAAATCCTCTGTGTGTCGTGCTGTGCCAGCTTGGTGGAGGGGTGGCATGCTCTCAAAATGAACTGTTTCTCTTACTGTTCAAGCACAGCTTCTCTTAGTTCTGCAGTACAATTGGGTGTCTCAGTCTCACTCCTGAGTTCTGGGATATTCAGAAAGGTATTCTTGCCTGTGGATAGTTGCTAGTTGGATTTCCATGTGGGGGTGTGGAGCTGGAGAAATTCTATTCTGCCACCTTGTGAAGTCATTCTCTGGAATAATTTTAGATTTACATAGAGTTGCAAAGATGGTAAAGACAGTTTCTATACACTCTTCACTTAGTTTCTTCTGATGTTAACCTCTTATGTTACCATGGCACATTTATTAAAAACGAGAAATTAACATTGTACAATACTATCACCTAAATGACAGGCTATATTTAACCAGTTTTTCATTTTTGAGAGGAAGTCTCACTCTAATGCTTAGGCTGGAGTGCAGTGGTGCGATCTTGGCTCACTGTAACCTCAACCTCCTGGTTTCAAGTGATTTTCATTCCTCAGCCACCCGAGCAGCTGGGATTACAGGTGCCCAACACCACAGCCAGCTAATTTTTATATTTTCAGTAGAGACGGGATTTCACCACGTTGGCCAGGCTGGTCTCAGACTCCTGACCTCAGGTGATCCACCTGCCTTGGCCTCCCAAAGTGCTGGGATTACAGGAGTGAACCACTGTGCCTGGCCCACATTTCACCAGTTTTTTTTTTTTTTAACTAATTTCTTCTCTTTGTTCCCAGGTACCATCCAGGATCTTATATTGTGTTGTCTTCATGTCTCCTTAGTCTACTTCAATTAGGGACAATCTCTCTGTCTTTCCTGGCTTTGACACTTTGAAGACTACTGACCAGATATTTTTTACAATGTGCATCAAATGATTTGGGTTCATCTGATGTTTCCTCTTGATTAAAGTGGGGTTGTAAATTTTGAGGAAGAATTTCACATAGTTGAAGTGACCTTCCCATTGTGTCACAGTGGTGTGAGGTAGCCATATGACTTTTCATTGTTCATGTTAACCTTGATTACTTGGCTATGTTGGTGACTTGATGGTTTCCTCCACTACAAAATTACAGTTTTTACTTTTCCATATTCCATTTCTTAAAAGTCAGTCATTAAGACCAACCTGCAAGACTGGGCACAGTGGCTCATGTCTGTAATTCCAGGACTTTGAGAGACCAAGGTGGGCAGATTGCTTGAGCCCAGAAGTTCAAAACCAGCCTGGACAACATGGTGAAACCCCATCTCTACAAAGGTACAAAAATTAGCCAGGTGTGGTGGAGTGCACCTGTAGTCTCAGCAATGTGGGAGGCTGAGGTGGGAGGATCACTTGAGTCTGGGATGTTGGGGTTGCAGTGAGCTGTGATTGTGCCAATGCACTTCGGCCTGGATGACAGAGGAAGACCTTATCTCAAAAACAAAAACCCAAACCACAAAAACAAGACTAACTTGCAAGCCACATGAGGGGAATTCAACTTCACCTTAATTCAAAATCGCCAGAGTAATTAACAAATATTTAATGAATTTTTCATTGGTTATAGAATTCTGGGTTGATAGGTTTTTAAAAAGTCTTTTATGACTTCAAAAGTGTCACTTCGTTTCTTGCTTGCATGGTTTCTGATATGAAACCATTCTTAATCCATTCTTAACCTTGTTTCTTGTTTGATAATGTCTTTTTTCCTCTAGCTTCCTCAAGATGTTTCTCTTTTGAGAAAAATGAGAGATTTTCAGTTTTTGTGTTGATTTCTCTTTGTCTCTGGTTTTCAGCAATTTGAACACATTCCATGTCACTTTAAGAGTTCTTCATCGGGGTCACTGGACACATGTGTCACAATTAACAAAGGGGAATACATTCTCCAAATGTTTTCTGTTTCCCCAGGAAGCCAGCTGGAAATACAACAAAATGCCTCTCCCTCTCCTTTAGCAAAACACATGTCAGAGCAATGCAAGATTTGATTGGGACTGCTTTACTTCGTTAACATTACAGTGACCTGTTTTTCTTTCTAGTAACAACCCAGTAATAGTTATTAAATTATTTGGAGCTAAATAAATGTAATGGTAATTTTCATTTAAATTTTGCTATATGGTAGCTTAGAGCATCTTACCTGTACACAGTTCCAAACGCAGAAAACCTAAGTTAAATTAACATATAAAAAATTAACATAGATGTACCATTACAGTTTCTCAAAACCATCATAAATGGCTCTATTTTACATCTCTGAGCTCTTATATGATGTTTCCTTTAACTATGTCATAAGACCTAAGGCTATGGTTTGAAATATATACCTACTATAAAAAAGTAAGCCTTCCTGCTAGTGTCAATAGATAAAAACAAAACAGGTCACAAAAATTTTCTCCCATTTTGTAGGTTGCCTGTTCACTCTGATGGTGGTTTCTTTTGCTGTGCAGAAGCTCTTTAGTTTAATTAGATCCCATTTGTCAATTTTGTCTTTTGTTGCCATTGCTTTTGGTGTTTTACACATGAAGTCCTTGCCCATGCCTATGTCCTGAATGGTAATGCCTAGGTTTTCTTCTAGGGATTTTATGGTTTTAGGTCTAACGTGTAAGTCTTTAATCCATCTTGAATTGATTTTTGTATAAGGTGTAAGGAAGGGATCCAGTTTCAGCTTTCTACATATGCCTAGCCAGTTTTCCCAACACCGTTTATTAAATAGGGAATCCTTTCCCCATTGCTTGTTTTTCTCAGGTTTGTCAAAGATCAGATAGTTGTAGATAGGCAGCGTTATTTCTGAGGGCTCTGTTCTGTTCCATTGATCTATATCTCTGTTTTGGTACCATGCTGTTTTGGTTACTGTAGCCTTGTAGTATAGTTTGAAGTCAGGTAGTGTGATGCCTCCAGCTTTGTTCTTTTGGCTTAGGATTGCCTTGGCAATGCGGGCTCTTTTTTGGTTCCATATGAACTTTAAAGTAGTTTTTTCCAATTCTGTGAAGAAAGTCATTGGTAGCTTGATGGGGATGGCATTGAATCTGTAAATTACCTTGGGCAGTATGGCCATTTTCATGATATTGATTCTTCCTACCCATGAGCATGGAATGTTCTTCCATTTGTTTGTATCCTCTTTTATTTCCTTGAGCAGTGGTTTGAAGTTCTCCTTGAAGAGGTCCTTCACATGCCTTGTAAGTTGGATTCCTAGGTATTTTATTCTCTTTGAAGCAATTGTGAATGGGAGTTCACTCATGATTTGGCTCTCTGTTTGTCTGTTGTTGGTGTATAAGAATGCTTGTGATTTTTGTACATTGATTTTGTATCCTGAGACTTTGCTGAAGTTGCTTATCATCTTAAGGAGATTTTGGGCTGAGACAATGGGGTTTTCTAGATATACAATCATGTCGTCTGCAAACAGGGACAATTTGACTTCCTCTTTTCCTAACTGAATACCCTTTATTTCCTTCTCCTGCCTAATCGCCCTGGCCAGAACTTCCAACACTACGTTGAATAGGAGTGGTGAGAGAGGGCATCCCTGTCTTGTGCCAGTTTTCAAAGGGAATGCTTCCAGTTTTTGCCCATTCAGTATGATATTGGCTGTGGGTTTGTCATAGATAGCTCTTATTATTTTGAAATAAGTCCCATCAATACCTAATTTATTGAGAGTTTTTAGCATGAAGGTACCCTAAAACTTAAAGTATAATAAAATAAATAAATAAATAAATAAAAATAAAAATAAAACAAAAAAAAAAAAAACAGACAAAACGACAACCAAAAATGCCCAGAAATCCTTTTTTTTTTTTTTTTTTTTTTTTGAGATGGAGTCTCACTCTGTCACCCAGGCTGGAGTGCAGTGGCGTGATCTCAGCTCACTGCAACCTCTGCCTCCCAGGTTCAAGCAGTTCTCCTACCTCAGCCTCCTGAGTAGCTGGGACTACAAGTGCCCACCACCATGCCTGGCTATTTTTTTTTTTTTGTATTTTTATAGATACAGGGTTTCACTGTGTTAGCCAGGATGGTCTCGATCTGATCTCGTGATCTGCCCGCCTCGGCCTCCCACAGTCCTGGAAACCCTATTTTTAAATGCATATTTGCATTCATAATAACCCGTGAATACATACATCTATTGATCTATGTATTCATGCATCCCTATATGTAAATGTCTGTTCAAAATGCCACTATATATATATTTATATATTAAACTTTTATTTTAAGTTTGGGTTACATGGGCAGGTTTGTTATATAGGTAAACGCGTGTCATAGGGGTTTGTTGTAGAGATTATTTCATCACTCAGGTATTAAGCCTAGTAACCAATAGTTATTTTTTGTACCCCTTTCCCTCCTCCCACCCTCCACTCTCAGGTACGCCCCAGTGTGTGTCATTCCCCTCTATGTATCCATGTGTTCTCATCGTTTATCTCCCACTTGTAGGTGAGAAGATGTGGTATTTTGTTTTCAGTTTCTGTGTTAGTTTGCTAAGGATAATGGCCTCCAGCTTCATCATGTTCCTGAAAAGGACATGATCTCGTTCTTTTTTATGGTTGCATAGTATTCCACTATTCCACGGTGTGTATGTACCACAATATGTTAAATTTTAGTTTATTACAACTTATATGCAACATACAATGGCAAGATGAATCAGATCAGAAGATAAACAATTGAGTGTGAAAAGACAGCAGTTTTTTTCCTGTTTTATTCTCTGCAGATGTAATTTTCAACGAGAATACATTTTATTGCATTAGTAGTGCTTTTAGAAGAGACATCTATATGATGCCCAGGCTGGACTTGAACTCATGGTCTTAAGCGATGCTCCCTCCTAAGCTTCCCAAAGTGGTAAATTGTACTTCCTGAGGGCATAGAAAAGAGACATAGAAGCAAGTGAAATTGGTATTACCCTTTTTTCTGTTATTCTTTATTAGTAAAACAAATTAGGTTTTTCTTTCCTTGGTTTTCATGTGTCCAAGCTCCTTTCTCTTTCATTTCACATGTGCACAAATATAATAACATACACTTTTGAACATCAAAAGTTGAATGATGAAAGAGTATTCATGAGCCCAAATCAACCTGCACATGACTTTTTTTTTATTCCTCTGAGAGTTAGCCTGTGGAAAGGTGGCAGGGTTTCACTGCATTATCCCCTGGAGATGGAAAGGTCAATTACAACATGTGTAATTGCTTCAGTCCTGATTTTCTACCTACACTTTCTGCTTCGGGGTTGTTTCACCTGACCAAGGAAGTTTCTGTGGCAGCAGGTCCTAGCTCTCTCGACCAGGTCCACTGACAAAGCCACTTTGCTGAGTGGCCAATTTGCTGATGACTGTTTTGTTAAATTTGTTTCTGCTATTTAAGGTTGACTTTTTTTCTTGTGTCATAGTCTCAGCAAATGTGAAGGGATGTCTGGTCTATCTCTGACCTGGCTTTCTGCTTTGACAGATGGAAGCTAAAAGAAAAAAGGAAAAACTGATGGTGCAAAAGATAAACATATTTATATGAGTTTATTCTTGAATAAAATGATTTATTTTTAAAATATATTCTTGATATGATTTGGCTGTGTCCCCACCCAAATCTCATCTTAACTTGTGGTTCCCATAATCCCCAGGTGTTGTGGGAAGGACCCACTGGGAGGTAATTGAATCATGGGGGCGGTTACTTCCATGCTGCTGTTCTCATAATGGTGAGTGAGTTCTCACGAGAACTGATGGTTTTATAAGGGGCTTTTCCCCCATTTGCTCAGCACTTCTCCTTTCTGCCATCATGTGAAGAAGGACATGTTTGCTTCCCCTTCTGCCATGATTTTAAGTTTCCTGAGGCCTCCCCAGCCATGCTGAACTGTGAGTCAATTAAACCTCCCTTTTACAAATTACCGAGTCTCGGGTATGCCTTTATTAGCAGCGTGAGAACGGACTAATACGATTCTTCCGATGAATATATTCTTCTCATTGATAAATGCTTGATGTAAATGCTTAATTTTTCCTCTAGGTGCCTTCAAGATTTTTCTCACTGTCTGTGGTTTTCAGCAATTTGGATACCTTACATATCGTTTTTATGAATCTTCCACAGAGATCAGTGGACACATGTGGCACAAAGAACATGTGAATTAAGAATGCACTCCTGAATAACATATTTTACATATATGTTATTGAGTATATTCTTAAATATAAATAATTTCTTGTGAATATATTTTGATTAATAAAAATATATTAATAAATGTTAACTCATGCATATTCTTCTTACTCAAAAATATGTTCTTATAAATATATTAATTATTCCCTCTCTCTTCCTCCTAGTCTCCAAAGGTAACATCAGGGGCTAGAACAGAGACACAGAAATGTTCCTTAAAATGTCAAAATGAAATATTGTCTATTAAAACAGAAGAATTAAAATAAACAAGAGAAGTTATGTATTGGTCATCTGATATTTGTAACCTGCAGCTTTCCCAGGAAACTTGGTTGGACCCTTTTCTTGTGTTCAGCTGTCAGAAGCTAAATGTTCCCTTCCTCTCTCTCTTTGCAGTCTGTTCATGACATTTGGTATTCCTAATATGCCCACTTGGAGGAAATTGCCAGCTTAGGCCAACCAGGGTGAAATGCATGCACTTATAAACTCATAAGCCCAATAATAATTTTCAGAAGGAGGCACTCATTCACTTCAGCTTATAAACTTGCAAATCTGTAGATTCATTAGTCTATCACTTACATGGAAAGACAAAATTTATATTTAATTGTTGAGACTTGACTTCAAAATTTTCAAGAATATCAACATTTGTTTTTGTTGTGCACCTCTCTGTCAAAAGATAAATACGTAGTACATAATCATTATTATTTATTAATAATATACTCTGCATGGTCTTACATTTCACAGTTCATGCATTGTTTATTCATTAATATAACCTGTGTTAATATGCACCACATTACCGAGAGCCCTTGTCAACTCCTCAGAAGCAATTAACTCCCAAGGTAACTATGACAATGAATCTCTTAATGCTTAAAGTGTAACAAAAAGATTGTGTGATTTGGATGTTAATTCAAATATTTCCCATACAGCCCCATACAGCCACTTTGGAAGGGAAGTGGTTTCTCACAAAACTAAGTATACTGTCACCATAAGATCCAGTAATTGTGTCTTGGCATTTAACCAAAGGCATGGAAAACTGAGGTCAACACAAAACTCTATACATTGATGTTTATAGGAGTTTTATTCATAATTGCCCAAAGGTGGAAGCAACTTCAGTAAGTGAATGGATAAACAAACTCTGGTACACTCATACAATAGAATGTTATTAAGTGATAAAAAGGTACACACTATTTAACTATGAGAAGACATGGAAAAAAAAAAACCTTAAATTCCCATCGCTAAGTGAAAGAAGCCGATCTGAAAAGACTACATACTGTGTAAGCCGAACTATATGACATTCTTTAAAAGGCAGAACGATGAAGACCATGAAAAGCACAGTTGTTGCCAGGGATTTGCGGGGAGAAGGAGAGATCAATAGGTGGAGCACAGGAGATTTTTAGGGCAGTGAAACCATTCTGTAAAATGTCATGGTGGATATATGACATTACACATTTTCCAAACCCATAGAATGTACAACACAAACAGTACACCTTAATGAAACTGTTAATTTTAGTTAATAATAATAATGTATCAATATTGGCTCGTTAATTGTAACAAATATACCAGACGAATGCAAGATATCTTAATAATAGGCATGATGAGCTAGGGAGGGTTTAAGGAACTCTCTGTATTGTCTGCTCAATTTTCTTGTAAATGTAAAACTGCCTCCAAAAATAATGTCTTTTTATTAAAGGAAAACATGCTGCTACCACTATGTGCTTAGTGTCCTATGCATTTCAAGTCTGGGTGGTATGTCTAGCAGAAATATATTAACATGTCCCAGGCTGATGGTATTGAATAAAGGATTTAGATGGCCATAAAAAATGGATTTTATATAATGGATTTCTGAGTTGATAAGAAAGCAGTATGAGTATATCACCATAATACAAAACTTAGTGATTTGAAATAAGGCAAGCATATCATCCATTTTGCCAGTGTAATGATAACACACACACTGTATAAACAGATATCGGAACATCAGTTTGTCACTGGGTGTTCAGGATGTAGAATATACATCAACTTAAATTTTCACATTTAGTAAAGCTCTAGCTTCCTCTTATGCTAGCTCCATAAATAAGACACATTTTTTCTTTCATCCTCTCTGATGGCCAATGCCGGCCTAAACTCTTGCCTGTTAGGAATTAGTACACATCTCCTAGCTCAGAGACACCTACACGAGTGACTCATGGCCAGTGGAATCTGGTTCACTGTGCCCTCCAGTGCGGGACCAGGCTTTGTTCCTCTCCCTTGCTTGGCATCCCAGTCTTGTGGGCCCTCTTTCAGTTGTTCATTCACTCCCTGCTTCCTCTCTTCACAAAAACTACTCTGTTGACCTTGGTTTAGAATTCTCTACCCACCCTCCACCCACCTCTTTATGCTGATCCTGTCCTTGTCCTGTCTTGCAAGGCTCAACAGTTAAATCTCAGGGCAGCCTTCCCTCACCCTTCAGTCCTGCCGCTTTATATAACCATCCTGTAGACTCCTGCTATTTTCCATCAGCCTGAGAGCCTCAGTTCCCTGGTGTGATAATGTGACTAAAGTCAGCCTCACCTAATTACACAGGGAGCCCCCAGAAAGCAGGGCTCACTGTCATTCGGCAGTACCTGCCCTGAGTCTGGCCCGTCCTTGCTGCAGCTCAGGAGAACTCAGCAGCCCAGGACAGCACCTTCGTAGGGCTCAGCAATACAGCTGGAACTAAGGGAGGGAGGAAAAGAAAGAGGCAGAGAATAAATGAATCAACTAAGCCAGAATTTTATAGTCAGAAGATCTACAAAGAAGTGGGTTTAATTTCAGCACATATTTGTTTTTAAAGACAAAATGACATTTTGATGCTACTATTAGTGGTAGGGAATGGGTGAAATGTCCATCTATTGGTGCTTGAGGTCACTAAACAACATAGCTCTGAGTAGAGGTTTCGAAGAGAGTTTTCGATGAAATGATTTGTTTTACAAAATAGGGCACATTATCTCCTGTTTTGTTGTGGAAACAAAACCCATAGAATAATTTCCCTTTTAAGCAATTCTTCTTTGTTTCCATTGAGGGAAGCTGAACTAGGAATACGCCATGTTAGATCAGGAGAGATTAAAGACAGACATTGGGAAGAATTTTCTATCTGGGGTGTTGTTAATCACTTTCCCACAGTAAAAAAGCCTGCAGAGCAGGCTTTTTTTGATGAGAGTTAAGGCAATAAGACAATTAATAGTCTAACCCAGTAACAGCTGAATTGACCAGATATCCTTCAAGACTTCTCAGAGACTTCCTCAGCACATGGACTTGAGCTCTTACATAATGTTCGCATTCACAGACTGCATTGTGCCTGCAATCTCATGTGTTATTATTATTAGTAGTAATAGTATTTTAAACGGAGTCTCACTCTGTCTCCAGGCTGGACTGCAGTGGCATGATCTTGGCTCATTGCAGCCTCCGCCTCCTGGGTTCAAGCGATTCTCCTGCCTCAGCCTGCCAAGTAGCTGGGATTACAAGCCCCTGCCACCACACCCAGCTAATTTTTGTATTTTTAGTGGAGACGGGGTTTCACCACGTTGGCCAGGATGGTCTCGATCTCCTGACTTCGTGATCTGCCCTTCTCGGCCTCTCAAAGTGTTGGGATTACAGGCGTGAGCCACCGCGTCCGGCCCCATCTGTTATTATTCAAGGTATTTTAGTGCATCACCGCGCACACGATCTTGGGTCTCGCCATTATTTTGTTATCTCTGTACTTGAAGAAGAGAGACATTCTGACTGGCATTAACTCAACATTTTGTGTGATGGACTATTACATATGGCTCGGAACGCATTTTTGTTTGCTATATAGAAATGATCTTCTCTTCTGTGTGATAAATGATACAGCTAAAAGTCTCAGAATTAATCAAACTTACCATCAATTAATTTCAAATTTTTGACTAGCTTCCTTAAGTATTTAAATTATTATGATTTGCAAAATAACCTTGAAAGTCATTCAGTCAAAATGGCTTTGAAATAAAATCATCACATGTTAAAGTAAGAAATTATATCCTACCTAATAAGGACAATAGATACATTAAAATAGTCTCATCAAGTATTTGTCTTTAGTTAGTAGTTATTTCTCCAAGAAAGTATTAACTTCAATTTTGAACAAAGTTTTCTTTCTTTTTCTGGCAGTATCAGCCTTTTGCCAAGCTGAACACAAGGGGATGAAAAGAAAATCTGGGCTCGAATGTGCAATTTCCTATTTTATGTCAAGGCAATTTACAACATATCATAAAGCTGCATTAATAAACAGATGTTCCACAGTCTGCAGAATATAAAATAAATGACTTGAATAAGCTATGAAGACCAAGGCATTTTGTGGAGCAGATTTTTTTGTCTTAAAGTTTTATCTCATGCAATCACTGCATATAACACAAACTTATATAATCAATGCTTTTAGCAACACGTCATAGTAGAACCAAGGCCCAGTTGTTAGCTGAAATCTATATAAATATAGGTATGTAGAATAGTTAGGAAATATAAATGTTAGCATATGCTCTTTATTGTTGATGATATCAATAATTCTTTTATGAACTCAGAAAAGTTTTTTCTCTTTATATTCAAAATGAAGTTTTCTAATTACTCTCTTTTTCACAGGGTTCTCCCCGTCTGCAAATTATACCCATTACAGCTATTTCTTTTAAGTAAATATCTCCTTTGAATCAGTCTTAGTTTCTCCAACACCTAGACAATGCCTGGCACATGTAAAGGCATTCAGAATACAAGTAAATGCATGCATAAAATGAATAAATATATTTACAAGATATTTATAGACATGTCATAGGAATGTGGGGGCCAAGAAGAGGGATTCTAGCTTTTGGGTAGATACAATTGCAGATAATAACAATAACTTACAAGGTGCCTAAAATATCAAGTTACCGTTCTAAATGTGTTAGATCTATTGGTTCATATAGTGCTTGCAAAAGCCCTTGAAGTATAGTTTTATTATACTTACCATTATATAAATAGAGAAACTAAGGCAGGGAGAGGTTATGTTGTTCCAGGTTCACGTGACAATTCAATGGCAGAGCTTGATTCAAATTTCATACTTTTAACTTACGTACAATTTTGCCTACCATCAAGACATTCTTCTTGCTGAATGGAAAAAGGCCCTCAAAGGGAATTTATGGAGTACTATTACACATAAATAACTCTGCATATAAGTAATTCTTCTGTGGAATGATTTCATCTTATATTCTCAGAGAATGACACATTTTATGTCAAATAAATACAGGAGAAAGAAAATGATTTTATAAATGTTACTAACACTATCCTAACAAATGGAAGAGATATGATAAACTTTACATTCTAATTTGAAATTTATGAAAATGATAAACAAAACACTGTTTTGAGTAGACTCTATCTCTTATTTTTGTGAGGCCAAAATATCTAATACATTTATTTTATGAAATAAATGCTTAGGGATTATTTTATTTGTTGTTGTAAGGAATTATGCCTACTGAAATGGACAAAGCATTGTGATTAGTGTTGGGTCTTTTGGCTCAGACTCACCTAAAGGGAACAAAGAGGAACAACCAGATGGTGAAATGGAGGTTCCTCCATCCTCTGATAGCTTGACTACCATTGCATTTTAGTAAATCGTTAAATCGTATACTATGCTTATGACAACTTAATTTTTTTTTGTAATTGATGATGGAACTGATAAGTTCTTGTATACCCTTGCTTGTTAGATCAGGAGAGACTCAGGACAGACATCAGGAAGAATTTTCTAGCTGGAGTGTTGTTAATCACTTGCCCACAGTAAAAAAAGCCTGCAGAACAGTCTTTTTTTGATGAGAGTTAAGGCAATAAGACAATTAATAGTCTAACCCAGTAACAGCTGAATTGGTCAGATATCCTTTAAGGCTTCTCAGAAGCCTCCTCAGCACATGAACTTGAGCTCTTACATAATTTTCTCATTCATAGTGACTGCATTGTGCTTGCAATCTCATGTCCTATTATTTAAGGTACTTAGTGCATCACTGCATACATGACCTTAGGTCTTGTCATTATTTTGTAATCCCTGTACTGGAAGAAGAGAGACATTCTGACTGGCATTAACTCAACATTTTGTGTGATGAACTATTACATGTGGCTCAGAATGCATTTTTGTTTGCTATACAGAAATGATCTGTTAATTATATGTGATAAACAATACTGCTAAAAATCTCAGAATTAATCAAACTTACCATCAATTAATTTCAAATGTTCACTAATTATTAGCGAGAGAGGAGTGTTGAATTATCTAATCATAATTGTACATTTGTTGATTTCTTCTTTTAGTTCAATTAATGTTTGCCTTTTGCCAAATTTGGGTAATTTTTCCTGTTAGGTTTTCAAAATTCTTTCAGCACTGCATTCCTTTTCCTTTTCTCCTTCTGAGACTCAGATGACATGTATGTTGGAACTTTAATTATTGTTCCTCAAGTCTCTAAGGCTCTAATCGAGACTTTTTCATCTTTCTTTCTCTCTATTGTTCAGATTAGATAATTTCTGTTGATTTATATTCACAATAACAGATTCTTACCTCTTTAGTTTTATTGTAATAAAAAGCTTACTTAGAATTTTGTATGTCAGTTATTGGATTTTTTGGTCCTAATATATTCATTTTGTTCCTTTTTACATCTTCTATTTATTTTCTGATACTTCTAGTTTTCCATTGGTATAAAAGTGTTTGCGACCGGGCATGGTGGCTCACGCCTGTAATCCCAGCACTTTGGGAGGCCGAGGCAGGCAGATCATGAGGTCAAGAGATCGAGACCATCTGGCCAACATGGTGAAACCCCTTCTCTACTAAAAATACAAAAATTAGCTGGATGTGGTGGCGCATGCCTGTAGTTCCAGCTACTTGGGAGGCTGAGGCAGGAGAATCGTTTGAACCCGGGAGGCTGAGGTTGCAGTGAGCCTAGATTGCACCACTGCACTGTAGCCTGGGTGACAGAGTGAGACACGGTCTCAAGAAAAAAAAAAAGTGTTTGCAACCACTTGTTGGAACATTTTTATAAAAGCTGCTTTAAAATCCTTGTGATGTAATTCAAATTTATTTTTCTTCTCAGTATTGGTAGCTACTTAGTACTGACTGTCTTTTCTCATGTGGGGTACAGTTTATCTGTTTTTTTGTAATTTTGGATTGTGTCATGGACATTAAGTTTTGAGGCTCTGGATCTTCATAAAATATTAGGCGGATGGATGCTATTTTTGTTTTAGAAGCAATTGACCTTGTCATATTCAAGCTGCAAGTTCCAATCTGTGTTTTGTGAGCTGTGGTTCCAACAATCAGTTGAGTTTTCAAAGCCTTTCCAGTTTTCTTCAGATATGTCCTGGTGGTCAGTGTGGAACTCGGATGATAATCTGCTAGCTTCGTTCTCAAAATCTTTGGTTAACTAATTAGGAGCAGATCCACACACATGCAGCTTGGGGATGCGCTCAGTTCATTAAAAACTTTATGGTGTCACTTTCTCATACTCCTTCCCCTCCACAATGTCTCCAATATTTTCTGGTTCCCTGGAGCTCCTCTTTTCTGTTTTCTGGCCAGAATGCTGGGTCTTTGATTACGGTACTCTGCTACAGTGTTTCATGGCTGCACCCATGTTTGGAGCCAGGTGACAGGTGGCAAAATGAGAAAAGACTTTAAAAAGTTTGCATCACCCTCTTGGGATCACTACTGCACCAACTGGAGAGGAAGATGCCCTGGCCTCAGTGTTTTGTTTCTCCTAGGCACCACCTACTGCTGCCACCACAGGAATTCTTGGGGGCCAGATCACAAGGGCTCAGAGAAAACAAACAACAACAAAACGGAGGGATTTCTGCATTCTCTCAGAGTAATAGGGGTCCTCTTTCCTGACCAAACCCGTAGGGCTTATCCTTGATCTCAGCAATTGCTGAGAAACTGTTCCACACTTTACATGGAAAACAGACTTTCTTGTTTGCCTCATCCCTACCAGTGTCTTTCTCCCTACACCTAAGGTCAATTACCAGCTGCCCTTTATCGTTGAACTTGATGCTTTCTTCTCATAGTAGAATTAAGAGGAAAGTAAAATATTTTTTGTACCTATATCTTTATTATATTTAGACAAATCACAGAGTGAGAGAGTAGGGGTTTCAAGAAAAATAGGAGAGAGATAAAGGAGAGAGAAAGAACTGCTTGTGGAAATACAGAATATCCCACATTTTCAATGTGGAAAGTGTATGAGGGTATGAAAGAAAATACTCAGTTTTTTTTGTCCTGTAAGAGGCAGCATTGACAAATGTGTACCAGAGTTTGGGTACATTTGAGCCAGTTCTTCAGAATCGTGGGGTGGGAAATAGAACAAAATTATTTACACCTAATTCTAGGCAGATAAGTGTGCTTCAAGGAAAGGCAAGGGCCTGGCTAGATTCTAGATGTTTTTAAACTGGAGGCCAGAGACAGCTTTAGGGAGTCCATATACAGGCACAAATTTATTTCTTTTATAGTCTTCTTGCTCTTTGAAAATGGTCTTTATGCAAATACTCACTATATAACCAAAGTTTCTCTTTGTTCCAGGCAGCAGTAGGGCTGATTGGAGCCATTGTACGTGTCGGGAACATATCAGAACACCGAGAATAGCGTCATGTCATAAGGACTCAGAGCAGGTGGACCCTGCTGTGATGCACAAAGGTGAGGGTGCAGCTGCCCAGGACACACTCATGCATGTTTGTGTGGACCATGGAAGATGGCAGGGGAAGAGCTGTCAGGTTGTTGGGGCAGAGGGTGCGCATGAGTACTCGCCTGTAAGTCATGTTGTAGAATCACCTCGCACAGCCACTGTATCTTCCCACTAGCATCACCAGATAACTCCTTTATCGTCACTTCAGTAATGCTTGATTTTGTCTGACTTTTTTATGTTTACCAGTTCAGATAAAGAGAATTGCACTCTCATCATTGCTATAATGTACACTTTTTTGACTACTAACGAGTCTGAGAATCTTTAGATACATTTGTTAGTCATTAATGTTTTCTCTCTCTCTTTTTTCTGTTTTTTGAGATGGAATCTTGCTCTGTTGCCCAGGCTGGAGTGCAGTGGCATGATCTCAGCTCACTGCAACCTCTGCCTCCTGGGTTCAAGTGATTCTCCTGCCTCAGCCTCCCGAGTAGCTGGGGCTACAGGTGCCCCCCACCACACCCAGCTAATTTTTGTATGTTTAGTAGAGACGGGGTTTCACCATGTTGGCCAGGCTGGTCTCAAACTCCTGACCTCGTGATCCATCTGCCTCAGCCTCCCAGAGTGCTGGGATTACAGGCATGAGTCACGGCGCCCGGCCCTGTTTTCTCTTCTTAATCTGTTTGTACTTTCATTTACTTTTTCTTTCCTCTTTAATAAGAGGTTTTTATTTTGGATATCAATCTTTATGTCTTCAATAATGTTGTAAATATCTTTTTGTTCCCACTAGCTTTTCTTACAAACTTATTCCTAGTGTCTTGTTGCACAGAAATTTTATTTTATTATGGTCAATTTTTTCGGCCTTTATCTCTATAATTTGTATGGGGTTCTTTTCTTGTTTGTTTTTGATTTGTATAAAAGTGATTTTTTACCCTAAAGTCAAAAGTTAAAATTTAATGTTTTCTTCCTATTTCAGAGGACCACGCAAGATATGATAAAGATCTATGTCACTGAATTTTGGTTCAATTTTTGTATCTCAGCTTCCCGGAAATAAAAAAGAATTCTAACATTCATACTTTCAGTATTTTATGTGAGAGGTTTTGTTGTCAAAATCAAGTCTGAGAGCAATGTTTATTGGGGTCTTTAATTGGAGTCACCAAGCGATAAAGGGGACATTGTCCTCAACAATAAAACTATAATAAACACGTTTTGGACCATAAGTATATGACAATTTCTTAAAAGCAATTTCTTGGACAATCCAGACAATATGGCTTGTGTATGGAGTTATACGATGGTTTGGATTAATCCAGTATTAAATCTTTGGTTATTACAGAAATCAGTGGAGCCTATTCTTCCAAATAATCCTTAAATATTACTTATCTCAACTGAGATTTTGGTGAAAATTTAGCTTTAGAGCTTTTATTGACCTGCCAATGACCTGAAGTTAAGATTATTCTTTTCCACTGAATGAAGACAAACCACCTTATAAAAATTAACCCAGAAGGCTGTAAAGGTGATTTTTTTTCTTTATTTCTGATGACAGTTAAATAGCTTGACTAAAACTCTTGGTTCCCTAAATGGCTTTTCTGCTTTTGGATGGTGGTAGCCTGGGGAACATAAGGAAAGCAGATGTCTCCCAAAACTGGGAATAAAATACATGGTTTATTCCAATATATTCCAGGAAACCCCATTTCCAAGCTCTTTAAACTAAAACATTACTGTAAACATGTTGGCCTAAAATTTTTCAGAGCTAGAAATTTTCAGAACAATAGCTGCCAGTTGCCACCATGATGTTAGGAAATTCTCATTAATTCTTACATGATGGTTGTCTACATAGAGATGAAACACTTGACTAAATTGTCAGCAGCACAATTGTGTCCATACAGACAGATAGAACAAATTCAATGCTGTGATGTAGTTTAAATGTGCACATGTTAACTGATTAGAGAGCTAGAAAATGGAGGGTATTTTTAGCAGCATATGATAAATATATTTCTGACTGTTGAATATTGTTTAACTGCTTTGTTCTAGTTACTGGGGATTATACAGTAGGAAGTAATACAGACAGATGTCACGTCCTGATGGGCCTTGTATTTCAGGGATGAAATGGGATTTTGTTGGCGCCAAGACCTGATTGCTTTGCCAGTTACCCTCACCCCTGGCTCACGAGGAAAGTGTATTGAGGAGATTCTCGAGGAACCACATGAGTTTTAATATCATAAGCTTCTGCCCTGTATTGAAAGGTAATTTTTTGTTGAGGAGGGCTGAGTCACACTTATCCACAATGCCTCCTTTGGCATAGGCCCTAGATAACCCAAAGTGTGTTCTCTCAAACAGATGGAGAAAATTAGAGGATAGAAAATATCAAGAGTGTTACTGAGGATGCTGCCAGCTGAACCACCATTTATGTTTTTCATAGAACAAAACTTCAAGGGGTTTAAGTAGTCAGAGTGTGGCCAGCTTTTCCTTGAAAGTATTTACGCAAGGAAGATGTTCTATATTCTGGAAGAGGGCATATGTGAAGGGCATTTCGGAATGATGTAAGGTGTATGCACAGGTCATGTGATGGAGTGGTCTGGGGTAGCCTCAGACCACTCGTGACAGGCCACATGTGATAGGCCTCGAAGTTCGCCACTACAAGCATGGAGCCCATATCCACAACAACTTCAAGCGCAGAAGCTGGGCTGTGGGGTGTAGTAGTTCACGCCCAAAATCACAACTTGGTTTGGAAAATGAGAGGGAAGAGAAACTTCCCTAAAGAGAATTAGAAAAAGTAAAACTCATGAGGTAAAGCTGTATAGATTTGAAATAATAAATCCTTACAATTTTTACTTCCACTGGTCGATGGCAGGGTTTCTTAATCTTAGCAGTCTTAACCTTTTGAGTCAGATAATTTTTAATTCTTCTTGCAGAGGAGAAGAGAGGGTACAGGCTGTTCTGTGCACGATGGCATGTTTAGCAGCATCCACAGCCTGTACTCACTAAGTGCCAGTAGCAACCCCCAGTTTTGACAACCCAAGATGTCTCCAGACATTTTCTTCCCTGGAGGCAAAAACAGCCCTGGTTGGGAAGCACTGGTTTATGAATAGAAATAAAACTGTAGTGTTCTCCAGCCAAACAAACAACAACAAAATTAAACAGCATATTTTCAATTTATTGCCTTCCTTGGCTAGTACATAGCTCACTACAATTAAAGCTTCCAATTAGAAATTCTTCTTGGACTTAAAAAAAAAAAAAGCTATCAAGAGAAGCAATTTAGTAAGCTGGGTTTTAGGAATATGCTGTTAATTTTGCCTAAAATGTGGCATGCAAGGGGAGAGTTATGTAATCATTTTAAGTAAATAAGTGTTTCATTAAAAAAAAACCCTTAAAATGGTTTGATTCAAAAATACTGAAATCTCTTATCGTAGAAGCATAAATCTGAATAGTTTTGTTATTTAAATATAACTGGCTGTGAAATCATCAAGGAACATAGCTAATCGAACCTACCATTCTAGCCTACATCATCCTGTGCATTTCAAAAAATCCTAATGAAAACTACACGAAGCTTAAAGTATAGATAAACATATCAGAGTTGACAACCGTGAAACCATGCTATCCAAAGGCTACGTGCTCTGAGGAATTCCTGTTAGCTACAGCACATGTAGGATCAATGAAGGAAGAAAATGAAGGCTCCTGGGAAACAAAATTATGCCAGGACAAAGCTGAAGAAGAGCAACACCTGTCGGAAATGTCCTAAGATAAATTTCGAAAGGTGCCAGGCTTGGAGGTGGGGCAGGCACCGCCGGAAAAGACACTTTCCCTTTGGGACTTCCTTTGCCTGTGACAAGAACAGCACTTGATGCCCTTAGAATAGTTCCTGGAACATCTGAATAAATATCTGTGGAATGGCTGAATCAGGGGTGAGGACTGGCGTTCAGGTGGGGGTCCCCTCAATAGTATGACCACAACGGAGGCTCCACCTGGCAGGGAGTCATCCTGATGCTACAGGAGCTCATCTCTGGATTAGGAGGTCCTGTTCTACTTCCAGTTGCAAATATTACATATATTTATGTATGTGAGTGCTTATATATATATATATATATATATACACACACACACACACACACACACACACACAGCCGCCCAACAAGTTCCCCTTGCCCGCTGCCTAGACAGAGCTGATTTATCAAGACAGGGGAATTGCAATAGAGAAAGAGTCATTCTTGCAGAGCCAGCTGGGCGGAAAACTGGAGTTTTATTATTGCTCAAATCAGTCTCCCCGAGCGTTTGGGATCAGAGTTTTTAAGGATAATATGGCAGGGGCTCAGGAAGCGGGGAGTGCTGATTGGTCAGGTTGGAGATGGAATCACAGGGGGATCAAAGTGAGGTTTTCTTGCTGCCTTCTGTTCCTGGGTGGGATGGCAGAACTGGTTGAGCCACATTACTGGTTGGGGTGGTGTTGATGGCAGCGGCCCATCTGGAGAGGCTGCTGCCAAGATGCTGGCTGCAGCAGGGGAGGCGTCCCAGGGCCGCGCGCTTGGTGGAGCCCGCGGGAGCTGAGAACAGGAAGGAAAGAGCCCTGCCGGCTTCTGAGCTGGTGGGGAGGGAGCCCTGCAGTCCCAGGCGCAAGGGTAGCTGCCCAGCCATGGCTTCAGACCCGGGCATCCATGTCCCCGTGTCCTCTGGGGCGGGGGTTGGGGGCGGTGGCCGGAGGAGGGGGGAGGGCACGGGAAGCCTATATTAGACCAAATATCATGTTATATTTTGTGTATTCATTTTTTAACTCATAACAATCCAAACTAGATTTTCTTACTGATTTATTTTACTTGTTTATTAATCTCATTATGTAGAATATATTTTGGAAGTTGCCTTAATAGTTTTTAGAGGAAAACAGGATAAAAATAAATAAATATGTAAAAGATGCCAGTTTTCCTTATATGTATATGTAATGGTGTAAAAAAGCACTAAATAAAATAATCCGTATAGTGGCTAGGGAAATAATTAAAGTTAGGTTTTTGGTCCTGGCGAGGTGGCTCACGCCTGTAATCCCAACACTGTGGGAGACCATGGCTGGTGATCACTTGAGGTCACGAGTTCGAGACCAGCCTGGCCAACATAGTGAAACCCTATCTCTACTAAAAGTACCAGAATTATCCGGGTGTGATGGCGGGCGCCTGTAATCCCAGCTACTCTGGAGGCTGAGGCAGGAGAATCGCTTGAACCTGGGAGGCAGAGGTTGCAGTGAGGAGAGATGGCACCATTGCACTCCAGCCTGGGTGACAGAACGAGACTGTGTCTCAAATACAATAAATAAATAAATAAATAAATAAATAAATAAATAAATAGGTTTTTGAAGGAATCGAGATTATAAAAGTATATTTCAGAAAAGGGTGCAGCAAATATCTTTTGAAAATGCAAGGGCAGAGGTATTTCTGGCAGAAGTAATGATATGAGACATTTACTACAATATCGCTTCTACTTATGCTTCTGTAGTTTACTAAAGGCAATTATTGTTTCATTGGAAATGTAATTAATGAACGTGACCCTCAGTACCATAGATTGGGAGCCACAAGGCTGGCCCTGGGCTGACTGTGGTTGGACTCACTCAGGAACTGGCTTGGCTGGTCTCTTTTAAATAACTGCTGCCAGCTACTGCCAGGAGTTGCAGGATGGGAGAAGGGAAGCTGACTGGCCCAGCTGATCCATAAACAGCCCTTTAATAGCACTGCAGTTGCTTGTGATGAGTGCCTGGGATTCTAGGTTTGTTTTAATAGCACTGCAGTTGCTTGTGAGGCATGCCTGGGATTCTAGGTTTGTTTTAATCTTTCTTTTGTGAGGGGTTTCCATCTCACCCTCAACTCTGTTCTTTGCATCGTTCGGGCTACACATCCCAGTGTGTTCCCATCTCCTCCTGCCCTCTAGTCTGCTGAGGGTTTTGCATCCTGTTCTCAGCATGGACACATATCTTCTCTTTTGTCCATCACATGGTCATTTCAATAGGATGTTGGTAGAATAGGAAGAAGATGCACATGTGTTTAACTAATCATTTTTAATTAGAAAGCCAGAGGTTGAATTGAAAAACAACTCATATTGAAACTGCATTTGCAATAATTATAACAGTGAGAAAATTATGGCAGTGGGGAAGATCTAATATAGCCAACTTCCCTCTTATATTTTACCTTCATGTTGCCTTAATTATTACTGGGCTTAGGATGGGCTAGCTTTGGGAGACATGTAGTTTACAGTTTAAATAATAATAGTCCATCTCCAAAACCCAACCACCTTTACAAAGCTAATGAGAGACCACCAGGCTGGGAGGAGAGGAGCCTGAATTCTGCAAAGGTGTAGACATAAAAGACTGCCAGCCATTATTCCAGAGGTCATGAGATATGCACACCTGTAAGTCACCAGTCAGCAGGAGCTATAATCTTGGAAGGCCAGAGCTACAACCAGACATGTGCTCAGGAGAAAGGGGACTGCAGCAGGGAGAAGAGTGGGCAGCAGGAAAAATGTATCTCTGCCTCCCAGGTTCAAGCGATTCTCCTGCTTCAGCCTCCCAAGTAGCTGGGATTGCAGGCACTTTGGGAGGCTGAGACAGATGGATCACCTGAGGTCAGGAGTTCAAGACCTGCCTGACTAACATGATGAAACCCCATCTCTACTAAAAATACAGGCTTAAGATTTAAAATAAAATAAAATAAAATAGTAAACATCCCTGCCAGCCTGCTGAATTGACCTTAGAGAGTAGGGTGTGTAGTGGGTGTGACTCTCACTGTCACCATTGCTAAGTGCTTACTGACATCTTTCAGTCTTGGGGACCCATCCTCTGCTAAACTCTGCCATAAGAAGGTCATACATCCCCACTGCCTGTGATGTCTCAGTTTTGTTTTCTCGTTTCCTCTTACCTTTATGCAATCAGTTTCTAGGAAGATGTTGTTTTTTTCTTTTTTATGATTGAAAGAATTCGGTTAGTTTGACCCCATACCATTTCACTTTCAGCACGTGCTCTCTACGGTTAATGTCATCCTTGGGAAGCCCGTCTTGAACACCTGGAAGGTTTTACAACAGCAATGGACCAATCAGAGTTCACAGCTACTACATTCAGTGGAAAGATTTTCCCAAGCACTACAATTAGGAAATAGCCCTCCTTTGTCCTTCTCCCAAACTAATGTGCAGATGAGCAGCATGGTAATCATGTCCAGCCACCCAAAAACCTATCAACAGAGGTTTGTTTTCCCATACTTTGACCTCTGGGGCAATGTGGTCATTGACAAGAGCTATCTAGAAAACTTGCCATCAGATTCACCTATTGTCACCATGGCTTTCCCAACTCTCCAAGCCATCCTTGCCCAGGGTATCCAGGAAAATAATTTTGCAGAGAGCTTAGTGATGACGACCACTGTCAGCCACAATGTGACTATGCCATTCAAGATTTCAATGACTTTTAAGAACAACAGCCCTTCAGGCGGCGAAACAACATGTGTCTTCTGGAACTTCAGGCTTTCCAACAACACGGGGGGGTGGGACAGCAGTGGGTGCTATGTTGAAGAAGGTGATGGGGACAATGTCACCTGTATCTGTGACCACCTAACATCATTCTCCATTCTCATGTCCCCTGACTCCCCAAATCCTGGTTCTCTCCTGGGAATACTACTGGATATTATTTCTTACGTTGGGGTGGGCTTTTCCATCTTCAGCTTGGCGGCCTGTCTAGTTGTGGAAACTGTGGTGTGGAAATCAGTGACCAAGAACCAGACTTCCTATATGCACCACACCTGCATAGTGAATATTGCTGCCTCCCTTCTGGTCGCCAACACCTGGTTCATTGTGGTTGCTGCCATCCAGGACAATCACTACGTACTCTGCAAGACAGCCTGTGTGGCTGCCACCTTCTTCATCCACTTCTTCTACCTCAGCATCTTCTTCTGGATGCTGACACTGGGCCTCATGTTGTTCTATCGCCTGCTTTTCATTCTGCACGAAACAAGCAGGTCCACTCAGAAAGCTATTGCCTTCTGTCTTGGCTACGGCTGCCCTACCGGCCATCTCTGTCATCGTGCTGGGAGCCACCCAGCCCTGGGAAGTCTATATGAGGAAGAATGTCTGTTGGCTCAACTGGGAGGACACCAAGGCCCTGCTGGCTTTTGCCATCCCAGCAATGATCATTGTGGTGGTGAACATAACCATCACTATTGTGGTCATCACCAAGATCCTGAGGCCTTCCATTGGAGACAAGCCATGCAAGCAGGAGAAGAGCAGCCTGTTTCAGATCAGCAAGAGCACTGGGGTCCTCACGCCACTCTGGGGGCCTCACTTGGGATTTTGATCTCACCACTGTGTTCCCAGGGACCAACCTTGTGTTCCATATCGTATTTGCCATCCTCAATGTCTTCCAGGTGAGTTTTACAGTGCGGGACTTTCAGGAAGATTTTATTCCTGTAGGACAAATTAATGATAGAAACACAAACAAGAGTAGGAATGGGGAAGGATTTCAGCCCAGAGGAAGCCTCAGCTCTAAAGATTAGTAATAATGAGAATTCAATGAGATGGAAAGAACACATTCTTCTGATCCTATGGAACCTCATGCTTTTTATCACCTACATTATAATTTAGTGTCATTTCCCAGTCTCTGCTAAATACCCTGATTACACCAGTAAAAGGAAAATCCCCATTTGTCTAAGATTATCTTGATGCAGTCTATTATCTCCTAAATGAAAATCCTGTCTTTGTGAGGACAGGGATTGCCCTTTTCTTGTTCATCACTATACCTCTATGCCTGATAGAGACCTTGGTACAGAGTAGGTTCTCAATAATCATTTGAATGAAATAAATCCTGTGTACCACATAGCAGCTTCTCTGGAAACATCAAAAATCAAAGAACGAATGTCCTGTGAATGCCAGACAATCTGCTTGATTGTACTACAATGAAAAAACATCTTCTTTGCTCTCCTGCAGCACGTAACTAATTACAATGCAGACCAGTTTGTTAGAAGAAATATAACAGAGGTATAGATAGCAAGCCTTTAAACCACAAGGAAGGAAGTGATTAATTCTGTTTCACCCAGTGGAGAGGTGGTAATATAGGAAAAAACCTGCCCAAGGATTGAGGCCACTGTGAGCTTGTGAAGAGGCAGACGCTGGAGGTGCACTTGAGATACTGCTTTCAGGATGCTTGTGCCAAGAACATATGAACCTTAATTTCTACTACTGGGCCTGTGTCTCCAAGCTATAAAGTTCATATGTAATGACCTTCATGATATGCCTTATTTGGAAGGAACTAGTTATCCCACCCCATAACCAAGATTCTCATCACAACTATGTGAGGCATATTGTAGACACAAGAGGTGTATAAATAGCATAACCAACAGGACCTCCAGTTCTCAACCAAAGGAAAATGGGAAAATAGAAAATATCCTCCTAACTTCATAACATTTAGAGTCCCTTGGTGTGGACCAACTGCATCTCATTGAACAGTATCATGGACTGGACTCATTCCATAAACTCAGATAGAAAAAGAAGTAGTACAAATTTAACACCAGGTTAATAGTACTTTCTCTTTTGCTGGACAATAGACTATAATTAAAATGCACTTCTTTTTAATCTTTTTTTCTCAGGGATTATTCAGTTTACTCTTTGGATGCCTCTAGGATCTGAAGGTAAGAGCAATGACAGTTTCATGTTTCTAGAAAAGCGTGAAGTGCTTCTGGCATGTTGAAGTTACGATAGCTTCTTTTTAACAATGCAGGTACAGGAAGCTTTGCTGAATAAGTTTTCATTGTCGAGATGGTCTTCACAGCACTCAAAGGTAAACCTTTTCTCTGCAGAGACTTTTCATTTTATAACCTCATGTATTCCACTAGCATTCTGAAGTACAGAGTACTAAATTTTTTCTTCAGGATTTTGATCAATTAGGCTAAATATATTGCATCCTCAAACCCATCTCCCTCAACAGCTATATTTGGCATAGATCATTCAATTGTTTTTGCTTCTCAAGTCATTCTGCCTATTAAACAGAGCCATAGAGCTGTCATTGAGATGCTACTCCACATACTTAAATAGGGTTTAAAATAATATATGATATAAACTGAAGGTTGAAATCAAATGTTCAATGAGAAGCAGTCTTCTGGGGGGATTCAAGGCATTAGAGAAAACAAGTTGAAGAATAATAATGGATAAAATTTTCTATAGCTCATTTTGGAACATAACTATTGCCCTTGGATATATCTGACTGCCTTTCACATGTCAGAAAATACTAGAAGCCTAACAAACAATAAAACTTGTATTTGACAGTTATTTTTCTAATACAGATGACAAGATTCCAGTATTTTAATGTGACCTCTGGGAGTGGGACTAGAGATGCCGGCAGTGACCACTAGAGGGTGGAAAATCAATCCTCCTAGTGATGTAAACAGCTTTGGTCCCACAAATTTGCTTTGTGATTTTCCCTTTTTTTCTCTCTTCTAGTCAACATCCCTGGGTTCATCCACACCTGTGTTTTCTATGAGTTCTCCAATATCAAGGAGATTTAACAGTTTGTTTGGTAAAACAGGTGAGTAGTGGCCTCTATGTTCTCCCTGCTTGCCCAGAACACATTTGGTCAAATGGGGAGCCTCAACACCCCTACTCTTTCACCCCACTCATGGCATTTACCTAAAATGTCCTCTTTTGGGGTAGAGGTTAAATAGAGGAACTTACATTTTCACAAATCACCAAAAAGTGGGTACAGAGGGCAGCTGCCTTTGTTGGGAACTTATAATAACTCATAAAGAATAAGATTTGGAGAATCTAGACAATGATTTGGAGAGCTGTCTGTCAAAATATCATCCATCAAAATGAGAACTGTAAATTGCTGGCCTTGTCAAACACAGAGTTCTTCTCAAATTATGTCAAATAAGAGTAGATAGGTCATGTTTCAGGGTTAAGGGGCAGCAAAGAATACATTTAGAAAATCTTACTACAGGATCTCACTATGTAGGTTTGTTTTCCTTTTGTGTTTTTTTATAAAGTGTGCTTGTGTTACACATGGAAGCACATAGAAGTGTGCTTGCATTACATAAGGGATCCCCCTAGTTAGCTATTCTATTAGAAATATTCACAGTTAAATTTCTACCTTGGAGATATGAAATGAATGGAATTAATAACTTTGGGCAACAGATCTCAGCTATTCTAGCAAATTGAAACCCCTGTCCCATGCCACCATCCCTCCCCCACAGGAAAATAAGCCCCAGGATTTCTTCTAGCTTTTTGAAACTCAACAGATCTCACAAATGCAGAGTTGAGAAATGCATCAATGTTCCAGATTAAGGCTTTTCACATACAAGCAAATTTTGTGAATGCCTATAACTGTTAAAACTCCAGAGGACTTGGGTTCTTTTCTGCTTCAATTTGATGAATTACCCATGAAACTGGGGGACCTTCACTTCTGATTATGAAAGTCCCAATTGGGCATGTTTGGGGGCCCCATAAGTACCATAATTTGGTTTATGTTGTCAGCAGCCCCTAAGATCACCCCAGGCCATGACAGAAACTTTGTTAGCGGTGGCGGTTCAGCAATTTGATGGTAGGGTGGGCACTTCAACCCTTTTCTTGCCCGACACACACTCTCCACCCACTCCCTGTGCACAGTCCCCACCTCCACGCAGACACAAGCCTGTGCAGTTGCTCAGAGGCTGCCTTCCTTGCTGCACTGATTCTCAGCAGTTCTGTTGACGTTCCTGACTCCTGCTTCTTTTCTGGTCCTGCCTTTTCTCTCCCTATAATTTTCTCTTTTCTTTCCCTTTACTCTCTTTACAAACCTCCACTTTCAGTAGAGCCTCCAGGTGCCTCCCAAGAGCTTCCGTAAGTCACCACAACCCAAGAGGACCAGGGAGATTCCCTCATGCAGATGTTCCCAGACCATGCATGTGATGGCATATGGAGGGCTTCCCACCTTGACATCTTCCTGTCCTTTGTAGAAACCTGGCTGCTGGTATGATGTGAAGAAGTGACTGCTTGTTGGCTGCCACACATGCATGAGAATGACAACTCTGTTAGTTCTCTGGCATTTCTAGGTCTTGGGAGGAGGGCAGGTATGGGTTGGTTTCCAGGCATGGCTGAGTTTACCTAGTGCCTAGACCACTGCTCCCCTGGGTCCCTTAGGAGATATTCACACCCCAAAGTTCATGATGGCTTGTCTTCAAGGCTGAGTTGCTGCTCTTTTTTTCAGGAACATATAATGTTTCCACCCCAGAAGCAACCAGCTCATCCCTGGAAAACTCATCCAGTGCTTATTCGTTGCTCAACTAAGAACGGGATAATCCAACATACGTGACCTCCTGGGGACAGTGGATGGATGTACTTTTAAAAAGAGATCCTTGCAAAGCAATGGAGAACGTGTTCTTGGGGCAGGTTTCCAGGAGCAGATGCCAAAAAGACTTTCATAGAGAAGAGGCTTTCTTTTGTAAAGACAGACTGAAAATAATTGTTATGTTTATGTTTGTTCCCTCCCCCTCCCCCTCCCCCTTGTGTGATACCACATGTATATAGTATTTAAGTGAAACTCAAGCCCCCGAAGGCCCAACTTCTCTGTCTATACTGTAATATAGAATTTCAAAGAGACATTTTCACTTTCTACACATTGGGCACAAAGATAAGCTTTGATTAAAATAGTAAGTAAAAGACAACCTAGGAAATACTTCAGTGAATTCTAGGAAGGAAGGAAGAAAGGAAGGAAAGAAGGGAGGGAAACAGGAAGAAAGGGAAAAAGAAGAAAAAGAGAAAGATGAAAATAGGAACAAATGTAGACAAACAACATTAAGGGCCACGTTTTAAGATTTCCATGTTAATGATCTAATATAATCACTCAGATAGTGCAACATTGAGAATTTTTTTTAATGGCTCAAAAATGGAAACTGAAAGTAAGTCATGGGGAATGAATACTTTGGGCAGTGTCTTCCTGATGTCTTCTTAGCTAAGAGGAGAAAAAAAAGGCTGAAAAAATAGGGAGGAAATTCCTTCATCAGAACGACTTCAAGTGGATAATAATATTTATAAGAAATGAATGGAAGGAAATATGATTCTCCTGAGGATAACTTTGTATGTTAAGGTTTGAACTAAGTGACTGTATCTACAGAGGAAGTATTATAAAGATACGTCATTAGATCCAAGTGCTGATTGAATTTTTATCGTTTATCAGAAAAGCCTTGTATTTTAGTTCGTTCCATATTTTGAAAGCAAAAAATATATATTTTATATACCTTTCAATTGCCAAATTTGATATATTGCGCTGAAGACAGACCCTGTCATATATTTAATGGCTTCAAGCAGGTACTTCTCTGTGCATTATAGAATATATTTTAATAATCTTATTGCATTGTACATTATTATTGCTGTTGTCACTGTTATTGTTACTGTGGATAATGGCCCTTGGTGTGTTGCATAGCTCCCTAGGTATTCTCTGTTTCCATCTTTACTTTCCCACACCAATATACATTAAGCATTTTGCATGGTCTAACTTGTGTTTATTCCAACCACTTGGAAAACTCCTGGAAAGAAATTTTACATTTGGCTGTTCTATGCTGCTAATGACACTTGACCTTGTTGAACAAATGGCAGAGACTTTCCCAAGGATTTGATTGTTTGTGAATTATCTGCATGTGTACTTTCTTTTTGTGTGTATGTATTTCATTAAAAAATATAAATACTTATGAAAATTGCATCCATATTAGAGTTAACCATGTGCTATTGATACAGCAACCCTACATTGCAAATAAAAGTCCGATCCCAAAAGGAGAATGAGACAAAAATAGAGATGTGGGGCTACTTAGGATATGTGGGCTGTGTGGCAACAGAAATGGGCCCAGCCATTAGGAAGATGGGGCAAAAGAGGCTGAGATTCAACAGCCATTTCTTTATTGAGGTTCAAAGGAGTTTTCTTTTAATATTTTAACCCTTTAAAATATCTTCTTTTTATTTTTAATTTTAAATTCTACTTAAATTCTACTTCTGCCTCTCTTTTCTTCATGGGGAAGGAGAGGTATGGGACAGAGGTGGGACAGTTGATGTAAATGAACTCTTTATTTCTACATATTCACAAATTACATAGACATCTACTTCCACATTTGCCTGAGAATTGTCACATCACTGTCCCAAATGAATGGTGCATTACTGAAAGTCCCTAAAGGAAATCATTGTTATGCTATAAGTGCATGCCTTGTTCTTCAGGAATGATCAACTTTGGGCAGAGCTTGATACTAAGAAGATGGAGACAGAGGTTGGGTTGGGGGAAATCCCTTGAATTAGAATTAGAATTAGAGAAAGAAGGCCTTTGACTGATTTGGTTCCTGGAGTTATATCAAGAAGAATCGAGCCAGGCTTGGAGCACGATGTTAGCAGGGCTATCTTGACATGATCAATCAAGGAAAGCACACAGTGTCAGGAGCAGGATGTGGTTGTCATGTTCAAAAATCCAGTGGGGCAAGAAACGCTGAACTTCCACCCACTTCAGCCAGGATCCCTTGGGGAATCACTGTGTTCAACCCTGTGAAGGGAACTTTCATCATAGCAGGAGCCTGTGGGAGTTACACAGGATGTGGATCTGGCCCACTGCTCCATTTGTTAACTGGGGCATGTTCCCTTATCCCCAACACACACAAATACACACATGCACACTTGTGCACATGTGCACATACATGCATGCATGCGTTTCACCCTTTCAAGCCACAGCACTGGGTCCAAATTCCAGAAAAGCTATGAAAGCAAATAATTGGAGAAACACTTGCTGGTTTTCTGCCCACTGCAATACACATTAGCCCAGCCACTACGCTTTCCCAGGAAAATCCTAAAATGAACAGTAGAATTCAAAATTGTAGAACAGCAGTTATGAAGCTGAGAATTTTATGAATGCAGGAGCCTCATTTGGCCCTGAGGTTGCCATCTCTCAATCAGTAATGATTACAAGGCTATTAGTAGCAGATTCCTGAGAATGAAGGCACATGGAGTTGTGTGATCTACTTTGTTCGTAAGGTGCCCAGTGCTTCCCTGTGTTCCTGACATCTCTCAGTGTATAAAGTCCATTCCCTGAGCCTAAACTTTCTTGCATTAAGAGCTTTCCATTAAGTCAGTTTCTTGCAAAGGGCTTTGTCCTAATGAGTCAGAGTCTGTGAGGTTAGAACATTCACAAATGAGAAGCTAATACAGATTATAGGAATATTCTCTGGGAATATTCTAAGTCCAGACTAACACATCATCTCTTGAGTAAGCCAGATGTCTGCTATCCTCCTCCCCCACTTCTTATTGTTTACATGGGGAAATGGTTAAATAAACGTCTGTGGGATTTTCAGGTTTTCGCTAAGGCCAGAAATTAAGAAAGACTGTGGGAAGTCACGGCCTTTTGTGGTTTGTATAGAGAATTTCAAAGAGATCCATGTTGGAATGCTTCAGGAAAAAAAAAAAAAAGTTACATGGAGATGAGAAAGATTACAGTAATTACTAAGTATAGGAAGGAGGTGTGGGCGAGTTATTGAGGTGAATGGAGCAGGAAGTCACACTCATGAAGAAAAAAAGAAATAGGTGGTCCTAGAAATGCCAGGTAGGTGGAATGCGTTTATTTTGTGCCATGTGATGGTGAAGTCAAATAAGCCCTCCTCATCCAAAAGAGAAAACCCAGTGAGTGACCCAGGCCAGTAAAAGACTGATTCTTCAAGTGTCCAAAATGAAGGTGGAACTTACAGGGAACTTACCTCTTGATTGTGTTTTTAAAAGGGCAACCGGAATAGCGTCTCATCATTTCAAGAGGACAGTAGTTTAGCTTTAATATTAGGTTCTGTTGGTTTCTAAAATTATCACTTGGGATTTAAAATCACATCATGTATGCCAGCACACAAATATGCTTCCTTTCCATACTATAACAATGAAATATCTAATGAGATCTCGTGACCTGTCTTATCGGGGGACCTGCCCCGATAATCACGTAGGTTCTTTTCTATTTTCCTAAGCGTCGACTGGCTTGAGAAATAAAAGGACAGAGTGCAAAGGAGAGAAATTTTAAAGGTGGAAGTCCGGGGGAGACATCACACATTGGTAGGATCTGTGATGCCCCACAAGCCACAAAAACCAGCAAGTTTTTATTAGGGATTTTCAAAAGGGGAGGGTGTGTGCGAATATGTGTGGGTGACAGACATCAAGTACTTAACAGGGTAATAGAATATCACAAGGCAAGTGGAGGCAGGGCGAGATCACAGGACCACAGGATGGAGGCGAAATTAAAATTGCTAATGAAGTTAGCACCATTGTCATTGATAACATCTTATCAGGAGGCAGGGTTTTGAGATCAACCTGTCTGACCAAAATTTATTAGGCAGGAATTTCCTCTTCCTAATAAGCCTGGGAGTGCTATGGGAGACTGGAGTTTATTTCACCTGTGCAATCTCGACCATAAGAGACAGGTACGCCCCGGGGGGGCCAGTTCAGAGACCTACCCCTAGGTGTGCATTCTCTTTCTCAGGGACGTTCCATGCTGGGAAAAAGAATTCATCGATATTTCTCCCATTTGCTTTTGAAAGAAGAGAAATATGGCTCTGTTCTGCCCGGCTCACCGGCGGTCAGAGTTTAAGGTTATCTCTCTTATTCCCTGAACAATTGCTGTTATCCTCTTCTTTTTTCAGGGTGCCCACGTTTCGTATTGCTCAGACACACATGCTGTACAATTTGTGTAGTTAACGCAATTATTACAAGGTCCTGGAACGATATACATCCTCCTCAACTGACAGGATTAAGAGATTAAAGACAGGAATAGGAAATTACAAGGGTATTGATTGGGGAAGTGATAAGTGTCCATGAAATCTTTACAATTTATGTTTAGAGATTGCAGTAAAGACAGGCATAAGAAATTACAAAAGTATTAATTTGGGGAACTAATAAATGTCCATAAAATCTTCACAATCCACGTTCTTCTGCCATGGCTTCAGCCGGTCCCTCCGTTTGGGGTCCCTGACTTCCAGCAACACTGTCTCTGTAGTAATTGTTTGCCTTCTTGCAATGCGGTGCTGCTGCCTCTCAGGCTTCCGCATGTCACCCAGAATGCAGCTCTATTCTCCAAACAGCGAACGATCCTTTCCATCTTCCAGGTATGGGGGAGGCCGGCAGCTCGCCCCTGAGCTCAACTGGCTGGCAGGGCTGATGGCTTCCCTCACACCATCCGCATTCCCAAGCCGTGTGCAAAGATCCAGCACGTTATAGAAGGTTTAAACAAGGGTCCTTGAAGTAAAGTTTTCAGAACCAATTGTCTGACGAACAAACAGAAGCCTGTTCCAACATTTGTGTGAGGATGGCTTGAAATTTTCATTGACAGCTGAAAATAGAGCCCTCATGTCCTATAGATGAATATAAAGGATGTGAGGGCTCTATTTATCCTCTAGCACATTCTAGACGGAAACCAAGTTTCCCACTTTTAGTGGACAGAAGAAGAAAAGAGGGGAGATGGGCCAACTCCCGAAGTCCGCTCTATGCCAGACACAAGTTCTGATCTCCAAATACCATCTGTATGTGTCCGGGGTGGGCGTGGGGGCCTTGGTCATGGTGTCCTATGATTCAGACACAACCATCCTATTCTTTTTTTTTTTTTTTGAGACGGAGTCTCACTCTGTCCCCCAGGCTGGAGTGCAGTGGCGCCATCTCAGCTCACTGCAAGCTCCGCCTCCCGGGTTCACGCCATTCTCCTGCCTCAGCCTCCGGAGTAGCTGGGACTACAGGCGCCCGCTACCACGCCCGGCTAATTTTTTTTTGTTGTTGTTTTTTGTATTTTTAGTAGAGACGGGGTTTCACCGTGTTAGCCAGGATGGTCTCGATCTCCTGACCTCATGATCCACCCGCCTCGGCCTCTCAAAGTGCTGAGATTATTCTTAAATAATTTTATACACACCCATTTTCCCCCTTTTACCTGTAAACTTTGAAATGAAGTTGAAAGGCCACCAGTGTCCATGACAGGTCCCTCTGCACACATGGTGGCATGGTTAGGAGATACATGAGCCTGTTCCCACCCCAGGGTTTTTATTCTGTCATGCAGAGCCATGTGAAGGATGCCGGTGACTATTGAAGCCTAAACAGAACAAACCCAGGAGCCCGGGGGGAAAAATGGCTTTATTCTCAGTATGAAAGTCAAGAGCACCTGATTGGGCAAGTGGTGGGCAGATTGCTGTCACGGCCCACTTCCGATGACATTAAACAACAAAACCCAGGAATGACTTTGGACCCTGCCTTTTTCGGATTTTGATTGGTGCCATCCTGGTTCTTCCATCCTGCCAGCCAGCCGGCACCCCAGCAGTTGCGGGAAAAGGAATTTGACTTTGATTAACCGAGAAAAACGGTGCATGCGTTTTCTGTTTTTTCTGGAACTGTGAGGGTTTTCCCATGCCCCAGGGGCTCCCTCACAGCTATCCTATCCCAAGCATTCCCGACAGGAATCTCCAGCTGGGTTGGAGTGACAGCTGGCTTCCAGCACCGCAGCTCCGCAACCACTGCTGGCGTCTCCTGAGGCTCGCGCGCCCCTGGTGGGCGTGAGAGGAGGCGTCCCCGCGGCGGTCCGGCCTCAGGAAGCCCGTGGGAGGCAGAGTCAGTCCCGCGGATGACGCGCCCAGTGGGCTACGTTCAGGAAGTCATTTGATCATATGGGCAGAGCGAAGGTCAAGGCATAGTGGATAACAGAAACCAGAAATGAAAAAAAATCTCTTTCACTCCCGCCTCCTAACTTTCATATTATGATCCTTACAGGGGAAAGGGTAGTCAGAAAGCCACGTAGGACTGTGGAGGGAGGGAAATCCCAGTCACGTCGTTTCAGTGCGTGAAAGGCAAAGGAAATTTCGGGCCCCCAATCACTATGCAAAAAGGAAAAAATTAAGATGGAAGCTGAGCCATGCAAGAAACAGCCTTTTCCTTCTATTGCTAAGAAAGTAGCTAACAAATGAAAGGCCAGATATCTCCACAGAGAGCTACACTAGGTACACCTTTTATGTAAAGTACTGATTTACTGAGATGAATACATCACTGACTATTTTCCTACCTGCTCCTTTTCTCCTGCAATGCATGGATTATGCCATGTGACCATACTCTCCCTCTTTCGCCTCCACTTTTCCCCTTTAAATACTGAAACCTTCAAAATATCTTTGCAGAAAGACACAGACCACAGGCTGTCTCTGTGATTGTGTGTTCCATTCTTCCAGGCATGTTCTTAACCTTGGTAAAATAAACTTCTAAGTTGATTGAGACCTGTCTCAGAGACTGGTTTACAAGTGTGCATAGCACACCTGCAGGCAGGCATACATTTCTGAGGCATACTCGCTGAGATAGCTCCTTCCTTTCTCTGTCCCCCCCTTACTGACTGAATCTCATTTATGGCACTAACAGCAAAGCTGAAAGCCCCAGAAAAGATCTGGTTCACCCATTCCAGATAGGCTGCTGGAAGGTCGTTTGAGGAAGAAAAATGGGTGCCTTCCATGTTTCATGGGAACCCAATACTTTTTCCATCAAGGCAGCTGCAAAAGGATTAACATAGGTGGTCTTATTCCCTTTTCTAATTCATCCATTGAAAGCCACTGCTGGCCTGGATTTTCATTTTCAATCCATCATGAATCTGCAGATGAATCTGCAGCTATCCCAGGGCAATCTGACAGTCCAGCCAGCAGCTGAGGCTGGATGGCAAGTTCCTATCCTCTGAGCACACATTGCTAACGTGTGATCCGAGAAGACCCAGGAGAAGTCAACAGGGCCAACTGCCGGCAGGGCTGGTCCTTGGTGTAGAGGGACAAGCTGAACTGGCCTTAAGTAATGAGGCAGACAGCTTCCCAGTTTGGGGGGATGTCACGCACCTTGGCCTGTTGCTCCTATACCCTTGGAATAGCTCTCACACCTTCTCCTTCATGTTGGACATTCCTTTTACAAAAACAGAAATCTCAAAGACAGATAAAGTTAAGAAGATTAATCTCAGGTTAATCTCAAGGAGAGAAAAGGTATGCAAATACACCTCTGGGTGAGAAACACAGTAACTTAAATTTACCCTCGAATGGAAATGGCTGGTAACTATATAAATATATTAACCAACATTTTTTGAGCCCTTTCTGTGTACCTGCTGCTGTTCTAAGATTTTTATGCGTATAATCTCATTTAAACTCTATAGCAAACCAAAAGTAACTAAATATTCTTTTTCTTTGCATTTTTGGAGGAAAAAGCTAAGCACAGAGAGGTAAATAACTTACCCACAGTCACACAGCTGAGGACCAGTAGAATCAGGATCTAAATGCAGTGTCTGACCTAGAACATGGGCATGAATCCACCACCTTATATTGCTTCTCTATGCAACCTGATGCCAGTTACTTGCTTAAAAGTAGGCTTCCGTAGCAGGAAGAGTTTCAAATGCAAAAAATGATAGGGAGAACGACAGTGACAGAGAGGTTGGAGGAGTTAAGGCTTCTCCAAGCTTCATCTCACTTTATAATTCCACCTTGGGGCAGCCCAGGACATAATGACCAATGTTCTGGGCAAACTTCAGAGTGCGCCTACTTCCTTTTTAAGTCTCTGGTGAAACATCAAAGAATTCCTGCTGTGCTGCTTTATTGAAAGTAGATCTCAACTTAGTTATCTGGTGGACCCCCCAGCTTGAGTCTTCAGTCAAGTGAGCTTCTTGTAAGTTCTCAATCACCAGCGTTGTTTTTATTTTCATCTCAGATCTATCAAGAATTCTTGGCGTGTTGAATGGCATTTAGACATGTAGGAAGGCAATATGGCTTCCCAGAAATGAAGCGTGATTCTGAGGCTATGTTTAAACATATCAAGTGGAGAATTGGGACATTTGTCCTAATACGTTTAGCTAAGTCATGATTTTCCTTCTGATATGCAGACTGAAACAGCAGCTGATTTGCTACTTGAATGCTTTGCATTCTCTGCTTCATTTTGCATGGACAGGGGTATTGGGCTGTTCTTCAGCATTGATTGACAGCCAGTTTGGCAAATGTGGTATGGTGGTTAACAGCATTGGTTCTCGAGCCAAACTGTGTGCTTTTCAGTTGTAGGTCCACCACTTCTTAGTTTGATTTTTGGTAAAATAACTCTTTCTGCCTCAATTTACACTATGTGAAAGGAAATAATAATGGTACATGCTCTATGGGTTGTTATAAAATTCTTATAAAGCCTACAAAATCATATCTGGCATGCAATTATTGCTGAATAAAGTTAGCCTTCATTATTTTGCATCTTACTGTGTGTGCATAAAAACTATAGTAGATATGTATCATACACACATATATAAATCATGCATCACGACTTAGCCAAATTTATTAGGGCAAATGTTTCAATTCTCCTCCTGATATATTTAAACACAGCCTCAGAATCACACTTCATTCCTGAGAAGTCATACTTTCTTCCTACGTGTCTAAATAATATCCAACACTCAGAATTCTTGATAGATCTTGACAGAACTCAGATTTAGACGCCGGTTCTATTCAGAATCAAACTACATATGCCTTTCACATTGTCACATTTAATTCATGCTTAAGAGCTTTTGAGAGTAATGTCAAAGGTATGTGACATCCTAAATCATAACTTTATCAAGGTTTGAGTTTAAATCGTGCTCATTATGAAGCCAGAATGGGTGAGTAATTCACATAACAAGTGTGTGAGCCTGGTTAACTTCCCCATGTCTGCATTTCAAATCAGTTTTGGTAATCTTACATATTACATAATTTTATTTAATCTTCAAACTAATTTCATTATTTCTTTTCTTTACAAATGAGCCAATTATGCACTATAACAGTGGTGTTAATTAAGGCTTTCTCAGTCACAGGTAACAGAACCACAATCAAATTAGTTTAACAAAAGTGGGCACTTACCATGTAACTGGGAAAGATAGTAGATTGGTACACCTTCAGGTACAGCTAGATTCAGGTGCCCAAACAGTGTTCTCAGAGTTCTGGCTCTTCCTTTTGTGTTGTTGCCTCTCTTTGTGTATTCATTTCATTCCAAGGTAGATCTTCAAGGAGAGGAATTTATGAGGTCCACAGACCAATAGATTGAGATTTAAAAAGAAGACTAACCCTTTTCTTCTCCAAATGTTCATGTATATGTGGCAGTACAGGGTATCATGATTGGCTTAGTCTGAGCCATGTGCTGGCCCCATAGAAATAATTATATCCATTAGGATCATGTTTTCTGTGAATGCCAGACATTCAAAATAATAGCGACTTAAAGTAGAAGTTTATTTCTCTAACACAGATAAGCAGCCCAAGACTGGTGTGGCAGCCTGGCTCGGTGCAGTCCTCAGAAATCCAGATACTTTCTATTTTTTTAATCTGCTTTTCCCAAGGTCACCACATGGCCCCATTTGGCAGCTCTCACTCTGGCCATTACATCCCCTTATCAGTCATTAGGATAGAAGAAGGGACTACAGGTGTGCACCAAGACTCCTTTAGGAAAGTTTCCCAGAAGCTCACATGCAACATTCCTTCTTCCATTCCACTGGCCTGAATTTGATCACACTACCTCACTGTATCAGTCTGCTTTCACGCTGCTATAAAGAACTACCTGAGACTGGGTAATTTATAAAGGAAAGAGATTTAATTGACTAGCAATTCTGCAAGGCTGGGGAAGGCTTAGGAAACTTACAATCATAGTGGAAAGCAAAGGGGAAGCAAGGCACATCTTACATGGTAGCAAGACTTGAAAAGTGAGAGAACAAGGAGGTGTGCCACACTTTAAAACCATCAGCTCCATGAGAACTCACTTACTATCACAAGAACAGCATGGGGGAAGCCACCCCCATGATCCAATAACCTCTCACCAGTTCCCTCCCTCCACACATGGGGATTACAATTCAAGATGAGATTTGGGTGGGGACACAGAGACAAACCATATCACCCATCTACCTGCAAAGGAAGCAGGAGAAGGTAAACTAGACTCTGAGTAGCCATTTGACCAGTTGGAGTTTGGGGATTCTATTACTGGGAAAAGAAGAATGGATGTTGGTGACCATTTTTGTTGGGGGCTGATATCTGAACATCTCCTCTGCCTCCTGCTTTCTTCTCATACCTTTCTTATGACCCCATTTTTCTATTCTCCTTTTATTCTCTTGACCAGATAGGATCTTTAAATGTTTTTAATGATTTTCATTGAACTGGTGAGCCACACATGGGTCAATTTGTCCTAAATTTGTCCAGGCCCTAAGGGATGCTGTGACCCAGATGAGGCCCATGTCTCAATCCATTCTGGGATTCCAGGACTAGTCCTTGGTAAAATTGTGGAAGGCAAAGAGAGATGGGTCTTGTCTTTACTCTGATATCACTGTTAGCTGCAACTCTTATACACACACACACACACACACACACACACACACACCCTGTTAGGCTGCCTTACCCATATCAAATCTTTCCTATCATATTTTTTCACATCAGTACTCATTAGAGGTCACTGGCACCTGACTCCATTATCTCCCATCCCCCATTCATTAGGGTTTTCAAGAGTCTGCTAAATGACACTCACAGCTACAGGATAACTATAAATCTTTTCAAACTTTTCTTTGCTTAGAGACTTTTGAAAAACATATTTATATTAAAATTGGCATAAGAAAGATGTTTTAGCCATATTTATAAACATATAGAAATTTGAGTAGGTGACAAATCATCCATAAACCTAATATCCCTAATAAGGGAAACCAAGTAAAAAGACCTTTACATAGTGTTCAATATAGATTTGCCTATATTTTATAGCACCTTCCAAACCTCTAATCTTATTAAGGTTTTCTGTAGTCAAACAAGAATAATAGATTCTGCTATTAAGTGGTTCTGTGACCTGCCTAAGGCACTTAGCCTCTCCAGAATTGCCTCAGTTTACCCAAATACAAGAGGTGGACTTCAGAATCTCTAAAAATTTCATCAAGCCATAAAACAGATGATATAATTCATGAGAAAGGAGGAGCTCAAGAAGGGAAGGTGTGAGATCATCTGTAATTTGCTTGTAAATGCCTCCATATAGGTATTACACTGTATACAGCCTGCAGGGGGACTATAATCCACACCCTGGGGGAGGTTAAATAGTATGCAAAGTATTCTGAAAAGGAATACACACTCCAATAGCAGTTAGTTAGTATTTGAAAGATCCTAATCAAAAGTCTCTACTGGAGAAATATCTGTTGCAAAACTTTAAATATTTCTATAGCAAGCTATACCAGAGGGTTTGTTATTAGTATAAAGGATGCTTAAAATAATTTTTGCATTGGTTAAATACAATTGTCAAGATAGCTATAGTTACAATACTTTGGCAGGCCCAGTGAACTAACTTTTGGGGTAGAACCTTAGACTAGAACTCTATTTGGTCCTAGTTTTCACTCACTTAATACAAGTTTTCATTGGCTCATCCAACTAGAGCAGTGATTCCCAATCAGTAATGATTTTGCCCCTCAGGGGACATTTGTCAATGTCTTAGAGATTTGGGGTTGTCACTACTGGGGAAGTGTGCTATGAGCATAAAGTAAGTAGAGGCCAGGGATGCCACTAAACATATCACAATGCAGAGAACAGCCCTCACAGAAAAGAATATCCAGCTCAAAATATCACCAGGGCTGAGGTTCAGAAACCCTAGGGTAGAGAGTCGACTGATCCTGGCCTTCAGATTATTTGACTGCATGTGTGTAGAATGAACCTTTAATCCAAGAGGCTTGGTGGCGGAGCACTTAAAAGGACAGAGCAGAGACTTCCCTACACATACAAAACAGGTTGGATGGCTATTTGTGGGTTTGTTGGTTTATCGGGGGAACCAGACTCCAATATTTCAATGTAAGTTCTTTCTATTTTCCCTAAGTGTTGGCTGGTCTGAGAAATAAAGAGAAAGAGCACAAAGGAGGAATTTTACAGCTGGGCCTCTGGGGGTAACATCACATATTGGTAGGTCCGTTATGTCCCCTGAGCCACAAAACCGGCAAGTTTTTATTAGGATTTTAAAAGCAGAGGGGGTGTACGAACAAGGAGAAGGTCACAAAGATCACATGCTTCAAAGGGCAATAAAGATCACAAGGCAAAGGCAAAATTAGAATTACTGATGAGGGTCTATGTCCCACTGTGCACATATTGTCTTAATAAACATCTTAACAGAAAACAGGGTTCGAGAGCAGAGAACCAGTCTGACCAAAATTTACCAGGCTGGAATTTCCCAATCCTAGTAAGCCTGAGGGTACTGCAGGAGACCAGGGAATATTTCAGTCCTCATCTCAACCACATAAGACAGACACTTCCAGAGCGGCCATTTATAGACCTCCCCCCAGGAATGCATTCCTTCCCCAAGGTATTCCTTGCTGGGAAAAGAATTCAGCAATATCTCTCCTACTTGCACATCTGTTTATACGCTCTCTGCAAGAAGAAAAATACAGTTCTATTCTGCCTGACCCTGCAGGCAGTCAGACCTTATGGTTATCTTCCCTTGTTCCCTGAAAATCGCTGTTATTCTGTTCTTTTTCAAGGTGCACTGATTTCACATTGTTCAAACACACATGTTTTACAATCTATTTGTACAATAGTGGTCCTGAGGTGACATACATTCTCAGCTTATGAAGATAACGGGATTAAGAGAGTAAAGACAGACATAAGAAATTATAAAACTATTATTAGGGAAGTGATAAATGTCCATGAAATCTTCACAATTTATGTTCAGAGACTGCAGTAAAGACAGGTGTAAGAAATTATAAAAGTAGTAATTTTGGGAACTGATACATGGCCATGAAATCTTCACAATTGATGTTCTTCTGCCGCAGCTCCAGCTGGTCCCTCCGTTTGGAGTCCCTGACTTCCCACAACAATGGTTAACAAATATGAATGTGTAGCAGAATTTAGTTCAAATCTTGATTCATTTTAACATAATCAGAGAGGGGGTTAGAGTTCCCATCCACTTCTAATTATCAGAGGCTCCAGATATTACTGAAAGAACCTGACATTTGTGAATGGCCAGATTGGCTCAGCTCAGTTCACAGAAGGAAAGGATACAGATGGGGATGTATCAAGGATATGGTGTGGGAAGCATGAGACATTTTCAAAATTTCAAGCCACTATGACTTATTCCCACTATGTAAGATTAAAGAAGTCAGACACTCAGATTCAGGGAGGATTTCCCACATTTTTCATGTTGCTCATCTAAATCCCAAATTCCATACTGCCTAGAGATTATGAAATGCTTAATTTCTACCCACTCCCCATCCTACATGCCCACTTTGCCATCACCATCCCAACACCTCAAAAGAATAAAGTATCTGCTAGTCCTCCTGGAATGATTGAGGGTTTGGGCTCAAAGAAAAGCTGAATACCATGTCAGATTTATGGTGAGCCAGATCATTAATCAACTGAGGTGACCACTAATCACCAAAAGTGATAAAGATAGATAGTAGGCATGGTACTGGTTGAGAATCTAGAGAGAAATAAATATCAAAATGCTTTACCCTCATTCTGGTACCTCCTTATCATTATTTTGACCTAGCAGTTTTAATTTGCAGTACTAGATGAAAATACTAGGTTATCTTTGAAATTTGAGCTTCTGCTTCTTCCAGAGAGAAACTCATGTATTTAAGAAATGTTGTCATTGGTTTGGGCTAGGGGCCTTTCCATGTGAGACAGACCACAGCATGTTCCTTTTAATAAAACCAAAGGACAATAACAGCAGCAGCAGCAACAAAGCCTAGAGTTCACTTCTGAGGTCAGATACTCAGCAGAGTGTTAAGGGCATAGCTTTCTTTAGGCCTAACTATGAGGTTAGTGGAGGGTTTGCAGGACTGTGAAGCACAGCAAGAAACAAAGCTGGAATCCATTTCCAATCTGGACTTTGGAGACAATACAACTGGGCTGGTGACAGGATAGCTTCCTATCTAGTCTGAACATTGAATAGTAATATTTTCATACATATTAAACTCTGAGATAGGTTCATATTCATTATCCCATTGTATTACTCTGCTACTCTGTAAGTAGTAAAGTCATGTGGAAGGAGATAGTCAGCTATTATTTCCATTTGACAAGTTAGTAAACTAAGATCAAGAGCTTAAATGATTTCTTACTAAAATTACCCAGCCAGCTGGATGGGCAATCCAAGCCTGCAGCCAGGATGCTTGGCTTCCAGACTTGTTTTCTATCCACTAGAGCAGTGGTTCTCAAGGTGTCTGTGAGGTGGGGGTTGTGGGGGAGTCAGTAGCAGTAGCAGCATGGCCTGAGAACTTATTAGATTCTGGCACATTCTTATACCTTGTTAGATCCTGGCACATTTAAGAATGCACATTCTTAGATCTCACCCTAGATCTACTGACCCAGTTTCTACAGAGGACAGGAAGATGTCAAAGTGGGAAGCCCTCCACATGCCATCACATGCATGGTCTGGGAACATCTGCATGAGGGAATCTCCCTGGTCCTCTTGGGTTGTGGTGACTTACGGAAGCTCTTGGGAGGGACCTGGAGGCTCTACTGAAAGTGGAGGTTTGTAAAGTGTGGGGCCCTGTAATCTGTTTTAATCAGTCCTCCCTGGGATACAGATGCACCTCAAGTTTGAGAGGTATTGCCCTCAGGGGTGCTGTTTTCACTTGCTACAAATTGTTCTCATACCTTTGCATTAAAGAAACTCTTGTTAATCTCTCATTTTGTTTCCAGTGCATTTTAACTCTACAAAATTGTCATAAAGTCTCTACTTAGGAAACCTTATAACTTAAAGGACCACTCAGAATCCCTAAAATATTTTTGTTTATTAAATTTCCTGAGCTGACTCATTGCTGATTGGGTATAGAAACTTTAGCTTTTTTTTTTCTTTTTTTTTTTTTTCCACTTGATCTATCTTGGAACTTCCTTGCCCCAGCTAGATTTTTATCTCCTTAGGAACTATGGAAAGAAAGCATATCTAAAAATACTTCTTTAAAGTTCTCTGATACCTTCTGTTTGTTAATATGATAATGTTGTACATAAATAGCTATAAAATATACTGTTAAACTTAAAAGATCTGGGAAAGAGCTTTTGAACACCCCCAACCTTCAACACACACATGCACACCCACATGTACATACAATACCAGATACAAAGAAGGTGCTAACTCAATATTTATTAAATTTATTAAAGGGCTTCTCTTAGAATCTCAGAGGAAAGCAAATGCTGTGAAGCCGGGCTGCCTAGAAGTACCTTTATTTGAAATCTTTAACAAGATCTTAAAAGAGTAATGACACTACTGTGTCTAATGAAAAATGAGTATTTGATTCTAACATATTCAACCTAAGAATTTCATCATATATATTTGATCTGCAATATAAATGAGAGTTTCTATATCTTATTCATTCATTTATTGTTTTATTCATTCAACCATTGTTGAGTGCCCACAATGTGCCAGCCATGCATCTAGGCACGTGGCCAGCATGGTCAATAACAACATGTGCCTGCCCTCATGGGGCTTACAGTCTATAGGAAAGACAGTCAATCAAACAAGTGGTTTACAATGAAGTATGATGAATGTTGTCACAGGACACACTAGATACATTAGGAGCACATAGCAGAGTAACAGAATTATGTGGGGCAGAAAGATGACAAGGGTCACACATGGGGCTGGAGGCCTTAGACCTTGGAGGTCCTATCCAAAGCAAGGCTGATAAAAAAGCTGCCCCAAACTGCACTGACCATTGGAAGGTAAGGCCTGCATGGAGGAGGTGCTGCTGTGGTCTGGCCAATGCCAGCAGGCAGGTCACTTCCTTGGCCTTTGGGAAAGGATGGCGATGATGGAGAAGCTCAAGAAGATCACACCAGCCGTGCCTCCGATCACCATGCCCAGGACGCTGCCGTGCACCTGCATGGCCTGACAGCGCTCCCATTTAGAAGAAAGCATGTCCAGAGATGCATCTGAGGGAAAAGGACATGAAGAGAGTGTGGGAAATCCCAGGCCTCAGGTGCCTCCTAGCAACACTCATCTCCACAGCAATAAAAATGGCAAACGCTCACTGAGCGGGTCCACGTGGTGCCTGGTCCCATTTCAAGTGCTGTATATGGACCAACTAATTTAACCCTGCAACAACTTTTGAGGTGGAGGCTATTACTTGGCCATTCTCATCATCTTCATCTTACAGGAAGGTTAAATAATTTGCTCAAGGTCCCATTGTTAGTAAGCATTTCACACTTGAAATCTAATCCCAAAAGGTATGCCTCCAGATCCAGGCTTCTCAGCCACCTAGGATTCAGGAGGACGGTCTGAGACACTTAAAGGAATACATTGCCTGACACTGGCTAAGAATACAAGCTACAAAGGAAATTCCCCAGATACAGTCTGACTTAGAGCATCAGTGGTAGCTTGAAAACGTCTAAATAATATTAAATAAAATGTTACTGTAAGGTTAGTGTGTACTGTCACTATCTCACAAGGTTGCCCTGAAGTTCACCTGAGATAATGAGGACACTGTACCTATCAAGGTATTTGACACAGAGTAAGCACATAATGGCCAGCCCTTAGTTTTGTTTCTTAATGTTATCTGGTATAAAGATGAATTAATCTCATAACCAAGGCATATAACTTGTAGTGTCTCATCCATACCTTTGTAAAAATTCCAGCCTTTGTTTCAAACATTCCCACTAGAAGGTCTACTCAGCAGAATTCTACAAGGCAGAGTGAAACAATCAGAAGTCAGCATTTTCTGGCTGGGCATGGTGGCACACGCCTGTAATCCCAGCACTTTGGGAGGCCAGGTGGATCACCTGAGGTCAGGAGTTTGAGACCAGCCTGGCCAAAATGGCAATACCAGACTGGCCAACATGGTCTCATCTCTATTAAAAATAACAACAACAACAACAAAAATAGCCAGACATGGTGGTGGGCACCTGTAATCCCAGCTACTCGGGAGGCTGAGGCAGGAGAATTGCTTGAACCCGGGAGGTCGAAGTTGCAGTGAGCTGAAATTGTGCCATTGCACTCCAGCCTGGGTGACAAGAGCAAAACTGTGTCTCAAAAAAAAAAAAAAAAAGAAGTCAGCATTTTCTTTTACTAATCCTGAATGATTTTAACTTCCAAGTCCTCATCTCTATCCTGAGAATTGACTTCTTAGAAATCAGTGAGTAATAGCAAGTTTATTTCATTTTTTTTCTGACCCAGTCCCCTCCAAACACAACTTCGTAATATCCCCTACTGTTATCTTAGAAAAACTTATTCTGCCAACTCTCAGCTGCAGGTTTCTAGGAGAGGAATAGTTTGGCTGAGTAGAGGCTGACATACAAGTGGCAACCCTGGCCTCCCTTAGCCTGGGAAGGATGAAGCGTGTTGGGGGCACACAATGGAATCTGGCATCTAAGGACCTGTCAGGCAAAGATATGAAGACCCATGGCTTTGGAGCCCAGAAACAGATGGGCCTTCCCCAGTAAAAGGAGCCAGAGGGCTTCTTGGAAGAGTGATTGATTCTATGGGTGGGGCAGGAAATATAAAAGATGAGCCTAGAGCATGCTATGGTGCCAGAAAGTAACATTGTGTTCATAAAATCTGATGTTGAAAGATCACAGGAGCCAACCTGGAAGAGCTCCCAAAGGCCAAAGCTGGGACAATAGAAGCAACAAAATAAATTATGAAATCATTGCAACAGAGCCCACTGACTAAAATAAATGTTTATGTTTATAATCGCATAAACAAATTAACGGGGTGAAGGGGCCATTCTCCTTTACAGAAGAATTCTAATTAATGAATGTGAAGGACATAGGAAATCAACATTAGAAGATCCCAGTGGTGAATATTGCAGCAGGTTGTATCAATAGATGCTGAAATTAGCATGTGAGGATTTGAGGAAAAGCAGGATGTCTCAATGGTCTTGAACTATCTCTCCCAAGATATGTATCAATTACAGAGGGAGAAATGGTAACTCTTCAGTGGAGAGGCCTGGTGGACATGCTGTTGGCCAGATGATGAAGGTTGACATCACCAGTAATTACATGTATCGGCATCATGTACCTGCTCACATGATGCAACAAGAAGGCACAGCACATATTTACTAATCTTGACACAAATGTGAAACCTCAATTTAATCATGAGAGAACAAGATGAACCAAAAAAAAATCCCTAACCAGTAATCTTCAAAAGTGTCAAGGTAATGAAAGACAAGAAAGAACTGAGGAATTGTCCCAGATTGGAGGGGATTAGGAGACAGGAGACATAAAAACTAAATGTAACGTGAGATCCGGAATTGGATCCTGAAATAGAAAAAGAACATTAGTGGGAGAACTGGGAAGAGCCGAATAAGGCCTGTAATTTATTTACTAGCATTCTACCAATGTTCATTTCTTGGCTATGCTAATTGTACTACGGTTTGTGTAATATGCCAACATTACGGAAAGCAGGGTGAATGGTATAGAGAAAGCCTCTGTAGTATTTTCGCAAGGTATCTGTAAGTCTAAAATTATTTCAAAGCAAAAGCTACAAAAAGAAAAAAAAGGAGACTAAAAAGAACTCAGAAGTAATGTAAATTTTTGAGGTAGGCAGAATAGCTCCTACATCTGCTACTGTTCAAATGGAACTGTTGCTTCTGTCATCACATACCTCCTTTTGTGAAACAGTTTTCAGGGTTTTATGCAAGCAAACATTATAAAAAGAACTATTAAAGTTCTTTTTAAATATTCAAATTTAAATATAGCAAACTGTACTGCTTTTTAATATTTAAACATTAAATATAGCAAACTGTGCTGCCAGACAGACCTAGATGCAAGTCCCAGCTTCAGCATTTTCCATCTGGGTACATTTTAGATAAATTACTTAACCTTTCTAAGCCTCAACTTCTTGATACACCAAATGGGGATAAGGAGAGCCCTTATGTCACAGGTGGCAGTGAGAATGAATTTAGATCATGCGTGTAAGATGCTCAGGAGACCACATGATGCATAACAAGGGGTCAGAAATATCAGGTGTTCTTACTACTATTATTGAAAACATAACTTTAATAATAGTGCAGTGTAAATGACAGACTGTATAACTAATAATCATTAGGAGCTAATAATAACATCTGTGTAGTCAGCAAAGATTTAAGCTTGGTCTTGAGACCCACTGTCATGGAGTAGAAAGTCCCTAGGCTAGAAGCCATCTTGGATGTTGTTAGAGTTAGAAATTCCAACAACATCCAAGATGCTGTTGACAATACCCCAGAGGAGGAAAAGGGGTGAAAGTCAAGAGACAAGGAGACCTGGGACGCCTCTGTCCTGGCAGCGTAAGCCCATGAATCCAGGGCACACCTTTGTAGAGTCAAGGAAAACTGCATCCAGCTGACCATCTGAGGTAGTCTTCGCCCTACTCTGCAAACAGCAGCCTTTACCAGGCATAAGCATGCACACGGCCCAGGTCTGCTGGCCTGCCTGTCTCCCCAGCCACAGAGCCTACCTGCACCTCGCCACCCACTTCAGGTTCACACAGATGCCATCATTTTGGCAAGGGTTTGGGTCACATGGGCCTCTGAAGTACTGTGGCCAGTTATGGTCCTCCAGGGGGCCTGTGTTCTTCACTGACGGCTTCTGTCAGCCGGGCTGCCCCTGGCTGAGGCTGACAGGTACGGCTTCCTCTAACATGGCCTTTCCTGAACCTTCTTTGGAGACCTGCTGCTTCTGGCCTTGGAGAATGAGGCCTTGGGGGCTCAGTCTTTTGCCTTTAGTGGGAACTTCAGTCTGGCTGAGGTGGGTGATATCTTCAGGAAATAGAGGGTCACGAGAAAGATCCAGGATTAGTAACTGACTACAGTGAACTCCCATTTCTGGTGAAAGTTCCCCAGCCTGCTTCTATCTCTAGTGATATGTCACCCCCAGTGACATGGAAAAGTGGCTTTGAATCCAGCTGATTCCCACGGTACTAGCTAGTTTTATTTTAAAGTAATCCAGTCACATTTTTATTTATTGAATTTGCAAAATGAAGCATAAAGTTAGCATGGATAGACTGATGGAAACTAAATTGAAATCAGTGAACTGTTACCTCTGATAAAATTTTCAAAAAGATGACACTAAAATTTCAGTTTCTTTCAGGGACAGTTAAAATAAAGATGTGAGTCCTTGACCAATTGAAGAAAATGTGGTTCTCCTACAACACATTTTTTTTAACCTCATCCCCACCCTCCATGTGTGCTTTAAAATCAGGATAAAATCAGTAGAGTGCCAAGAGCATAGGATTATTTACTCAGGAAGACCAAGAAAAGTACCTTCAAAGTCCACAAACATGATGAGGTCATCATTTTTCAGGAAACTCCTCCTTTTCAGCATTTGGTGGGAGATGAAACCACTCCAGCCAAAGTCAATGCTTCTAAAACAATTACAGTCAGCATGATAGGTTCCCACCCTGGACGGCCTGTCCCAGATGACAGTGTCATTTGTCACTGCAAAATTGTAGGTAACATAAAATCACATTACCTCTTTAGACTTCACTTTCCAGTTTGTCTTTTATGAGGATACAGGGATTTGTGAATCAGAAAAAAATAAATAAATAAAAATAAAAATAAAAATAAAAAAAGTGTTGGAAAAAAATTAAGCTATTTACTCTTTCCAGGAGAATTGCAATTCAGAATTGAAAGATGGGAGAGGCAGAGAATCACAGCTCTGAGTGATCAGTTGTCTGCTACTGCGTGACTTTTTTAACGAAAAGAGAGGGACAGCTATGGCTTCTTTCTTCTGAGGCTTAGGTCTTCTCTTTTGAAAAAAAAAAAATAGTGCCAGGTGTGGTGGTTCATGTCTGTAATCCTAGCACTTTGGAAGGCTGAGGCAAGTTGATTGCCTGAGCTCAGGAGTTCAAGACCAGCCTGGGCAACAGGGTGAAACCCCTTCTCTACTCGGGAGTCTGAAATAGGAGAATTGCTTGAACCTGGGAGGTGGAGGTTGCAGTGAGCCAAGATTGCGCCATTACATTCCAGCCTGGGTGACAGAGCGAGACTCCATCTCAAAAAAAAAAAATATAGTTTTCCCATTTCTTTACTGATGTAAGTTTATTTCATGAACATAGTGATATTGAGTGCTATTTTAGGAGTAAGTACATTAGCTCTGCACAGAGCCTAGCAAGTTCCGAGTATTTGATAAATGATTAGCAGTATCTGTTTCCTCAATCACAATGAGATCAATGAGGCAGGGATCACCTGATTCACTTGTATTGTAAGTACCTAGCACAGAGTTTGGCACATGGTAAGCCCTCAACAGATGTTTGATGAGTGAATTTAGGAAAGGGAAGGAGGATGTGATGGCATTGAAAATCTTAACTTGAAACTCCAACACGCCTATGTTATCGGTATTCCCAGGCGGAAAATGTGAGGAGAACGTTACTCTTTCTTGCACCACAGAATCACATCTGTGGGCCTCTCTGGTTCGAGGGGCAGTTCTTATTTATGCCAACACCACCCACCTGGAGATATGTGCAACTTGGAGGTAGTGAACACCAAACTTGAGGACATCCTGTTCCTGACATCAGGTCCTGGTCGAAGATGGTAATTATCACCTGTCTGTTTTCTACCGGCCACTCCAGGATAGCATCATTCTCCCCACTGCACATGTAAAAAGCAAGTCTCAAATAGCCAGAGCTTTCTCTGCCATGGGGGTATAAAGTTAACCCAAAACCGCATCCCTCTGAATTGTAGAATCGAGGGCTCTGAAGCTTGTCCACTTCGCTGGTGTTCTCAAGGACCTGGGAGAAATTCTGGACTCTCCAGACCCCTGTGGGGCAGGGGGTTTCTGTCAAGAGTGATGTCATCCAGGTAAATTCCCCCAGTTGAGTTCCGAGGGTCGCCTTTTGTGCCCTGGAAAAGTTAGCGAAATTCCTGTTCCTCTTTGAGTACCACATGGGCAATTTTCCAATTATGGTCATCATCTCCTGAGGACAGAGAACAAGGCTGGTGAGAATTGTGGCCAACACTTAATGAGTACTTATTATGAGTGTGGTACAGTGCCATGTGCTTTCCATAAATGTTCTCATTAAATCCCCACAGCAGCCCTATAAAATAGGTACTATTATGAACTGGTTAAGTAACTTTTCCAAAGTTACATATTTAATAAGGAAAAATGGTTTTTTTAAATACTATGATTTATTTTAAAATTCACATTCAAATCTTAACCATGAATTTGTTTTCCACTATCACTATAAGAATCCAGGTTCTGAATTTCCTCCTGAGTTGGCTGGTTCAACTGTAACCCCTAATGTTAGCAATGAAAGCCCATTAGGCTGAATCGTATAAAATGAAACCGACTCCCTCTCCAACATCTAGACTTTTTTCTCTTCCTTATATTATCTGAAAGTTCAGCATGTAGGGCAGTGAAGTAAGCCAAAGAGAGTACTATTGTCTAGAAATTCACATTCTAATAAAGATTAGGTCTACTTGCTTTTTCTCTGAGCATGAACTGGAAGTGGGACTTTTGAATTAAGAGCTGAAGAAAGATGGTGAGAAGGCTGTCCTAGAGCATGGGATCCTGGGTTGAACAGCAGAAGAAGCCAGGCAGGAGCTTGGGGGCACTGGAGAGAGGAAACTGAAAGCAGAGCAACTCAGTTCCGCAAAGAGATGCGCCTACACTGATATTTTTGCACAGGACATTCCCTAGAGTTGGGCTTGAAGAGGAGAGGAAAAATGCTTCCAAGTGGAAGTCACATTGGCTAAACTGAGTTCCTACAGATGAGTGTCTTTTTTCCTTCTTCTGTGTCTTTTAACCAGAAATCTACTGACAGAACTATACTTTCCCTGAAACAGAAAAGACCTTTAATCTCCCTTTGTTTTCAGACCATTCTCTCTAAGGACAACTTCAAGGGACAGGTGTACCAATGTTATGTTTCCTAGGGTGGAGCTGATTATGGCCTGTGTGGTTAGGTTACATGGGAACATAGGAGAGAGGTAGAGAAGGCACACGACCACCTCTGTAACATACAAATCTAGGTAGCTGCCATCTCCTGGGGAGAGCACTGCAACCTACTGGAAGACACATGGACTTGAAGGGTAATAGGTGCCAGAAAGTCTAGGAATAGGAACAGAGATACAGCATTTGAACTATTTATCCAGCAGGTTATAGATCACGGGAATTCTGTCAAGAGAGTAGGATTCCGTTCCTGCTGATGAGTACCTGCTTTGTTTTTTCTTAATATAGGATGTCCAAATGAGGTTGAGATGGGGGAATTTGGCACTGGGAAGGAGACCCAAGAGGGTCACATAAAGAACACTAAGTGATATTCAACTAACCTTTTTGAAAAGTTTCATTGACAAACCAGTATCAGAACAGACTACTTTAAAAATCCTTTCATACAGTGTTCCCAGGGACCGTACACAGGCATACTCTGAATTCAATGAAACACAAAGCACAGCAGTGTAAGAAACTAAATTAATCATGGGATGTTTGCTTGATTTTATGCTTTGAAGTAACACTGAGCTTTAGATGAAAGTGAGTGATAATAGGTCCCATCAATATTATTGAAACTCTAACTCATTTTCTCATTAAATATTTACAATCCTTGGTAACATAACACATCCTCAACTCTTAAAGAGTATCTACCTGTCATCCTTTCATCATATAAACTATGATAAATTTCAACCAGAAAAGTGAACCCCTCAAAACTGTGATTTGTAGAGTTCCCAGGCAGCCCAGAGTGCCTTGGATATAGGGGATTTGGGCACCTGTTCTTACAAGTGACCTCTAAAGAAGGTTTCTCCTTCAAGAGCAGCAGATATATAAAAAATAATTCCTTTCTCTGGACTCATTTCAACTGATAAATGCCAAGGTAGGCAGTTGGATGCTAGGATAATCTGGCCATAAATCATGATTCAGGGTTATAAACAAAGTATATGCTTTATTTTGTTGTGGTGGTGGTTCCTTCATAACTAGGAAAAGGGAGACAAGCTTTCTTACTTTTCAACAAAAAGTTTCTCTATCTATACTCATTTACATGCTGACCTTCTTATATAAATACACAAAGTGACTCTTAGGAACATGTAAGTGATTATAGGAAGTTAACATATACCAATGACTTATTTGCCACCAACTTTATAAGTAGGCTTCTAGTTACTGCAGCATATTAAATAATGGTATCATTTGTTTTTCTGAAACATGCAAAACACTGGGTCAATTTTTTTTTTTTTAAGATGGTGTCTTGCTCTGTCGCCAGGCTGCAGAGCAGTGATGCAATCTTGGCTCACTGCAACCACATTGCTACCACTGTAGCCGAGCTGTGGTCTCTGATGTCACCACCAACTGCAGCGAGGTAAGCCACGGAGGCGCAGGCTCTGGCTCCAGCCTCCAGCATGCAGTGGTGTCTCTTCCTTCTCCTCGTCTTCCAGCCTGGCAGGAGAAGCTCCCGCTGCTAGCCTCCCTCCTACCGCTCCGTCACCAACACCACCAACAGGGAGGCAGCGCCCCAGGCTCCAGGCTCCAGGCTCCAGGCTCCAGCCGGTGAAAACTAATGGACCCTTCTAGTTCTCTAACCCAGGTACCTAGCAGCTGGACACACCGACACAGAAGACCCAAAAATGACGCACCACTTCCTCAGCATGCTTTATATACTGAAGTTACGGATCCTGGACTACATGTTCTGATTGGATGAGAGAAAAACCTCTAGGCCTACTCTGATTGGACTTTATTTTCATGCTGTGATTGGTTATCTTAAGACTTGCTCTCATGCAATCAGAACATGAAGTCTAGGAACCGGCATGCGCATAACCTCCGTATATAAATGATGCTGAAGAGCCGTTACGGTTTTTTTTTTTTTTTTAGGGTTCGGTGTTTTACTGTTGAGCTGCTCAGTGCCCAGCTTAGAGGACCAGGAAAAGGAGTCACCGGCCGTATGCTGGAGGCTTGAGACACGGCACAGAGGCGCAGCTCGCCTCGCTATGGTTGGTGGTGGCAGTGGAGATTGCGATTGCAGCGCGGCTGGAGGGGTAGGAAGAGGAAAATAGTTTTGGGATAGATAGAGGGGTGGGTAAAGAGTTTGGTTATTGCCAAAGGGAAAAAAGGATAGCGAGGAGGAGAAGGCATTGCAAAAAGATGATGGGGAAAAGATGGTGGGGAAAAAAGGTTTTGGGTAGATGGAGGTGGAAAGACAGGTTGTGGAGCGGGAGTGAGGGAAGGTTTTGCAGAAAGACGGTGGATAGGAAGTTTATGGGTGGATGAAGGGGGAAAAGATGGTGGCAATTGGGGAGAGGAGAGAGTGGTGAGGTGGGGGAAATGGGCGAGCAGTAGGGAGAGAGGGTTTTGTGAAAAGACAGTGGGGAGAGAAGTTTTTGGGTAGATAGAGGAGCAGAAGAAGATAGCAAGTGGGAGAAGGAAAAAGAGGGTAACTAGCGGGAGGAAGACAAGGTTTTGCGAAAAAACAGTGGCAGAAAAGAAAGATGGTGGAGAAAAGATGGTAGGTAAAAAGTGTTTGGGTAGATGGAGGAGGGAAAGAGGGTGACAAGGAGGAGAAAGAGGGTGGCGAGAAGGGAGCAGGGAAAGAAGGTTGGGAAAAAGACGGGAAAATAGTTTGGGATAGATGCAGGGCAAAAAAAAGGGTGGCAAGCAGGATAGGGGAGAGAAGAGGACGAGTGGGAAGAGGGGGCAGACTTTGTGAAAAGATGGGGAAATTTTGGGGGGTAGATGGGGGGAAGAGGGAGGTGAGCAGGAGTGGGGAGAAGGCTTCGAGAAAAGATGGTGGGGAAATGTTTTTGGGTAGATGGAGAAGGGAAAGAGTGGCAAGGAGGAGTAGGAGGAAAGACAATGAGGAAAACAGTTTTTGGGTAGATAAAGGGGGAAAAGAGGGTGGTGAGCAGCAGGAGTGGGGAAAAGGCTTTGGGAAAAGACGGGGGGAAAATGTTTTTGCTTAGATGAAGGAGGAAAAGGGCATGATGACAGCAGGAGGGGGAAAAAAGAGGGTGGCCAGGGAGAAGGGGGAAAATACGGTGGGAAAAAACGGGAGAAAGTGTTTGGGTAGATGGTTGGGGAAAAGCGTGGTGAGCGGGAGAATAGAGAAGGCTTTGCGAAATGACGCGGGGTGGGGCGGGGAGAAAACGAAATGATGGTGGGGAGATAACGGTGAAAAAGTTTGGGGTAGATGGAGGAAGAGAAAGGGTGGTGAGAGGGAGAGGGCGAAATGCGGTCGGGAAAAGAAGGTGGGGAAATGGTGGGGGATAGAAGTTTTGGGTGGATTTTTAAAAATAAGATTATTTGTATTTTCACTTTTGAGTAGTTTGAGTTCTTTAGATATTTTGTGTATTAACCTCTTGCCTGATGCATAGTTTGCAAAGACTTTCTTCCATTCTCGGGTTCTGTCTTCATTATACTGATTGCTTCCTCTGCTTTGGAAAAGGTTTTAAGTTTAATGTAATTACATCTTTGCTTTTGTTGCTTGTGCTTTTGATGTCTATTTGAAAATTCCTTGTCCTAACCAATTTCATGAAGCATTTATCCTATGTTTTCTTCTCTGGTAGTTTCATAGTTTCAGGTCCTGTATTTAAATCTTTATTTTGAGTAGATTTTTGTATATGGTAAGGTAATGGCCTGGATGTATTCTTGTACATGTGGGTGTTGGGTTTTCCTAGTACAGTTTATTGAAGAGATTGTCTTTCCCGAAGGTGTGTTCTTGGGGCCTTTGTTAAAAATGAATTGACCGTAAACGCGTGAATTTATTTATGATTTCTCTATTCTGTTTCACTTGTCTATGTCTGTCTGTCTCATTCGTTCATCTCTCTTGTCTCTCCCCCGCCCCTTTTATTGATAGTACCATGCTGTTTTGATAGTACCATCCTTACTATAAATTTGTAGTATATTTTGAAATCAGGTAGTGTGATGCCTCCAGCTTTTCTTTTTATTCCACATTCTTTTGTCTATCTGAGGTATTTTGAACTTCCATGTGAATTTTAAGATTCTTTTTCCATTTCAGTGAAGAATGTCTTGTAATTGAACATGGATTGCATTGATTCTGTAGATCACATTGGGTGATACACATATTTTAACATTCTTCTAGTGCATAGAGATGGGATATCTTTCCATTTACTTGTGTCTGCTTTAGTATCTTTCATCTATGTTTTATGAAGTTTTCATTTTGGGATCTCTTGCCTTTTTGGTTAAGTTTATTCCTAGATATCATTTTTTTTTTTGGTAATGAAATAGCTTTCTTGATTTCTTTCTTAGATATTTCACTATTGGTCCATGGGTGTAGTATTCATTTTTATATTTTGATACTGTATCTTGGAACTTGACTAATTTATTATTTCTAGTAGGTTTTTTGTGGAATCTTTAGGGTTCTCTCTATATATGTTCATGTCACCTGGAAACAGACAATTTGACTCCTTTTTTCCAATTTGGATGCCTTTTATTGCATTCTCCTAATTGCTCTAGCTAGGACTTCCAGTATTATGATGAACAAAAGTGGTGTAAAAGTAGCCACACTTGTTCCAGATCTTAGAGGAGAAGAGCTTTTAACTTTTCCTTATTGATTATGTTAGCTGTGGGTTTGTCATATATGGCCTTTATTGCACTGAGATATGTTCCTTCTGTACTCATGTTGTTGAGTTTTTATCATGAAGGAATGTTGACTTTTAATTTTTTCAGCGTCTACTGAAATGATTATATGGTTTTTGTTCTTGATTTGCTGAATGTGATGTTGCATATTTATTTATTTGTGTTTATTGAATCATCCTCATATTCCTGGGATGAATGAAATCCACTTGATCATGGCAGATGATCTTTTTATTGCGTTGTCAAATGCAATTTTCAAGTATTTTGCTGAGGATTTCTTACACCTCTGTTCATCAGGGATATTTGCCTGTGGTTTCCTTTTTGTGTTGTGTTCTGGTCTGGTTTTTGTACCAGGGTCATGCTGTCCTCATAGAACAAGTTTCGAAGCCTTTCTTCGTCTTCATTTTATGGGGAATATTTTGAGTAAAATACATATTAGCTCTTTTAAAAATGTTTGGTAATTCAGCAGGAAAACCATGATTCTTGTGTTTTTCTTTGCCAGGAGACTTTTTATGACTGCTTTAATTGCATTACTCATTATTGGTCTGTTCAGGTTTTTTATTTTTATTTTTTATCATTCTATCTTGGGAATTCGTTATGTGTCTAGAAATGTATTCACTTCCAGATTTTTCAATTTGTTTGTGATGTTTTTAGTAATCTCTTAATGCTTCGTATTTCTGGGTTACCAGTTGTAATGCCTTCTTTATGACTTTGTTTTCTTTTTCTTATCTAACTTCATCTAGTTAAAACTCGTCAATTTTGATTTTTTTTTAAAAACACCCCAGCTTTTGTTTCATTGACTTTTTGTATTTTTTGTTTCTATTTTTAAAATTTCTTCTCTAATCTTTATGGTATTTTTTCTGCGAATTCTAGCATTTGATTGTTCCTGTTTTTCTCATTACTGGAGGTGTACCGTCAGGCTATTTGAGATCTTCCTACTTTTCTGATGCAGGCATTTATAGCTATACACTTTTCCTCTTAGAATTGCCTTTGGTGCATCCCACAGGATTTGTTATGTTGTGTTTCTATTCTTACTTGTTTCAATAAATATTTAATTTCCCTTGTGTTTTCTTCATTTCTTTTATTGGTTGCTCATGGGTGTGTATTTTAATTTCCATGTATTTGTACAGTTTTTAAAGTTCTATCTGTTATTGATTTCTAATACTATTCGACTGTGGTCACAAAAGATACTTGATATGAATTCAGTTTTTAAAAATGTGTTGGATGACCGAGGCGGGATCACGAGGTCAGGAGATTGAGACCATCCTGGCTAACACGGAAAAACTCCGTCTCTACCAAAAATACAAAAAATTAGCCAGGCGTGGTGGCGGGCTCCTCCGGAGGCTGAAGCAGGAGAAAGGCATTAACCCAGGAGGCGGAGCTTGCAGTGAGCCGAGATAGTGCCACTGCACTCCAGCCTGGGAGACAGAGAGAGACTCCACCTCAAAAAAAAAAAAAGTGTTGTGACTTGTTTTTTGGCCTAACACAGTCTGCCCTGTAGAATAATCGATGTGCCACTCAGTAGAATGAGCATTGTGCAGTTGCACAGTGAAAAGCTGTGTAAATGTCTGTTAGGTCCATTCTGTATAGAGTACAGTTTAACTGATGATGTTTTGTTGCCTGGATGATCTGTCCGTTCGCGATAGTGGGGTGTTGATTACGGTGGAGTGTTGAGGTAATCTATTATTGTATTGCAGTCCATCTGTCCTTTAAAGCCTGTTAATATTTGCATCTATATTTAGGTGCTTGAGTGTTGGTTGCATATGCACTTAACGGCTGTTTACTTGTTTCTCATTTATATAATTATCTTTATTTTTTCTTTTTTTGAGTTAAAGGCTATTTTATCTAAGTATAGCTACTCCTGCTTTTTTTGTTTCCATTTGTATGGGATATCTCTTATCATCCCTTGACTTTGTCTGTGTATGTCTTTATAGGTGAACTGAGTTCCTTGTAGGCAGGACATAATTGGGTCTTTTAATCCATTCAGTCACTCTGTCTTAATTTAATTTACATTCAAGATTATTATAGATAAAAACATACTACTGCCATTTTTTACTTTTTTGATTGTTTTGCTACTTTTTCTTTTGTTCTTTCTCCCTTCCTCTTTTCTTTCTGATCTCTTTTTACTTCTTCTCTTTCCTCCTTGCCTTTCTTCCTGTCTTTATTTGTAGTGAAGTAATTTTTTCTGGTAGTGTTTTAATTCCTTGCTTTTTATGTTTAGAGTGTCTATTGATTTTTGTTTTCTGGTTACCATGAGGCTAAACAACATAATTATAACAAGTACTTTAAATCGAAGAAAACTTAACTTTGATGGGTCTCAGCTACTCAGGAGGCTCAGGTGGGAGGTGGGAGGACTGCTTGAGCCTGGGAGGCCGAGGTTGCAGTGAGCTGAAATTGCGCCACTGCACTCTCCAGCCTGGGTGACAGAGTGAGACCATGTCTCACAAAATAAATAAATAAATAAAAATGCAATAGTTTTATAGTGAATTCTGATTGTAAATTTGGAGATGATATATTAAGGTATAAAGAGGAAAGTGAAAATCATAATCTCATTACCCGAGGATAACTGCTTCTAATGTTTTGGTACATACGCTTCCTAATTCATAATCCCCTCTCTCTTACACACACACAAATGTACACGTAAAATAGATAGACTTTACACACATATAATTTTATTGTAACATTTTCAGAAACACGGTTTTGTAATTTTTTCTTTAAAAATATTGTAAATAAGTTCTGTGAATAACATATAATAATATACATCTTAGTTTTCAGATTTTGTTTTCTGCTCTTTGGGGTGGCAGGTTCGCTTTTTGCTAAAATGAATCATCTCAGTATCTTTGATTTTCCTTCTCTCCTCTAAGCTGTTGCTTTTGGAAGGGGCGCCTGGATCTCCCTCCTGTTTACTTGGGGGCAAACACATAGTGTCATGGGGTTTTGAAGACACGTTGCCTGTGCCAGATAGCAACACTGATTGTAGTTCTGAAAATATTAGCGTTTTTGTCCTGTGATTAATACTAAGATGTAAATGAAGTGGTTTAGATCATTGTAGCAAATGACCTAGATATAACTCTGTGTGTGTTTTAGATCATTGTAGCCAATGATTTAGATACAACTCTGTGAGTACCTTTTAATTAAGAGCTCAGGATTTCTACACAGTATGTTCATTGTCTGCTTTATTTGTAGAAGCGTAAAAGCTGATACTTGGGTGATGTAAGAAAATGGATAGGTTTTACTATCACAAGGAAAAGGTATTATCCATACACTTTTGCCAAGGAGGCATGGGTTACTTAAATTGGCTTCTGGATATTGGAGTTTGGGTATGATAGCCTTACGTTGAATTTTTTGGTTACTGCTTGATAATATTTATTTCAGTAATTGTGTTTAGTAATTGATTGTGTGTGTTAATGAACAGTCCTGTCCTAAAAGCAAAAATGAAGTGGTTGAAGGGAGCATGAATTGTTAACATCTCCTTTAAACAAATAGGCTAGGTTAAAATTTTTTTACAGAGCTTTACAGTATTACATGTGAGTTTATTACACTATTACATGTCAATAAAAATGGCAGCAGAAGCTCTCTTAACTGACTTGCCAGATGGATTAGATCTCTCCATTCACTCAATAAAATGTCCATTTTATTGAGTTTTAATCCATTCAGAATCCATTTAGAAATACTATCTTATTTAACCTGTACCCTGTTTCAGCTAGCAACTGGATTATGAGTATGTGTATTAAATATTTTAGAAGACAGATTCTTTTAAATAAAAATTATCACACAGGCTGTCTTAAACTTTTAAAAAAGAGATCTGATTTTAGATTTGGTTAAAATACTAGCCTACATTAGTATTCTTTCTAGGAAATAAATATTCACATAAATTGTTTTTCCAGAAATTGGCCTTGAATACAGATTTCAGATCGTTGAAAACGGAACCATTTGAAATCTGCATTTCCTTTCCTTTTCCTAATTTATTTCAGTCGCTCAATAGGATTTTCTCATGGAATTAACTTTTCCCTCTCAGCATAGTTACATAAGCTTGCTGTTGTAATCATGAAAAATAATTACCCATTTCAGCACTTACTAACGTGGACTTTACTTGAAGGGTCTCTGGTTTTAAAGTCAGAGCACATGGCTAGAGGCAGATGAAGAGTACCTCATCATTCATAGCCACTGAGTCTCTATAATTTCTAAATGCCTTTGGAAAGCTAGATCTCATGCTCAAAAGCATGCTTTTGTGTTACAAATCTTTTAGTGAACTACTTACTCAGGTCATAATGCTTTTAAAGCCCTGCTTTTCTTTCCTCAGAATAAACTGAATTACATGTTACCAATAACAATGCCACATCATTTCAAAGGAAACTGAATTAAGTAATCCAAGTCCGGGTTGCTGAAAACTAGATGACACAGGGTAGGCATTGTTTTGGTTACCGTGCAAAGGATCTCTATTAGTCAGCTTGGGCTGCCATAATAAAATACCATAGAACTGGGTGGCTTAATTTTCTCACAGTTCTGGAGGCTAGAAGCTGTAGATCAGGGTGCTGCTGCTTCGGTTCCTGATGAGGGCTTTCTTCCTGGCTTATAGGTTGGCTGGCATCTTGTCCTCACATGCCAAAGGGGAGAGTACTGTAGTCTCACCTTGTCTTATAACGACACCAGTTCTATCAGATGAGAGTCACACCCCATGACCTCATTTAACTGTTAGTACCTCCTCACAGGCCCTGTCTCCAAATTTAGCTATATTAGGGATTAAAGATTCAACATATAAATTTTGAGAGGCACAAACATTCAGTCCATAAAAGAAACTAGTTGTTTAATTAACAAGGATTGTTGAGCCCTGATATCTTGTTACACCTGCCTGTGTCCTTCCCCCATTCCCCTCCACTCTCATTTCCTCACAAACACTCAGATAAGGATTTTTTTCAGATACTGTTTTTGTTACTTATCCAACTACGTAGTAACATTATGAATTATAAATGTTATTAGCCATTGAGAAAGTAGCTGTGCACTGACTGACCCCAATTGACTGGGAGGGCTAGATGGTGCCTTCTCTGTGGTGGAAGATAGGTTGGAGAAATGTGGTTGGTAGCAAATGCTGTCTGATTTGAACAGCTTTAAAGAAGGCTGGTTCTAGTTGATTTCAGTTCTCTCCAGATGCCATTTGAATCTAAACCAATTTTCTAGTTCTTATCATTACAGAATTGTCTTCTGGAACAATTATTTCTTTTTGTTACTTGGTAGCAATATGGATGTAGTTTTCTGAATCATTAAGGCATTTTAACTTATCTTCCATTCTCTTATTTTTTAAGTCCTTTAGGTTGTTTGAGGGACATTCATCAAGGAAACCGGATAAACTTAAAACGCTCTTCCACTTCTTTGGAACAGTCACAGAGAAAAGTGAACTCCTTTCATTCTTGCAGTAATTTTTCTTGCTGATGGGAACAGTTCAAGTCAAGTGACATGTGAGGAACATTTTGTGTTTAACGTAAACCTTCCTGTCCCAACCACATTGAAACAGTAATGATGCGACAAGATAACTTCGGTTTTATGCTTGTGTATAAGCATAAATGTGTGCTATAAATGTAGGGGGGCGGGGTTTACATACTCTGAAATCGGACACATATTCTCTGAAATCTGTAATATACCTCAAAACATTTTCATGAATAAAAACCAGAGAAAGTATATTGACCAGGAAATAAATTTTGGATGCTCTTTATTTAAAGAGGCATTCACTAGTTTATTTGTATAAGTCAACTAACGCATTGCTTTTCTACCCATTCCTCTCTTTTGTGCCCCCCTAAGCCCTTTGTGGAGTTCTCATAAAACTGTTTTGTACTGAGTTTTATATCCATCTTCCTCTATTAAACCTTAACATTCTTGCTTCCCCAAAACCTGATAGCAGCTGAGGCAGTAATAGTAAATGTCCAACAAATACTGGTAATGACCAGCTGATAATAGAGTGGTATTGCCACTCTTATCTCAGAAGCTGAATGACCGTGGTCAAGTTTCTTGACACCTCTAAGCTTCAGTTTTATCACCTATGAAATAATATAATAATGGTTATTACCTTACAGGGTAGTTATAGATATTAAACAAGGAGATACATGCTTAATAAATGTAAGCTATTATCAATGGGTAGCCTTTCCTACAAGTGGATGTAAACCAGAACACCTTAAAAGTTTCTTTGTACTAAGTAGGTAATGTCAACCTGCTCAAGTGAAATGGCTTTTTTTCAGTTCTGGGTTGTAGGATTGTCTTAAAACATGTCTTTGAATAATTTTAAGGTCATTTTTCTCATATCCTACTTTTACTCTTGCATTACAGTGTACTTGGCATCTTCCCCCTTGAATGTATTGCTATTGGACACTGTTAAATTTTTAGAATGAAATCAATTATCAGGATTTTGATATTTAAGGGAAAATTATATGCTTCTCTGATATGGAATTATTTATCTCATAGCTTATTGAATTTCAGTTTTGTGCCCTGTACTGAATGAAATATTAAAATGCAGAATCATTTGGACCTATGAGACACAAAATTAAATTAGAATTTGTAATGACTTGTTAAAAAGATGACTACGTAAGGCCAGGCGTGGTGGATCACGAGGTCAGGAGTTCCAGACCAGCTTAGTCAAGATGGTGAAACCCCGTCTCTACTAAAAAAATACAAAAATTAGCCAGGCGCGGTGGCAGGAGCCTGTAATCCCAGCTACTCGGGAGGTTGAGGCACAAGAATCATTTGAACCTGGGAAGTGGAGGTTGCAGTGAGCTGAGATTGTGCCACTACACTCTAGCCTGGGTGACAAAGAGCAAGATTATGTCTAAAAAAAAAAAATGACTACTTTTTTTGGCTATTCTAGGTCTAAGTAGAATTATTACTGTTGGTCTTTTTTGTTTTGTTTTTACAGTACTTTGAGTTGCCATTTTAAGTAGAATTGTTATAACTAAGTAGTACAGAGTTTACTTTTTTGTCCTGGGAGTCAAATCATGTATGTCTTCTCTAAAAACTAACCTGGCTTTCTAAATTTTAGGATTTCAGATACTTTAAGGAAAAAGCTAAAAGTTTGTTTTTTCAACTAGAAATGTATATGCCATTATAAGTATTTGGAATTTGAAGAAATAAATTATAACTAGACATTTTATTTTCTGACTTTTTTACTGTACATGTTAATTAAGTTCTTTGTAGAAATACAGTACAACATTGCTCTTGGTGTGCAGTATGTAAAGCTAATGGTTTAAAGAGGAAATCCTAAAGAGAATAAAAGAGGTTGCAGTGTAATGAGTCATTGTGTAGAAGTTCTGGAGCCTACTCAATAGACTTGAGAAGCTTATTTAAGGTACCATATTTCATCAAATCTAATCTAAGATGTCATAGATTATTTTTAAAAAGTGCTATTACATTATATACCTCTAAGAAGGAAAAAACACTCAGGACAGGGAGTTTAGTAGGAGACCTAACCCACAAGGCTGGTACACCTAGGGATAAATGAGAAATTAACTTGACCATCCAGAAAAGGGACCATAAAGAAGCGTGCAAGTCTCAACCTTGACACTAAATAGAGAAAGAAAAAAACATTTCTCTGAGAATTTGAACCACAAGCCCTAAGCTTTGGGTGTGCAGCCTTACCACCAGTGTGGTCCACAAAGGATTAATTCAGATGGTGTTGGGCTGATAGTGTTCCCAGATGACAGCAGAAGCAGATGCACATCTTCTCTGGGAAAATTCTCCTCTAGTCTAGACCTATGGTAAGATACCTCCATTATAAAAGATGTATTCCAGTTTCAGAAATGTAGTATGTGGAAAAACCTGCCTTTTAGAATTGATAGAATAGAATTCCATCAGGACCAACTTTTCAGTGTTGTTAAACGTGTATTTTATATTTGATGAGGATCTTGAGACTGAAATATTTTAAAAAGCCTTCCGAATTAAATTACTTTTTATATAGTTTTAGATAAAGTATCTTATAGATCAGATTTTTGAAAATTTATGACCTGTATGTAGTATATATTGTGATTTTATTATGGGAAGTATTTGATTAATCAGAGTATCCTATTCTGAGATGAAAGTTGCCTTGTTATGAAAAAGAAAGCTAACAGACGTGCTCTCAAGGCATTTTTTCTTAATCTAAGAAACCATGTTCTTCTGCTTTTTCTTGCTTTGCCAGCAGTGTTTATGAATTTCTCTTAGCATCTCTTAGTATATATAAAGGACATTTGATGTTCTTACTTCTCTGCTAATACCGAATGACAAGAGAGATGTTTTCTATTATATTCATGGAATTGTGTTTCTAGTGTTAGAGTTGTTTGACCACTTACTTGTGAGTTTTAAATACGTTATCCGTTTATGTTAAAGTTAGATATCTAAAGAATGTAAGACCCATGTTAACAAAAAATTTTGTTTTCTTCTGCAACTGCTCCATATGGTTTTTGAGTGGTTCCTGCTTTTGACTGAGAACAAGGAAATGTGGAATTGTGCACAGGAATGAAATGATGGCCAGGCTTTCACTGGGTTATACACTGTCATCAGTAATAGTTCCTGACATCTCTCTCTTTCCTTAAGAGCTTTTTTCTATTCAAGAAAACAGAAATGGCATGGCCTTTTTAGTTTGCTCTTTGATTTGAATCAGACAAATTACTTCTGGCCAGTTGATATATTTGTTTCTTTTGCTACTAGCTTTAAAAAATAAATAAATCTGACTAGAAAAGGATCTCATCCTCTTAAAATTATTGACTACATTAATACTACTCTATTTTGATCCTCCCAAATTTATTGCTTCTTGAAAAATATGTCATCTTTATTCTGTAAACTCTTAGAACCAGTAATTTCTTCTCTGGCTAAGACTGCTACTAACAAGTAGAGTGATTGCCCACTATCTAAGCCTGAAACTTAGCTTTACTAACTTCAGAGGATGTGCAAATGATTTTCTTTTTAAAGCTGTGGCATTTCACTTTACTATAAAGTACATAGATGTGTCTTTATTCACCAGTCTTTGAATGTAGGGTTAAGTCCTTTCTTTGTAAAGGAGTCTACAAATTTGAATTCAGTTTTGTCTTTACTGCATAAGCTGTACCAGTTATACATCCTTTTTTCCAATGGTTTTTTTTTGAAGTGTATTCAGCTTCAAAACTTTACCAAAAAGTACCAGCACTCAAATCCTACTGTTGTGCTGTTATTTGTATAGTTTCGTTTAGTGAAGTCTTACTGTTTTATAGGAGTTTCTACTGTAAGGATAATATTTTCAATCAATATTCTGTTATTTTCCAATGCTAGGCTTTGTATTTCCTGGTTGGTTTTATATTCAATGTTAGACCTATTCTTTTATCGAGTGTGTGTGCGCGCACATTCACGTGTGTGTGTGTAATGTTTTCAAAATTGAAACTTATTTTGGGTATGTTTTTCTTTTATTGCTTCTGTAGAACCTACTGGGTTGGTGACATTTACAAGACAGAGTCTTGAGGATTTTCCAGAACGGGAAAGGTAACAATAATAATAAAAATAGTCCTAGACCCCTAGAATTAGAAGGACTCTTGCACTATGAGAGGATTCTATTTTAGAGCACCTGGAAAGATGGTTTTCCAACCTCTATCCTAGTGCCAGGGAATTTCTTCTCAGAAGTGATCCATCGATAGCTCTCATTTTTGAAAAGGTTATGCCTTTTAAATCAAAGTCTGTAACCCTTTGATTTCTACCATTTTGTCTTGGTTTTGTCTTCTGAAAGAAAGCGGTGTTTAAAATTGAGGAGTGTTGTATGTGAAGACACTAATAAAAGGAACGCCAATATATAAACGTTTCTCCTTACCCTTTTTTTGGTTAGTGTTTGAACTTTACGGCTTTTCTTTCTGGAGGACAAGATTGAGAAAAGTCTTTTTATTATTTACATTTTAGTAAATAGTAACCGTCTAGAGTTTGAGTGGCAAGAATTTTGAAGTTTGGCTGCCCTTGTGTACTACTGGTAGATTTTCTGGAAGTTGCTATTTACTGTTTGTTTCTTATTTATCAGAAAATAATTGAGGAGATAGCAGCCAATCTGAGCTAATTCAGATATGTAAGGTCCTTAGTGTCCTGAAATAGTTAACATATTTCTTAATCTAAAGCAAGTCCCCCAATGCACTTAAAGAAGTGTGGATTAACTTTTTAAATATGTTTGAGGACATGGTGAAGCATACTAAACACATATTTAACCAATGCTTCCCATTTTCACTTTCTAATAATTTTATGATAGTTTGTAATTGTTTTGTTTGGAATTAGTGATGAATGGAAATCACTTAAAAAAAAAAGTTGAGAAGTCATATCTGCTTAGGTGGCTTTCCTGCGGTGTTTTCATCCATCAAAGATGTTTATTTGTGAAGTGAAAGATAAAGAAATTTACTTCAGAAGACTGAGTGTATGGTTCAGGTGATTATTAATAGAGGGAAGTAGATAAAAGATTAAGAAACCTGAAGAGAGAAAAAAAAATGAGCCAGAAAAAGATGAGAGCATGTACAGCATTTTGGCATCATGCCATGTCAGATCTGAAAGGAACCCCAGCCGCCTACTAAAACTCTTGATAGCTCTGTAATACCTGCAACAGTTGGAGACTCGATAGCTTCAGTGATGGCAAATCCGCTGTTGCACATCAGTTTGTTCCATTGGTGGCTGCTTGTGTTATCATCTCATGCTTTCATTCACTAAAAATGTTTTCTACATTCATTCTCCACTATTCCTGGTTCTTCCTTCTAGAGCTACATAAATAAATCTGAATTTCTAGTTTTCTTTAAGATTTGACCTTCCTTCATGTATCTTAATGGCTTCTTGACCTACTTTCTTCTCCAAAAGTGCATACAAGTTCATACTAAACTGATTCATTTCTTCTATTTCACATGTAATATGGAGTCGAAACCCTTTGTCTCTGCTCTTAACAGAGTAGATTGGTTGCAGTTTCTTGGGTGCAGGAATGAAAAAATGAGTACATTTGCCTCAGCCTCCCATGTAGCTGGGACTGTATAGGTGCATGCCACTACACCTGGTTAATTTTTGTATTTTTTGGTAGAGATGGTGTATCACCCTGTTGGCCAGGTTTGTCTCGAACTTCAGACCTCAAGAGATCTGCCTGCCTTGGCCTCCCAAATTGCTGGGATTACAGGCATAAGTCACTGCGTCTGGCTTGGGGGAGTTACTGTTGAAGTATTGTCTTTGTATCCCAAAGAAGGCCCTTCTGAAACTGATGATGTTGATGAAAAACTCCTTCTACTGAAGTCTTTGCAATGTATAATCTTTTCACTTCCATTTTCCTACATACTGTTTCTATTGGTTCCTTGTATTCCACAGACTGTGTTTTAGTATTTATAAGTATAGTGTTCCTTTTCTATGTGGAAAAGGGAAAATGTATTGGCCTTTTTTTAACATATAAATGAACTTCACAAGCAACAATTTTTCAAATCAGTTTTCCCTGTTGTGAATCTCGAAGTGGGTACATGATGCACTTTCCCATTTAAGGTAAAGTACACATTTATCCCTTATCTCAGAATAGTCAGAAGTCAGGTTCTTATTGTATGGTTAGTAATGCAAATATTGATAAGGTCATGTCAATACTTAGTATTTAGAAGAATTCTGAAATAGCACTTGTTACTCTGTAAGTTTTATGCATTTATTACTTTTTTTGAATTTTTTATAATGTTCCCAAACTTGACTCTCTCATAGGCTATTAGTAATAGGTTTTACTTCTATCTCTTGTGGCCTCAAGTACACAAGATGTATTTTCTTTAGATTTAGCATATAATATAAATTCAATTGTTTATTTCAGATTTTGAAAGAACAAAGAGGAACTACAGAATCATTGCTTACATTGACACCGGCCCTATTGTCCCAATGGATGGGTTTTTTTTTGGATCAATGTCAAAATTGACCCTGCTGTTAAAGCTTGAAACTTGGATCTGTTGTATCTGAGTTCTCTCCTCAAAAAAAAGACCTTCAGGAAGTATCAGATAACTGAAACATACCAGATCACAGCACCACATGCCTCCTGCCCCTCCCTAATTTCTGTTCTCTTATACATTGTTAAATTTCTTTCCTGCCCCTATTAGTCAAGCCCATGGATTTAAGACTGAGCTCCCAGCTCCTGGGCTGCAGCACCAGGTTAAAGCTTTCTTCCTTGGCAGTACTTGTCACCTCAGTGACTGGCTTTTTCTCCGATGAGCAGGAGGACCTGGACAAAACCCCTGGTGTTTGGGTAATAACATGAATGACCATCTTAACTGTTATTCTTTATTGAAATTTTACTTTTTAACTACTGGCCTCTTGTTCATTATCTCCCATTCTTTTGACCTCATATCTCTTTTTTCATTGACTTTACAGTCAAGGAACTTGATGCTCCCTAAATCCAAATATTACGGTTAAAAGAAGAGAGAGGAAATGTGTGCAGAGAAAGTGTATTTTACAAATGAATTAAAGATGGATTCTGAGATACAGGTTTATAGATTTACCTAGAGTTTTGAGTTCAGGTGAGTTTTCACAATATGCAGTAAGTGGAAAAGAATCCCAAAATAATTGTGACATGAAAAAACTAGATGTTGAAAACCAAAAAGATTTCACTTTGGTATGGCACTTTTAATTCAAGAATACTAGCCACCAAATGAGTTTTTCTGACTGTAATCATTGCTCTTTAAAAATTAAGAGATGTATTTATAACTTTTGTTTGACTTTTGGTACAGCTTCTGAATTGAGTTATCAATAGATAGGACAAAATAGATGAGCATCTGCTTCCCTTCCCCCTAAACAATGTATTCTTACCGAAATGTAATATATTTTTATTTATACTTGAAGACAGTGTTTTTCAATCTTTTCCATGTTAGTAGCTCAGATCTTTAAGGACAGAGGATGTGTACTGGGGGCAGTTTGTGGTCTTAATCCTAAGTGGCACTCTGATATTTTAGATTATTTCTTTCATATTTGTGAGTAAAACTTCTGCTCCAGTAGGATGAGCCTGTTTACCTTGTGACTGCCTAACAGATCTGTTGCTTTATATGCCAGTTTTTAGAAGCAGGCAGATTACATTACCTGGATTAAAATGTTTTTGACACTAAAGGCAGTATCTTAAATTTTTACATATGAGTTACTTTAAGTACAACTTTGCTTAAATTATGGGGATTGAGTTTCCATAACTTTCACCATAGTGAAAATGGAAAGCAGGGAACATTCCACAGCAAATCCTGAGCTTATTTACAGAGTTAATTGAGCAAAGCAAGCATTCACACTTGTGTGTGTGTCAGTGACAGATGAGCATGGTACTTGAAGCATAATTGTGCTGCTTAAGATTCCGATATATCCAGTAATTTTATCATGTAGCTAGAGTAACTAATATTAAGTCCCCAAGCCTACTTGGGTCTACTGTATTTGTATTTTAAAAGAATGTTTTTAAGCTACCAAATAGACATGTTATATATTTCTTCTGAATTAGAAAACATTATTTGGATTAATAGAGTTAATAGAATCATATTTTATGTTTATTATGTCTTTCTTTTTTTCATGAGATGGAGTTTCACTCTCGTCACCCAGGCTGGAGTGCAGCGGTGTAATCTCAGCTCACTGCAACCTCCATCTCCTGGGTTCAAGTGATTCTCCTGCCTCAGCCTCCCGAGTAGGTGGGCTTACAGGCACCCGCCACCACGCCTGGCTGATTTCTTGTATTTTAGTAGATATGAGGTTTCACAATGTTGGCCCAGGCTGGTCTCGAACTCCTGAACTCAGGTGATCCACCCTCCTCAGCCTCCCAAACTGCTGGGTTTACAGGTGTGAGCCACTGCACCTGGCCTATTATGTCTTAAAAGTGCTTGCATCGTCACCTAGATTATTTTTTATCTTTCAATGTGAGTTTTTATTGGTTTATATGTTGTTTGTTTTTTTTTAGGAAGCTATCATTCTTTAGAGGGCAATGACCAAACAGTACCAGCAGAAATTGAAGTACCAGCAGAAGGCTAAGAAGGTTAGGAGAAAAAGACATTTTGTATTTTACTGTTTTTTTCTTTTAGACGGAGTCTTGCTCTGTCACCAGGCTAGAGTGCAGTGACATGATCTCGGCTCACTGCAACCTCTGACTCCCTGGTTCAAGTGATTCTCCTGCCTCAGCCTCCTAAGTAGCTGGGATTATAGGCACACACCACCACATCCAGCTATTTTTTGTATTTTTGGTAGAGACCAGGGTTTCACCATGTTGGCCAGGATGGTCTCAATCTTTTGACCTCCTGATCCACCCACCTCGGCCTCCCAACATGCTGGGATTACAGATGTGGTCGCTTGGCCACCTCCTCTTGGGAGAAATGCACTGATTCTGGTTGCCACGTGGATTTATTTTGGGAGTGATATTCATCTAACTTCATGGAAATAATACTAGATAGAAAGTTAGTGGATGAATTCTCTATCTGATGAGAGTTTTGGGCAAATCGAATACCAAGTTACCAAGTTTTGTTTTTTTCTCTGATGCAAAAAACAATTTGCCAGCCGGTGAAAAACTCTCACAGCTCTGGATGTGAGTTTAGGATACTGGATTTCTACCATTCAATTTCTTACTACTTTTCTTGCACAGGGATCATGGCACAAGCTGCAGTTTCCACCCTGCCCATTGAAGATGAGGAGTCCATGGAAGATGAGGAGTCCGTTGAAGATGAGTCTGTTGAAGATGAGTCCGCAGAGAGCAGGATGGTGGTGACATTGCTCATATCAGCTCTTGAGTCCATGGTGAGACCTTCTGTTCTAACATTCTGTAATTGGGTAGTACTGGGTGGTAGATAAGGTTGATTTGTTTTTGTAGAATTTATAATTTTATGATTTATAGTTCTAATGAGTAGATCTTTTTCTTGAATAGTAGTTATGGTCAAACACTTCTGACCAAATGTGCCATGTTGTCCAGCCTGGTCTCAAAATTCGGGGCTCAAGAGACCTGCCCACCTTGGCCTCCCAAAATACTGGGATTACAGGTGTAAGCCCCTGAATCTGGCCAGATATTTTTCTTTGTATGGCTGAATAATACTCTGTGTATGTATATATTACATTTTCTTTATCCATTGTTGGTTCTACCTTTTGGCCACTGTGAATAATGCTGCTGTTAAACGGGTGTGCAAATACCTGTTTGAGTCCCTGCTCTCAGTTATTTTGGGTATATACACTTAAAGGGTGTTGGTGGATCATATAATTCTGTGCTTAATATTTTTAAGGAGCTGCTAAACCATTTTCCACAGTGGGCTGTACCATTTTACGTTCCAAAAGGCAATGCATACAGCTTCCAATTTCTCTATAGCATTGCTGACAGTTAATGTTTTCTGTTTATGTACTGTATTTTTATAGTGTTTGAAATTAATCTGAGGGTTTTTGCTGATACCAAAATATTAGGAAAGGTTTTCCAAAAATAATACTGCGTATTATAAAGAATTTTATGTGTTACTTGATGCCCTGTGATCTATTTTCTCAGTAAGAAGAGGAACTTCTCGGCTGGGCGCAGCAGCTCATGCCTGTAATCCCAGCACTTTGGGAGGCCAAGGCAGATGGATCACAAGGTCAGGAGTTCAAGACCAGCCTGGCCAACATAGTGAAACCCAGTCTCTACTAAACAAACATACAAACAAAAATTGGCTGGGTGTGGTGGCGGGCACCTCTAATCCCAGCTACTCGGAAGGCTGAGGCAGCGAATTGGTTGAACCTGGGAGGCGGAGATTGCAGTGACCGAGATTGCACCACTGCACCCAGCCTGTGTGATAGAGTGAGACTCCATCTCAAAAAAAAAAAAAGGAAAGAAGAGGAACTTCTCTCCATCCAACCTCATTCCACTGCACCAACTCTTCTGTGTCGGGTTGTGCAGGGGAGAAAGGGAGCTTGGCACCTCTTTGCTGTGTTGAGTTGTGGTAGCCCATCACTGGGTTGTAAAGTGCATTGCCTCCTTCCCCCCCCCTTTTTTTTTGAGACAGAGTCTCACTCTGTCACCGAGGCTCAGATGCAGTGCTGAGATCTCTGCTCACTGCAACCTCAGCCTCCTGGGTTCAAGCAATTCTCCTGTCTCAGCCTCCCAAGAAGCTGGACTATAGGCACGTGCCTCCACACCTGGCTAATTTTTTTTATTTTTAGTAGAGACGGTATCACCATGTTGACCAGGCTGGTGTTGAACTCCTGACCTCAAGTGATCTGCCCACCTTGGCCTCCGAAAGTGCTGGGGTTACAGGCATGAGACACTGAGCCCATCCACCTCCTCTTTTACTTGGGAGAAATGCACAGATTCTGGGTGCCATGTGCATTTGTTTTGGGAGTGATACTGATCTAACTTATGGAAATAATACTAGATAGAAAGTTAGTGGATGGATTCTCTATCTGATGAGAGTTTTGGGTAAAACGAATTCCTAGTTTCTGAGTCTTATTTTTCCCCTGATTCAAGAAAACTGTGAATTACCCAGCCGGTGAAAAACTCGCACAGCTCTGGATGTGAGTTTAGGACACTGGATTTCTACCACTCACTTTCTTACTACTTTTCTTGTGCAAGGATCATGGCACAAGTTGCAGTTTCCACTCTGCCCATTGAAGATGAGGAGTCTGCTGAAGATGAGGAGACATTGGAGAGCAGGATGGTGGTGACATTCCTAATGTCAGCTCTTGAGTCCACGGTCAGACCTTCTGTTCTCACATTCTGTAGTTTGGTAGGACTGGGCAATAGATAAGGTTGATTTATTTTTGTAGAACTTACAATTTTATGATTTTCAGTTCTAATGAGTAGACCTTTTTCGTGAATAGTAGTTATGGTTAAACACCTCTAACCAAATGTGCATGTGGAGTTTCTACACTGATTTTCAGACAATCTGGATCCCAACTGGGTATCCCACAATTCCATCCTGACACTCCCTGGAGTTAGTGCAGACCCCGCAGGATGGGGGCTCAGTCCCAGGAGTCTACCCTCACTCCACATGCCAATTGCAAGTCTTGGGTTGTTGCATGTAGTTTTGACCGACCAGTTAGAAAACAGGGTTTCATGACCCCGTTGCTGGGTGGAATCATTTGCTCGGACAGCTTGCAGAACTCAGAAAAACAGATTGTTTTCTTTTTTTTCTGAGATACAGGGTCTCAGTCTGTTGCCAGGCTGGAATGCAGTGGTGTGATCAAAGCTCACTGTAGCATGGGACTCCTGGGCTCAAGTGATCCTCCCACCTCAGCCTCCCAAATAGCTGAGACTACAGGCCCGCACCAGCATATCTGGCTAAGTTTTTTTATTTTTTGTAGAGAAGGGGTCTTGTTATGTTGCCCAGGCTGGTCTCAAATTTCTGGGCTCACATGATCCTCCCACCTCAACTTCACAAAATGCTGGGATTATGGGTGTGAGCCACTGCATCTCACCAATTTACTTTCTTTTACTGGTTCATTTTAAAGGCTGTATCTCAGAAACAGCCGGTGAAAGAGATGTACATGCTGGGCACAGTGGCTCATGCCTGTAATTTCAGCTCTTTGGGAGACTGAGGTGGGAGCATCGCTTAAGTGCTCAGGAGATTAAGACCAGCGTGGGTAACACGGTGAAAACGCATCTCTACAAAAAGGATTTTCTAAAAATTAGCCAGGTGCAGTGATCTATAGTTCTAGCTACTCAGTGCCTATAATTCTAGTTAGGAGGCTGAGGTGAGAGGATGAGAGATGGGGCTTGAGCTAGGGAGGCATAGGTTGCAGTGAGCCACGATTGTGCCACGGCACTCTAGGCTGGGGGACAGAGCCAGACCCTGTCTCAAAAAAAAAAAAAAAAAAACACAGGGCAAGCTGTGTCGGGAGGGGTACAGAACTTCCATGCTCTCTATTGCGCATGTTACCTTCCTGCTATCTCCCTTGTGTTCAGCAACCCAGGCATTCTCCAAATCTGGTTGTTGAGGTCGTTTATGAAGGCTTCTTTAAGCAGGCATGATAGATGAAATCATTGACCATTGGTGATTAAGTCAGTCTTCGGCCACTATTTCTTCCTGGAGCCCAGTGGGTGAGGCTGACAGTTCCAAGCCTCTAATCACATGGTTTGTCCTTCTGGCAACCAGCCCTTTTTCTGAAGCTGTCTAGGAGCTTTCAGTCACCCAGTCATCTCAGTAACATCACCAAATGCATTCTTACTATGGTGATCCCAAAGGTCTTAGAGGCTCTTGTGTTAGAAACCTGGGACTACGACCAAATATTCAAACAAAAGATGCTCCTATCACATTTATCACCAAGGCCTTTATAAGAACTTGAGAAGCTCTGTGCCAGGACGAGGGGCAGAAACCAAATGTGTATTTCTTTTCTTTTTCTTTTGAACACAGAGTCTCTGTTTCACCCAATCTGGAGTGCAATGATGCAGTCGTAGCTAACTGCAGCCTCAACCACCTGGGCTCAAGCAATTCTCCCGCCTCAGCCTTCCAAGCATCTGGGACTACAGGTGCACACCATCCATGCCCAGCTGATTTTTGTATTTTTTTTGTAGAGATGGGATCTTGTTATATTGCCGAGGCTGGTCTTGAACTCTGGGGCTAAAGGAATCCTTTCACCATAGCCTCTCAAGTAGCTGAAACTACAGATGCATACCACCATGCCCAGCTAATTTTCTCTTATTTCTTTTTGTTGTTTAATTGAGGGGGGGGGTCTCACTGTGTTTCCCAGGCTGGTCCTGAACTTCTGGCCTCAAGCATTTCTCCTGCTTTGACCTCCTAAACTGTTGGGATTATGGTTGTGAGCCCCGGCCTCTGTGTCCAGCAATCACAAGAGGTCTTTATAAGTGAAAGAGGGAGGTAAGAGAGTCAGAATTGAAGATTTGATGATGTAAGCACAGGTAACAGAGGGAGATTTGAATATGCTTTGCTTCTGGCTTTGGAGATGCAGTTAGGGGCCATGAGCCAAAGAATAGGGGTGGCTTTCGGAACTGGGAAAGGCAAGGGAACACGTTCTCTCTGGAACCTCCAGAAGGGATGCAGTCCTGCTGACACCTTGACTTTAGCCTTAATAGACCTATTTTGGACTTCTGGCCCCCAGACCTGTTAGGTAGTAGATTTGTGGTGTATTAAGCCACTCAATGTAGGGTAGTTTGTAACAGCAGCAAGAAGAAATGAACATGAAGCCAGGGGTAGTGGCCCACACCTATAATTCCAGCTATTTAGGAGGCTGAGGCAGGATGGTTGCTTTGGCCCAGGAGTTCAAGATAAGCCTGGGCAACAAAGTGATACCCTGTCTACGTGGGAAAAAAAAATTAGCGGGTGTAGTGGCATGCACTTGTAGTCTTAGCTACTAGAGGCGCTGAGGCAGGACGATTTTTTGACCTAGGAGTTCCAGGTCTCAGTGTGTTGTGATCGTGCCATGGTGCCCCAGCCTGAGTGACACAGCGAGATTATATCTTAAAAAAAAAGTAAAAAGAAATGAGTGAGCATGGCAGGAATGGGGACACATACCAATATTAAATAGAGTGGTCAGGGTTGGCCTCCTAAGTGAAAATTGAGCAAAGACTTGAAGGAGGGGAAGGAGCTGGCCAAGGTACTGAGGGAAGAGCATTGTAGGCAGAAACAACAGAATAAAGGTGCTAAGAGGGAACTCCGTGGTGTGTCTGAAGCTCAGGAAAGAGGTCTGTCGAGTAGAGAGAGGGAGAGAAGGTAGGGGAGGAGGCCAGGGAGTTGTGGGACTCAGATCAGTACAGATTGTGCAAGCCCTGGGAGGCTATTGCTGGGGCTTTGGCTTTTATGCTGAGATGGGAGATGCGGAAGGGTTCTGAGCAGAGAGGTGACATGAACTGTCTATTGATTTAAAAGCATCCCATGGTGGCTGAGTTGAGAAAGATTGTGGGAAGATTTGGGTAGAAGCACGGAGGCCAAGCTGTGGCAACATCCAGGTATGAGATGATAGTGGTTCTGACCAGGGTCCTGGCAATGGTGAGAGATGGTTGATTCTTGTTGAGATACTAAGTAATTAAAAAAAAAAACACTACTGCTTTTCCTGATTATATGAAGTATGGGATGCTAGATTAAAGACATCTTAAGTCGGGCCAGGTGCAGTGGCTTATGCCTGTGGCGTCAGCACTTTGGGAGCACTTTGGGAGGCACAGATGGCACAGATGGGAGAATTGTTCGAGTCCAGGAGCCTGAGACCACCCTGGGCAACATAGCAAGACCTCCTGTCTATGCAAATAAAAATTAATAAAATATAATTATCATGGGATAGTGGTATTTTCCTGTAGAACCAGTTACTCTGGTTGTCGAGGTGGGCAGATCTCTTGAGGGTGGGAGTTTGAGGCCAGCTTGGGCAACATAGCAAGGCTCCTCTTTCTACAAAAAAAAAAAAAAAATTATCTGGGTGTTGTGGTCCCAATGAGGGACAGCATTCCTGAGACTTTTTAAGTACTTTGTGTGTGTGTGATGGTCTAATAATCATAGCCTTAAAACTTTCTGGCTGGGTATGGTGGCTCACACCTGTAATCCCAGCACTTCGAGAGGCCGAGGCAGGTGGATCATCTGAGGTGAGGAGTTCGAGACCAGCCTGGCCAATATGTGAAACTCTGTCTCTACTAAAAATACAAAAATTAGCCAGGCATGGTTGCAGCACCTGTAATCCCAGCTACTCGGGAAGACAGGAGAATTGCTTGAATCCGGGAGGCAGAGGTTGCAGTGAGCTGAGATGGGCCACTGCACTCCAGCTTGGGCAGCAGAGTGAGACTTGGTCTCAAAGAAAAGTTATTGTGATATGCTGTACACATTCACAAATTCAGTGTCTCCCAGAAGTCTGAGATTCTTTTTTTTTTTTTTTTTTTTTTTGAGACAGAATTTCACTCTTGTTACCCAGGCTGGAGTGCAATGGTGTGATCTTGGCTAACTGCAACGTCCACTTCATGGGTTCAAGCAATTCTCCTGCATCAGCCCAAGTAGCTCCTGCCTCCCAAGTAGCTGGGATTACAGGCATGTGCCACCATGCTCAGCTAATTTTTTATTTTTAGTAGAGTTGGGGTTTCTCCACGTTGGTCAGGCTGGTCTCGAACTCCCGACCTCAGGTGATCCACCCGCCTCGGCCTCTCGAAGTGCTGGGATTACAGGTGTGAGCCACCATGCCCAGCCAGAAAGTTTTAAGGCTATGATTATTAGACCATCACACACATACAAAGTACTTAAAAAGTCTCAGGAATGCTGTCCCTCATTGGCCTGGTATGACAAAGATAAGAAGTCGGTCGTGAAAATTTCTGAATGTGGTTTAGGACAAGGAACCCCAGTAAGATTCAGACACAACCTAGAAAATTGAAAGAAAATTTTACTACTCAAATCATCCTTCTATAAAAAATAATAGAAGATGTCAAATACGAAAATAAAACTGTCCTCTGGGCCCTCAATTTTCTGTGTTATGGGAGAAGGCAGACAGCTACTCAGCAGTTATATCCCATAAGGATGGATAACACTAAAACAACTGACAGCATCAAGTATTGGTTAGAAAGTGGAACTGATTCTCTCAAACATTTTCATTGTAGTTTAAGATGGCATAACCACTTAGGAAAATGTCTCCCCATTTCATACAATGCCAAATATATACTTATTTTGTAACCCAGAAAATCCACTCTTATGTACTTAAACTCAAGAAAAGTGAAAATATTATTACAGAAAAAAATGTGTATATCTGATTTGTTCGTAGCAGGTTTATTCATGATAGCCTCAAATCAGAAACTGCTTTTGTGTCTATCAATAGTGGAATGGATTAAAAACAAAACAAGCAAAGGCCTCAAACCTGTGGTATAGTCATAAAATTGAGTATTACAAAATAAAATTAATGAATAATCAATAGGAGCAAAATGATGTGTCACAAGCATGTTTAGTGAGTGAACATAAAAATTATATAATTTATAGTTTCACTTACATAAATGGTGAAAACAGTCAAAACTAACCTTTGGTGGAAAGAATCAAAACCGTGGAAGCCTCTGTGTTCAAATACTGAGTGGAAATGGGCATGAGAAAACGTGTTTCTGCCAGATCTTCTATATGCCTGATGTGCATTCACTTGATGTATTTTGCGTATACTATTTTTGCAAATAAAACAGATAAAGACAAAATAACTCAAGAGAAAATAGGTAGAAATAGGTAGAGTTGGGATAGAAGCCTTGGAAGCTCCCCCCGTACCTTGCCCACCTGGCACAGGCCGAGGAAGTCCTGGGACAATGCTGTAAGCGACCTGAGGGCCGTCCAGGGGAGCCCCGCCAGCCCATGCTGGCGCCCAAGCTGCCCGCCGCCATCTGAATATGTTGCAAAGACAGTGCTGGCCTGGCAACCGGTGACGCTCCACGCCCCACCCCGACCCCCACTTCTACCCAAGTAGCGGCAATGCTAAAGACAGATGCCCGGGCGGCAGCGGTTAAGTCTGGCAGTTGGCCAGGCGGCCAAAGGACGGGAACTGGCCGTTCACCCCATCCCAGTTCCACAGAGAACTCAACCACTATGGCCCCTGAGCGGACCTTCAGGCCTGGTGGGCTGTGCTCTGTGCCCGCAAACCTGACGCCATCCAGGGGAGCTCCGCCTTCCCGCACCAGCGCCTCAGCTGCTGCAGAAAACTGCAAAACTGCAAGTTGCACACGGGCAGAGATGACGGAGCAACCCCCGACCCTCCGCGCCACTCACCCTACCTGCACACCTGCCACGCGGACCCTGGGGCGGGTGCCTGGGCGCCCAAGTCAGGCAGTCCGCACAGCAGCGGCACCAGGGTGAAAACCTGCTGCTCAGTACCATCCCGGTTACCACGAAGAGCCAGCCCCGGCGGCCCTTGCGTTCTTGGAGGAGGCCAAGTCAGAGCAACCCCTCAAGTGGGCGGGCGATGCACTTGACCCTGAGGACATCAGGTACCAGGCCCGCCAGCTCACGCCGGCATCGGAGCCGCAGCTGCAGTCTAGACGTGGTGCACTGGCAGCAAGTGACTGGACACTCCAGACCAGGCCCGCCCCGCAGTAGCGTGGATCCTGAGGCCAGACCCCCAGGCGGCAAAATCAGGCAACCGGCCCCGCCAGCAGCCGCTGTTTCATCCGTGTGGATACAGAGTGCCCAACGCCAGGGCCCAGGATCCAGAAAGATGTCCAAGAGGAGCGGACGTTGAGGCCAGGTGGGCTGTGCGCTCGGCGGCCCTGAGGCCATCCAAGGGAAGCTCCGCCATCCTGCGCCAGTGCCAGATCTGCAGCTGCAAACCGCGCGTGTGGCACTGGCAGCAGTGAGGGCGGGTGGGGGAAGGAGCAGCCCCTGACTCTGCCTCCATCCCTCTCCAGCTACCTGACACTAGCCACACAGACTCCAGGGCCAGAGCCTCAGCGTTCAGCCAGACAATCCGCGAAGCCACTCAGGTGGCCGCGGAGTGCCCTTGCCAGCACCCTATCTCCCTTCCGAGGAGGAGCGGGGTGGGCTGCAAGGCCAGACAGGCCCTCCTTCTCAGGCCTGGCTGGCTGCGCGCCTGCGATCCTGGGGCCGCCCGGGCGATCCCAGGAGAACTGGCGAGCCCATCGGCGCCTGCCCAGAGCTGCAGCCCCACCTGCCGGCGCGCGCCGCCAGGGAGCGGTTTCCGGGAGCCGGGCAGCAACCGCGGTGCAGGCGCGCGCCACCAGGGAGCGTCTTCCGGGAGCCTGGCAGCAACCGCCGTGCAGGCGCGCGCCCAACGGCTTTGCGAGGCTCACTCGGTCTGAGAGGTCGGAGGCTGCGAGTGTTGCTGCTGAAGGCTGTGGTGGACTGGGCTGGATCGAGGATTGTGGAGTAGATCATAGATTTGAAATAGCGGATTTGGGGTTGTATCGGGGCTTTGGGGTTGGATAGGGGATTTGGGGCTGGGTCGGCCGGGGTCGGGGAGGCGGGTGGTGAAAAGGTGACAGGCAGCTGCCCTCGCTCAAGAGCCGGTGGTTGGGGGTCTGAGAAGAAGTCACCACTATGAAGTTATTCGGCTTCGGGAGCCGCAGGGGCCAGACGGCCCAGGGCTCCATAGACCACGTCTACACGGGTTCCGGATACCGAATCCGCGACTCCGAACTGCAGAAGATCCACAGGGCAGCTGTCAAAGGCGACGCCGCGGAGGTGGAGCGCTGCCTGGCGCACAGGAGCGGAGACCTGCACGCCCTGGACAAGCAGCACAGGTAGCGGGGGGCTCAGCCTGGGGTGGGAGGGGGCCCCCAGGCCCGGCTTCCCCGCAGACCCTGGGACGGGGCCTTGCAGGGCGCTGGGCACCCTCGGAGGGGCGGAGCCAAATGGACTCTCAGCTGTTTTCCATCCCTCATAATTCCCTGGCTGGAGCAGTTGGAGAATTTGAGTGATTTAACTCACAAAGTTAAGCATATACAGCGTTGTTATTTTTAACGTACACGTTTAAAACATGGTTTATATACATTATAGGGGGTGCCTAATGAGAGAACTCGTTCCCCTATCAAAAATACCGTGAGTTATTTCAGTGGGCGAGAAGTTCTCAGATAAGAGAGCTTACTTGAAAAATATTTACTATATTATATATATATTTTTTTTTTTCAGATGAAAAGTATGTTTTCATTTCATAGGGAATTCATTATATTCTTTTTTTTTTTTTTTGAGTCGGAGTCTCGCTTCTTTGCCCAGGCTGGTGTCCAATGGCACAATCTTGGCTCACTGCAACCTCTGCCTGCCGGGTTCAAGCAATTTTCCTACCTCAGCCTCCCAAGTAGCTGGGATTGCAGGCAGGTGCCAGCATGCCTGGCTAATTTTTGTATATTTAGTTTCACCACGTTGGCCAGGCTGGTCTCGAACTCCTGACCTCAAGTCATCTGCCCGCCTCCGCCTCCCAAAGCGCTGGGATTACAGGTTTGAGCCACCGCGCCTGGCCTATGTTGTTTATTATATATCATAAGATATATATATATATTACTGATATGTATACATATATAACATATAATATGTTATATATATCAGTTATATATACACATGAGATGAAAAGTACATCTTCATTTTACAGGGAATTCTTTCAAATCAAATCTTCAAACACTCTAAAAGTGGGCAAAGTACCTTTTTCCAGATCTACAAGTTACTTATATACATAGGAAAAAATCCTTCGCATTTCTGGTATAAGAATTTAAACTAAAAGAGGAATGAAACAGTTTTCTATCCACAATATTTGTGAGGATGTTTTATACTGCTGCTTAAAGTTTAAGTTGCTGATTACTTTTCAAAGTACTCATTTGAAAATGGTAAGTACTACATTTAAAAAATGTGTATGCCCTTTACCCACGAATTCCATTATACTAAAATACCCTTAGGAAATAAAGATACATGCACTTTATTTTTCACAGTACTTACTTTAAAAAGAACCCATAGAATGGATCCTATAAATAAATTTCAGTTACATCCATAGGATGGAATAATATGTGACCACTGAAGGTAGCAATAGATACAGAAGTACGTTGATGTGCAAAGATGTATTTTGTTATAGCTAGCAAGGAGAAAAAATTAGTTAAATTATACATACACAAACATACTATGGTCTTGTTTTAGCAAAAATATGTACAAAATATAAAATTTGTAATTTCTGAGCATTTGTATTTTAAGTAAAGTTTTTTTCCTTTTTCTTATCTGTGATTGCTGCAGTGAGTACAAAACTTCTAGTAAAAGTTTATTATTAATGGAATAATCCTTGGGAAGAGAGGAATATGAATCTTGCGCTGATGAAAATAATTTCTCACTTTCTATTTTTTATCATTATTGTGTGTGTTGTTATCTTCTTTGAGCTTTTAGCCTCTTCAGAAGTAAAAAGGGAATGTTTTTATCTGTTTCCAGATTTTATTATCTATATATTATGTACATATGTTTTTCTTATATACTCATTCATTTATGCAAAGATAGATTAATCATTTCAATTTAATTGTATTCTTTAAAAATAAAATAACACATATAAATTATTATTATTGCAAAAATATTGCTTTATAGGAGTTTATTTAAAAATATTGAACTCCCCAACTGTATTTATCCATTCTTTCATTCCATTTATGGATCAAGCATAACCTGAGTACCTGCTATGTAGCAGACATATTCTACCATCTCTCAGGACCCGTCCATCCTTAAACACTTCATGTTTACCTGCCCCGCCTGCACAAGCTGAGAGATTTAAAATAGGAATATTGGGACTTAATCTCCTTGAAACTTTATCTCCCACCTTTCAAACAAAAGCATTTCTGAAGTTAGAAAATAGTAGAAGATAACCTTTAACTGCTCTTTCGAAAGTTTATCAGTCTTAAATACTAATATTAATCATTGGAAAGTCTTATTTGCATATATTCTCTAAGTATAAATATTGAATACAGTGAGCCATATGTATTCATTTGAATCATGAGTTTCCTTTGGCTTCAAGTTGTTTGAAAATCAAAGAATTAATTTGTTTAAAAAATGCATTATTGTTATTTCAGTGCTCTTTCCCCATAGTACCTTTAAGAACTAAAATGTATTTAAGTTTCAGTTGCATGCCTAGAACTGCCCTAGACCTGCTGAGTATACCATATTCTACTTAATGTAAGGTCTCATGGATTGTGTGATGCCCCGCTATTTTATATATCAATAAGATAATTTTTAAAATGCTACCAATTATAGTTATAACAAATCATGAATTATAAGTGGCATTCCAATGTCAGAGGTGTTAAAATGTGACCTACTCATTAAGTCATCCTGCAAAGTAGGTATAACTGTATCATTCTACCTAATTAAAATGGTTTTGTTAAGTAGTAGTAATAGTAATAATTATTATATCTGGCTGGGTGCAGTGGCTCACACCTGTAATCCCAGAACTTTGGGAGGCTGAGGTGAGAGGATTGCTTGATGCCAGGAGTTTGAGACCAGCCTGGGCAACAAAGTGAGATTCTTACTCTACAAAAATTTTTAAATAAATAGCTGGGCATGCTGGTGCTCATCTGTAGTCCCAGCTACTCAGGAGGCTGGGGATGGAGGATCATTTGACCCAGGAGTTCCAGGTATAGTTACACCATTGCACTCCAGCCTGGGCAAAAGAGTGAGACTTTGTCTCAAAAAACAAAAATCTTACAATTATTGAGTTGTTGTAGGAACTGTTCTACATACTTTACATAGCTTCTCATTTAAGCATCACGATGGTGTCCTATGAGATAGCTACTATTGTCATCTTTATTAATGAGGAAGTTGAGGCACAGAAAGGCTAAGCAATAGTTGGTAAGTGTCAAGGCTTAAAGTAGGACTCAAGCCCTAGTTGAACCGAATCCAAAGACTGAGCTCTTTCTACTCAAATAGGCTGCTGTTTTCATTAAGGCAGTGAGCAATAAGAGCTATTAAGTATTGTACTTTCTTCAAAAAATTATTTGTTTTGAAGACAGAGGAAAAACATGCTATTCAATTTTTACAATTACATGAATGATTGTATGTTTTGAGATATTGTACTACAGTTTCTTAAAAAATCCTCTTACTCTCATAGAACTGCTCTATACTTGGCCTGTGCCAGTGGCCATGTGCAAGTGGTCAATCTCCTGGTTAGCAGAAAATGCCAGATTGATATCTGTGACAAAGAAAACAGGATGCCTTTGATACAGGTATATTAGAGCCAACTCTTTCAGCATGACATGGATTTGATTTACATATATAGAATTAAAATAAATTGATCTCATTTACATATAACTAGTTGGTGAAACCTGTGGAATGTGTATTTTGAATTCTTGGAATTTACAATCTGTTTCTTGATCTAACACGGACAGGCTGTCCATTGCCAGGAAGAGGCTTGTGCCGTTATTCTGCTGGAACATGGTGCCAATCCAAACCTTAAGGATATCTATGGCAACACTGCTCTCCATTATGCTGTGTATAGTGACAGCACCTCACTGGCAGAAAAACTGCTTTCCCATGGTGCACATATTGAAGCACTGGACAAGGTATAGGTCAATCAACTTTCTTTCCAAAATATTTGTTTTAACATTGACATAGGTAAGGGTCAATTTTTTATATTTGGAAGCTCAACCATTCCCTGAATGCAAATACAAATTAAGTTATTTTGAAATAACTTAATTGTCTAAGATTTTATTTTAAATATTGATACTTTTAAAGAAGCATTAAAGGGCACAGCTTTATAAAATGCACTTTGGAAAATATTTGTGAATTTGTTAAAGGTAAAACCTTTTCAACTTTTTTTCTACACAGGCTTATTCTTTTTTTTTTTTTTTTTTTCTCTTAACTAGTGTAAAACAACACATGAAAGAAAATATTCCCTGGAAATAGGCTTTATCTTAAAACTCAAACAAAACTAAAGCAACTTACAATAAAGGGACATGTTGCTGTTGCTGCTAATTTTCTGAAAAACTGATGTATCATCTCTCAGTGGCAAGGCTTAAGAGGTAAAAATGGGAGGGGAGAAAGAGAGCAATCAGAAATATGCAGGTCACTTGGATATTAGATAATGAGGGAAAATGCCAGGAAGAGGTTTTTTTTTGTTTTTAAGTTTGTTTTATGTGTTGAGACAAGGTGCTGTTTAGCTTTGGGTCTAATAATTTTTGGTTTGAAAAAGAATGAGTTGCAACTTGCCTAGAGATGAATTTTAGGAGGACTCTGAGGAAACCAGATTGGCAGTGAATATGTGGTGACGAAGTGAGAAACACTTCAGCAGAAGGTGGAACAAATTATTAACTGACTTATTGCTCATCCTGGCAGAAACAGCCACTTAGATAAGAACCTAAAGCCTCCTCTCAAATCTAGAATGTCTTAGTGGGAAGGTGGGAGATAAGGAGCTTGTAAATAGCAAAATCAAGTGGGATTTTGAGTTTACTTGTCCCTGTTCTACCCATAGCCAGGAAACTTAACTGGAGTTTTAATAAATGACACTATCTCTTACTCTTTTCTCTTTTTGGCCACATCTCCAACTGATAAAGGAATTAGCCATGTGGGTGAGAGGTGAGACTGAAGTGATTGTCTGCTGCACTAATTCTCAGAATTGTGCATTACAGTGACCTGAGGACATTTTGTTAAAAATCTACAATTGTAGGCTTTCCCCTGAAGATTTTGATGTAATAGACCTAATAAGGCCTGAACGTGTTTAAAAATGTTTTCTTGAAGCTGGGCACAGTGGTGTATTCCTGTAGTCCCAGCTTGAGCCTAAGAGTTTGAATCCAGCTTGAGCAACATAGTGAGACTCTTGTCTCTAACAACAATAATAGCCAAAAAGAAAAAACCACAAAAAAAAAAAAAACCCTCAAGGTTGGGATACACTCGTGATTAAAAACCCCAGAATAGATAAGTGCAATATATAAATTTCTGTATCTCAAAAATGTAAGAAATCTCTAGAAGAGTTGGCATTTGATAGTTGCCACTCCTTCAAAGTTCTCCTTTTCAATAATATTAGCCTGACTTATCTGTCTTTCTCTACATCCGTGACTGGGAAGTGAAAGGAAATATCATTGGCAATATCTCTCAGCTTACAGAATAACATGTTTTGCTTCCCACCATGAATCATTCACTACCATTCAGAGAGTCTTCAGAAATTTGCTTATGAGTAATCTTTCAATACGTAGAGGCTGACCATTTCATGATTTCATGTCCCTTTGTCACAACGCAGGTGATTATGTGTCAACAAATGTTCATTACAATTTGGGCTTTCTCAATTAGAATAGTAGCAAATCCTAAACTATTTTTTTTAGTTGAAGTTTTATTATGAACTATCTCAGTATGTTTGTTAAGTTTATAGAACTTTAGCATACCCAAAATGTCAGTTTTAAACACTGAAATCCATGAAGTTAATAAGAATATAGATAGGAATTCTTTTAATAATTTAGTTTTAGCAGTCTTGTGAACCAATTATCTATTTGGTTAACAATCTGGGAAAATTATATACAAACATTTTAAATGAATACATGTTGGAAAAATTCTTGAAGCAGGTATTGTGAGTCTTTTTAGCAATTTTTATTATATATGAGAGCCTGATTTTTTGGTAGAACATATGATACCAGAGAAAGAAAATATTTTACATGCAAATACTTGGATTTTACACAACCATTTAGTAACATATTAATAGCAAATATAAAAAAACAAGGGCTATATTCTAATGTGGTACATAGATTTGTTTGTTCGCCTCTATAAGTTGAATCAACATGTAAAATTTAGAAGACTCGTGAAGAAATGTGGACTTCAGCCGTATCCTAAAAAATCAAAACTGGTGTCCCCTGAGTTTCTATCATTCTTTGGTCTGCTGTGCAGAAGTTGCCCCTTTATAGAAGGCAGGTATTCTCCAGTTTGCTACTGTGCCCACCTTGGTACTTCCCTTACTCAGGCAACCTTCCTTTGTCTTTGTAAGTATCTGAGTTTACAACTCCTATATTATAGTATATTTTGATAAAAATTTCAAGGTTTTTAAGTCAGCATGTATTTGTTTATAATATATAGTCTATAGAGTATATAAATCCCTCAGTTATGGAGTTGAATTTTAGAGTTTAGAAGTTTTTAACTCTTTTCTTTATATATACCACAAATAATTCTCTGCCCATAAGAATGCCTAGAAGCCTTTTTAGGTTATTCCTGGTTATAGTTGGATAATTTATGAATATTGCAGACAGTACATCTTTCTCCTCAGTTCTCTTCCTTAAAGATGCAAGTGACTTATTGGCTTGTATTATGCCAGAAATAATCCATATGGATCAGTATGAGAACTTTTATTGATAAGCCATTATGTTTTTATTTCCAATTTATATTTTGTCTAAAATAAAAAATAATTTTAAGTAGCCATTTAAGTGGAAGCCAGTAAAAATGGATTTAAAAAGTAGAGCTGCACTAGGGTCCCGGGATTACCATTATAATTGAGAATAGTATTTCTTACTGAGTTTTGGCTTTTAAAATATTTGTTCTTAAGTTTTTTAAATCTATCTCTCTTACACAGAATATACTGAGCTTTCTAACAGTAAAGATAAAAATCTCTTCTCTTGTATTAGGGGAAAAACCCATGGACTATTTAATAATAAGGAAAATAAATGCATTTGAAGCCAATCTCTCTTAATTCAAAGCTCATTTCCATGGTGACCCATTTGGAGCAGGAGTGCCTGACATTGGCATCTGGGATCCTGACACCATTGATAGAAGTGAATCAAGCAAGTTTGTACCACCCAGAGGAAACTGCCACCTGTATTGGGAAGCTCTGGCAACTGTATCTCTGAAACTCTAAATTCCTCAAATGTTAATGTTTGCCACAAATAGTATTGTGAAAGGGGGATTAGGTAAAATTAAAGAGATTTCTTGATTATTGGACATAAAATACAGTTTTGTAATACTTCTCAAATACAGATGGTCATGGAGTCTTTCTCTTGGGGTATAATACTTCTGATAAAGCAAATATTCTTTGGAATATAGTTTAAGAAACACTGCTTTAGAGATAGTAATTTAGATCATTAATTAATGTAAAAAACTTAAAATATTTGCTACTGTGTCTTAGGGTTTTAGGCCCTTGCCTCAAGAAGCTCTTGGTTTCAGTGGGAAACAGTGAAATGACTACAATGTACCATGCTAAGTGCTGTGATCAAAGCAAGGATTCTTGGGACTAGTAAATGTTTAAAGTGAGTTTTGGCAATGACCACAGTTAATCCGGGAAGACAGAGGAGGGTTGTTTGCAAGGCAAAGTGCAGCACATCAGAAAGCACAGAGGAGTGAGAATGAAGGGACTGCTTTTCATTTACTTCCTTTCTATATTGTATATTGAAGTTCAAAGCATCCTAGAGAAGATTTTCAGTTCAGTTGAGAAATATGTAATTTTGTGAATTATTAATTTATTTCTGCTGTTTTATAGGACAATAATACCCCACTTTTATTCGCTATAATTTGCAAGAAAGAGAAAATGGTGGAATTTTTATTGAAAAAGAAAGCAAGTGCACAATGCCGTTGATAGGCTGAGACGGTACAGTAGTTCTTTTTTTAAAAATAAAACCTGAGTATTCTAGAGTGGTCACTCAAGTCAGAAATATTAATAAGAAGATTAACATAATTATTGGCATATAATGAAAAATATCACCATGAATAATCAGGTAGACCAGCAAATATTTGGACTGAGTAACATAAAGAATAGTATATAGTAGGATTCATCTTCTCTTATAATATACAGTGTTTGATATTTATAATGAGATGTTTTTGGTACCATAATCTTTTATTAGCTAAAGGGTTTTGTATTAGTTTTATTAATTTTTTTTTTTTTTGAGATAGAGTCTTGCTCTGTTGCCAGGCTGGAGTGCAGTGGTGTGATCTCAGCTCACTGCATTCTCCACCTCCCAGGTTCAAGCGATTCTCCTGCCTCGGCCTCCCAAGTAGCTGGGACTACAGGTGCACGCCACCATGCCCAGCTAATTTTTGTATTTTTAGTAGAGATGGGATTTCACCATGTTGGCCAGGATGGTCTCGATCTCTTGACCTCGTGATCTGCTCTCCCCGGCTTCCCAAAGTGCTGGGATTACAGGCATGAGACTCTGCACCTGACAAGTTTTATTCATTTTTAAAGTGTGAACTTCTAGTTTATGACTACTAGCATTGTCATTATTATTATTGTTGTTGTTTTCAGCCTGCAGATAACTCTTATCTGACCCCTAGCTGATTTGACTAGGAAAGCAATGGGGACATCTTCATCTAAATCTTTGCCTACTTTAGATAAGTGACCTCAGCACAGTTTCTTGGCCATCAAAGGACTATAAGTTAGCAACTTGTATTATGTCTTACACCAGTGGGACAAGAGGCTTCCCTGTTGTCCCTTTCTTTTAGCCTTGGTGACAATTTACAAAGATGAACACTTGAGCATCCTAGATGCTTATAGACCCAAGCTAGTACATGCAAATGGTTATTACATCTACACTGACAGGCGGATATTAAATTGGTAAAGTGTATCAAACTAGCTTTTTAAAAAAGTCTTTATTAAAGTTCTTGAGTGGAGTTATTTCTTTGTTATTTTAGGTCAGCTCTCATACTTGCTGTATACTATGACTCACCAGGTATTGTCAATATCCTTCTTAAGCAAAATATTATCTTCGCTCAAGACATGTGTGGACGAGATGCAGAAGATTACGCTATTTCTCATCATTTGACAAAGTAAGTGTTTATGTTAAAAGGCCAGTTAATGCTAAATTGAAGTTTAAAATAATTGCAACTACTCCATCTTATACATTAGGTGAGAGTTCATAGTTTGGTTCAGATAGTTTGAAATAGCGAAGAGTTAGTCTACCTTTTAGCCAGAAATCAAGCAGAAGTCTAGATTAGTTAGAAGTAGAGTGCGAGATTTTTTCTGGATTTTTGAGACCTTTATCCCTAGGGATCTCAATGTTATTCATTTTATTCTAAGTATAATCCCCATGCATGGGATAAAAAGAGCCATGTCTTTGATTTCTTTTCCTTTCCTTTCCTTTTTTTTTTTTTTTTTTTTTTGTAGAGACAAGGTCTCACTCTGTTGCCCTGGCTGGTCTTGAACTTTTGAGGTCAAGTAATCCCCCTGCCTCGGCCTCTGAAAGTGCTAGCCACCATGCCTGGCCTGACTTTTCTAATTAGTTATTGAGTCTTGTAATGTCCAGTTTAACAGAAAATCTTGTATTGTCCCCTGGGGCTCTCTCCTGTGTCTTCCTTCTTTGAATTTTCCAAGAAGCTAAGGGGTTTCCTAAGTCCAAGGAAGGCAATCTTTCTTTACAAGTCAGAAGAAGGGGAAAAAAGGCCATTCTAATCATTCTGTTGTTTCCATGGACTCACTTGCTGTACTATTGCCATTATAACCGGTCCTGCAATCTGATAATGATTGACCTTTGCCACCAGGATGCCTTCACTGATTCAGACCCCTCAGTTTTCATGGTGATTCATATATAGAGGTCAAAGCTATGGTGTTTATTAGTTTATGTACTTGTGCTCAGTCATTGTTCCCAGCACCCTGCTCTGGCAGCTAGGCCTCTTAGCTTTATCCACACAAATATTGAGCAAGTTGATGCTCACCCTACACTAAAAACCTTATTTGGAGCCCACATCTTAGCTAGACTTTGCCTAGGCCTTCATGGTATGTTATCCTTTGAGAGCCATGTTTGTCTTTCCTTTACCCAGTGTTGGGATTGTTCTCAATAGTCAGGGATGTTCAAATAATGTTGCAGGAAGAGATCAGAGTTCCCTGTCTCTTTTGCTATCAGATCTGTACCTTGAGGCTTTTTTATATCCTGTGCAGCAGCTTTGGTTAGATAGCGGAATGTTCCATGTTATCTTTCCACTGAGTAGTGGGAACCAGCTTGCAGTTGGCCCCTCAAGTAATGTGTCTCTATAATCATGAAAATCTCCTGGGCTACTTGCAGCTCTTCCTCAAGTTTTCAATATATTTTAAAATTCTACCTCACAAGAAGCCATTCAATAAAATTCTCTGAATCTGAAGTAAGTGAGTTGGATTTAATAGAGCTAAGCCTCATCCATGACTCATGAATATCCATGTATCAAACAGGGCTTTGTACTTATTTCAACAGCACATATTTTAAAATTGGATCAATACAGAGCAGATAAGCATGGCTACTGCCTAGGGATGGCACACAAATTCAGAAAACATTCCGTATTTTGCCTAGTCCCAGGAAGGCCATTTGACTATTTGTTGAGTAGCTCCGAGGAAGCAGTGTGAGCAAAACCAAAACAGGTGACACGCAATATTGAAATTGTGATTATCGCTATGAAACTATTGATGTATGGTGATCTCTGAAATGGGAACAGAGCTGAGTAATAAGGGGATGTTACATGTTGTTAGTACATGTCTTGGAAATGAGAAAATGTCAACTTGCATTTCCTTCATGGAACTGAAAAACAATCAAAGCAGGGTTTTGTCTTGTCTGTTAGTTGGAGAGGACCATGGAGATCCAGCAGCCAAGCACAGATCTGCTGGCTCAGAGTTTGAGGAGGTAGAGAAGGAGTGGTAGTTGTCCAAGCCAGGTTTTGACACCTATTGGTTTTCTGCCCTTGGTGTGATTGATGAGCTCAGTGATGAGCTCACTAAATTTATATATATAGAAATTTAGTAATAAGTTATGAATTAGGTAAAATGCCCTGAATTACAAGCCACAATGAATACAAGTAATAACCAAAATTAGCACTTAATAACATTTTCTGAAAACTGCAACATTTGAGTATTAGAACTTACAGAAAAACACACACCGAGCATTATTTGGGATTCCAAAATGGTTTCAGCAATAAAGTTCAAGAATAAATTATTCCATTGCTTTACTATTTCTCTGAACATTTAAACGTGTAATCTCATTACATCTTCCAAACAACCTAGTGAAGTAAGGTAGCAGAATCCTTATTTTTTGGAATAAACCATGGAGCCTAAGAGAAGCAACTTGTCTGAAGACAAAATACCTACAGAGCGAGGTATTTTGGTTACAGAGCAAGGACTTACTCTGAGTGCAGGACACTTTGCATGATATCCAGCTCACTAGAGTTCATTTACTGAGCTGTGCTTCCTCCATTTATGAGTACTTCACTTTCTTTTCTTCTTTAATTATAAGCTTAATAAGCTTGTAAGGTTTACAAATTTGAAGTGTATGGGACATTAAAATTCTGATATTAGGTCTGATATTGCTTGAAAGTGTTTTGGAATTTAATATGTTTGGTGAATATTTTTTATTTCATTATAAAAATAGCAATTTTATTTATTACTTTTGTATACATAGAATTCAACAACAAATTTTGGAACATAAAAAGAAGACACTTAAAACGGAGAAATCAGGTAAGACTTCTGATTGCGAATTTCTTACTTCTCTTGGTGGTCCTACTCTTGATAAGAAAATACAAAGTAAGATGTAAGATTAAGGTAGTTTCAGTCAAAAAAGACCAGTTTAAAAATATGTGTAAATTGAATGTGTATATATGTATATACATATGTAAATTAATTTTTAAAATTTAACTTCTTTAGTTTGAAATTCAGATTTATTTAAGAAGGTAGTTGTAGCTAATTTATAATCTCAAACATTATTGTCTGAAAACATTCATTTATTTAATTATGATCCCTAAAATCCTATATAATATTTTTGCATAAATAAGAAAAAAGATTTTTAAGTTAGTATGTTGTATGTTTCCTCTATAGTCACATTATAACAAATTGGACTTGTTATACAAATGGATCTTTGATTTCATTTTTATAATAAATTGTTTATATTTAGTAAACAAATAACTACAGTTGACCCATGAATAATGTGGGGGTGAGGGACTCTGATCCCTGTGCAGTTGAAAATCTGAGTATAACTTTTGATTCCTTCACCTTAGCTACTAATAGCCCACAATTGACTGGAAGCCTTCCTGATAACATAAACAGTTGATGAACACCTATTTTGTTTGTGCTGCATTATTATATACTGTGTTCGTACAATAAAATAAGCTAGAGAAATGAAGCTGTTAGAAAGGAAATCATCAGGAAAAACATATTGACTTTTCATAAAGCATAAGTAGTCCTGACAAAGGTCTTCATGATCTTCAGGTTGATTAGGCTGAGGAGGAAGAGGAGAGGTGGATCTTGCTGTCTCTCTGTTGCAGAGGCAGAGGAAAATCTGCATATAAGTGAATCCCTGCAGTTGAAACCCTTGCTGTTCAAGGGTGAACTGTATTACATATTGATTTGTGTCACTAAGAAAGTAACTATCTTTAGAACCAGGAACTCAGCAATCCCTTTCTGGTACCATAAATAAATGGCAATAAGAACTGTAGAACTGAACCAGTGTGCACCCATACAAATAGGAGATTATTTTTTGAAGACAGCTACTGAGCACAGAAGATGGAAAAGCAATTCCTTTGTGAGGAGCACAAGTTATATTACATATTCATACACAAGCAAAATGATTTTATCTGTCATAGTTTACATACATACACATACACACGTGCACATGTGCACACACGTGTGCCCACAGACACAAAGTTAAAAGTCCTGCTGATTCTTAATGACCAAATCCAACTGTTCACAGAGAGCGGTGGATAATGCATCCTACTGTTTGGATTCAATTCTTTTGACTTTTTGACTTGTTTTGTGATGAACTGCCTTTAATGGGTTTAAATCATGTTTTTAGTTTTATGAGAAATGAAGAAAAAGATTAGAAGCAAGTAAACAGGAACTCTATGGTCAGTAGTAGACTATAATAGTATATTCAATAGTCATATGTTTTTCTCCAGTTATACAATTTACTTGAATGATGCACAATTAATCAATTATTATTATCATAGGAGATGGTGTCTCTCTATGTTGCCTAGGCTAGAATACAGTGTCTATTCATTGGTGAAATCATAGCTCACCGTAGCCTTGAACTCCTGGGCTCAAGCAGTCCTCCTACCTCATCCTCCTGAGTAGCTGGGACTACAGTTTTGTGTGGTTACATCTGGCCTGATACACAATTATTTATTTGTTTATTTATTTTTAATACAGGGTCTCCCTCTGTTGTCAGTACTGGTGTGCAGTGGTGCCATCTTGGCTCACTGCAACTTCTGCTTGCTGGCCTTAAATGATCCTTTCACCTTAGCCTCCCAAGTAGCTGGGACTATAGGCATGTACTACCACACTTGGCTAATTTTCTTTTTAAGGGTTTTTTTTGTTTGTTTGTTTAATAGATGAGGTCTCACTATATTGCCGAGGCCGGTCTGGAACTTCTGGGCTCAAGTGATCCTCCTGCCTCAACCTCCCAAAATGCTCGGATTTACAAGTGTGAGCCACTGCACCTGGCCTTCAAAATTATTATGAAAAGGAATGAAGCCCAGTTGAGTTGCAGAAAATTGACCACTTTTTCATTTTTGTTTCTAGAAACTTTCATATTGTAGAACATATTGCCAATCACCCAGATTCTCTATTTTTTATTCAGATAAAAGAGGATTGCTGCTTATTTCACATTATTTTCTGACATTATTTTTTCATTTATTCCTTCTATGGCTTTATTCAATTGGATAGATATAGAAATACAAGAATCTCCAAGTCAAATATCAAGGCAAAAAAAGAAAAGAAAAACAGATGAGGTAAAGTTATTCTGTGAAATAACCATCTGATTACAGTTACACGTATCATATCAACTTAATACAAATCTTACACAATGAATTTGTGTCAAGGTTTCCCAAGACCACCCCAGGTTTGGTGGTTCATTAGAAGGACTCACAGGACTCAGGAAATAGTCATACTCAGATCTTTAATTGATAACAAGGAAGGGGACAAGCAAAATTAGTAGAGGAAAAAGGTGCATGTGGTCAATTCTGGAGGAAACAAGGCACAAGCCTCCAGGAGTTCTGTCCTGTGGAGTTCCCGGGATCTGCTTAATTCTCCCAGGCTCACATTTTGACAACATATGTGCAGTGATGTCTACCAGTACCAGAGTCTCATTAGAGACTAAGTGCCCAAGTTTTTCTATGGAGGTTACTCTCCCTCACATGTACCCAAATTCCAGACTCTTGCAAGGAAAGCAGCTGTTTAGAGTAATACACTTTCTATAAGCACTTTAGACACAGTGAGCCACTCTTCTCAGGGAATGGTGGAAACCCTCCCATTTCCAATTTCCTAAACACCAGCTAAGGGCCAGCCTTGCATGCAGGCCTTTCTAAGGATGGCAGCCTCTTGCCTGCTATATGAAATCTTTTCTGCACAACACTTGTAACCCCAACTTAATTTTTGGTGTTGTTTTAAAATTTCATTTTAATAACATAATATTATAAGATAAGGTAACTTGGTACTAATTTCTGTTGTGTGATCCATCTTAAGTTGCAGTGCTTGTTACCTTTTTGACTTTTGGTGATGAACAGCTATTTGTATATAAGTTACCATAGCAATGTTAGGTAATTATAATCTGTCCTATTTATCTCATTAACCTTTCAGTAAAATTGTTAAATTAAATAAGCAAAATAATTTGAGTTAAAATTAGAATAAAAATTGTCTTTTATTTTGATTACATGAATAGTCTAGTTTTCATATTGTGCTAAATCCCTGTTTAGAATTATGAAATAAGATAAAATATTCAATTATTTTTATCAATATTTTCTTACCTAAGCATGCAATTAAATTTATTTATTTTATATATTTTATATAGTTCAATTTGAGAAGTAATGACCGCATGTTGTTACTTTGGTCTTCAATGATCTCTAATTTTTAGGGTCACCGTGTCTTGCTTAAATATATCATAGTAACAGGTTCAGTGAATATCTTTATTTTTTATTTTATTTACTTATTTTTTTGAGACGGAGTTTTGCTCTTGTTACCCAGGCTGCAGGGCAATGACACAATCTTGGCTCATTGCAACCTCCACCTCCCAGTTTCAAATGATTCTCCTGCCTCAGCCTCCTAGGTACCTGGAACTACAGGCATGCACAATCATGTCTGGCTAATTTTTTGTATTTAGTAGAGATGGGGTTTCACCATGTTAGTCAGGCTGGTCTCGAACTCCTGACCTCAGGTTATCCACCTACCTTGGCCTCTCAAAGTGCTGGGATTACAGGCATGAGCCACTGCCCCCAGCCATTTATTTATTTATTTATTTATTTATTTATTTAATTGTTGTTCTGGAGATCCTGGGATGCATAGACAGTGAATATCTTTTTGTTTTTTGAGATGGAGTCTCACTCTGTCTCACAGGCTGCAGTGCAGTGGTGCAATCTCAGTTAACTGCAACCTCCGCCTTCTAGGCTCAAGCGATTCTCCTGCCTCAGCCTCCTGAGTAGCTGAAATTACAGGTGCCAGCCACCATGCCCAGCTAATTTTTGTATTTTTATTAGAGACGAGGTTTTGCCATGTTGGCCAGGCCGGTCTTGAACTCCTGACCTCAGGTGATCCACCCACCTTTGCCTCCCAAAGTGCTGAGATTACAGGCATAAGCCACTGAGCCCAGCTGAATATCTTTTTTAAATCAATAACCTTATTTCTTAGAGCAGTTTTAGGTTCACAGCAAAATTGAGAGGAAGGTACAGAGATTTTTCATATATCCCATGCCTCCCACACCTGCATAGCCTCCCCCATTATTACTATTTTCCACCAGAGAGTGGTACATTTGTTACAACTGATGAACTTACATTGACACATTATAATCATTCAAAGTTCATAGTTTACATCAGGCTTCACTCTTGATGCTGTACATTCTGTGAATTTGGACAAGTGTATAATGACATGACATGTATCTATTACTGTAATATTATCAACAGAACAGTTTCACAGCCCTAAGAATTCTCTATGCTATGCCTGTTCATCTCTCCCTTTCTCCCTAGCAACTCTTGGCAACCATTGATGTTTACTCTGTCTTCATAGTTTCATTTTTTCAGAAGAGTCACATAGTTGGAATAATACAGTGGATATCTTTTTGAATAGTTAAAAAATTAAAGCTCCATGGCAGTTGAATGTAGTCATTTAAGATCTTCTTTGTCCTTTTGTTTTTCTTTTGCTTCTTTATCATTGTAAAGAATGATATATTCTGATGACATATGCTTTACATACTTAGAAAACATGATTTGTATAGATATGTGGCACATAATAGAAAGGGTTGTGGAAAAGGACACCATGCTGTACCACACAGCACAAACTGGAGCATCTTGCTCTGTGAGGTGGGTCCAGATAGACTCTCTAGCAATGGAAGGGGACAAGTGCAAGGGGTTGTACTTTATAAAACTGGAATCACAAAGTCTTTCATACTTACCTTCGGTTGGAAATAAGACCGGACAGTGAATGCTATAGGTAAATACATAGGTTCCTCACTGATCCTCTTCCTTTGAGGGATGAGGTTGACAACAGCCTGTATTATGATGATGTGACTCACCTACAACTAGATTCTGTCATGAGGGATAGCAAGAGAGTTTTGCTTTCTGTGAGGTGAAAAAGAATTTTTTTCCCCTACTAGGGAGAAGGGCAAGCACTGGAACATTCTGGTAGTAAAAGGGCATTGATGGTTTTCTTTCTATATATTTTTCACATCATATAGTACTGCCCAGCAGCCTGCCACACCTCCCTGGTGTTTCTTCAGCTTCTCTCTGAATGTGAGGTGTGGTTCCTAGCGGATAAGCTCTTAAAGGAGTGATCTTTCCAGCGGGTTTTCTGTGGGAGGTAAAATAGCAGGTGAATTTGGGCCTTGCTATATGTAGGGCAGAGCAAATAGCTACAACTAAGTAAACCACCCAGCACCTTCCCCAAAGAGTAGTAGCCAGAGTAATACATTGATCTCTTTTGAGCTCTTTTCCACTAGCGGCTGGAAAGTCTTTGCAAGGATTCCTGTTTCTGGTCTGATTCCTATGTTTTGCTGACATCTGGTGTTAGGGTGTTTTATTCTAAACTGAGCAGTTTGAACTGAAGAGCTAGAGAGGCTGTGTTGTGTTATAACAAAATAAGTGCAGTAGCTCCCCCTTAACTGTGGGAGATACATTCCAAGACCCCCAGTGGATGTATGAAACCATAAATAGTACTGAATCACAAACTGTTTTTCCCTATACATACATATCTATGCTAAAGTTTAATTTATAAATTAAATTGAATCTGATGTTACCAGCAGATAGGGTGTGAGAATTGAATTGTGTCATCAGCCGGAATGATTGCTTGCTTGTTGGTGGGGAAAAACCCTCCACACATTTGGTCACAGAAGCCTTCTTTGTTGATGATTGTTGCTGTGGTGTGACAGCAGAGAAAAATGTGTCAAGCTTGTCTTTCTGCACATATAGTGGATAAGGGGTACTACTGTATACTCTGTTTTAATGGCGCCTCATATTTTGGTCCAGAAATCATGCTCTTTGACACTGTTGACTCATCACACCTGTTCTGCTAACAATACCATTTTTACTCAACCTCATAGGGTTTGGCTAGGTTGACTTGCATACTGCAGTTCACTTGTAGATACCAAATTTTAATAAATTTATTCTTCTTTGCATCTAATAAATACAAAGGGAAGAGTTCTTACAGCATTAATTACCTACCAATATGTATAACGAATGTTAATTCTAATAAGGTCCCAGGCATGCTCCCAAAGGAATGCTTTGTAACAAAGCATCAGTCTTATGCTTTAAAAAACCAAACCAAACAAAAACAAAAACAACAACAACAAAAAACAGGATCTAAAGCATACACACAAGTGTGCGCAATTTTTTTATGAAGGTAGAGTCTTACTATGTTTCCCAAGCTGGTCTCAAACTTCTGGGTTCCTCAAGTGATCCTCCTGCCTCAGCCTCCCAAGTAGTTTGGATTAGAGGGATGCATCACTGTGCATACTTATGCTTTTAATATTCTGTACATTTGTTATTGATTTAAAATGCATTTTACCTTTTTCTTTAATAGATGTTGGAAGTTCTGATGAATCTGCAGTCAGGTAGGATTTTATAGATTTAAAAAATTATGTTAACTAAGAAAATATAGATGGAAGAAACGAATATCTGTTGAGTGTTGTATTCTGGGCTAGACATCCTAATATGTTCTATGCATTTATCATCTCATAAAGCCATCACAACATCTGTGTTCCTATAACCTACTGTTTATTAAATAAACAACTATGGATTAGAGCTGATTAATTGCCTCATGATCCCATAGTTAACAAAGTAGCTGGCCTACAGTTTGACCATCAGCCTGCCTGCTTTCCAAATCCTGTCTCTTGCTCCTCAGCATAGATTGACAGATATCTGTGCAGCCCTTGGATCAAGGTATAGGTCTGAATCAGATTAGTCAGATTGATTAATTTGATTAATGTCTAAATTAATGAGAGTTTAAATACCTTGAACTCTCATTTAAGTTTATCATTAGAATGTGGTTAGTCCAAGAGTTTGTCCTAATAAATTTGACAATTTCAGTGGTAACCAGTATCTTATTTTTACCATCAAAGGCTCTAGGGCAGATCTTACTTAGCTTTGGCCATAGGGGTGTAAGTTTTACAAAAGCAAGTTTAGGCAAGTCTTAGAGACAAATTATTTGACTTCCCAGTTTGGTTTTCCATTTAGGCAAGTATTTCTGCTTACTTCCATAATACATTTTTTAGTCTTGTTGCTTTTTCCGTGACTTTTCTATAATCTTGCCTTCATTTTTTAAAACTTTCTTCTCTACTTTTCTTGGTATTTCTTTTGTTCTATTATTTTTTCAAACTCTGCTGGCTATGTATTCTAAGTTTTTCTATAGAAAGAATCAAGAGGACATAGAATTACAGAATTTTAAGGAATCTTGGAATGAATTAAAATACCTTCTAGTATTTTTACCTGTGTTGAACATTCTGGTCAAATGATTCTCTAGATAGAGAATGTGAGGCTCAAAGAGATTAGGATGCTTTTTTTTAGACATAGGAATTGGCAGAAATGAGATTTGACTCATGTTAAAGCCCAGTACTCTTGCTTCTTTTTATATCCTATTGGCGTGTGTTTTAATAATACAAACGGGAGTGAGTCTGTGGGTAGAATGAGAATGGAATTAGCTGGGGAACCCAATGGAAGTAGATAAGAATGGAATGAGCAGGGGAAGTCCAAGTTTGAAGATAAACAACACTGGATTGGATAGGAGTACAGACTCTTCCATAAGAGATCAAAATATTGGGGTTTATGACAAGTTTGATAAAGATAAATTATAAAAATGAAGGACACAAGATGTTGGGAATTATCTATGAAGGCATGTTAAAATAGAAGGTTCAAGGGAGCTCTAAAAAGTTTGCTGCTTTTTTTTAAATCAAGGACTGACAAACTTGAAGATTTTTACTGAAAGATGCTAAAACATTTTGAGACACTGGGAGGAGCGTCTGCAGCAGATAGAAATGTGGTGTCATCTACTTCCATTCTGACTTACAAAGTGGTGGCTTAGAGCCCCTGGAGTACTAAGGGGCTGGAGATTGCTGAACTACATAGATCTGTGGCCCAGTACAGGTGTCTCCTCACCTCTGCCTCTTTTCCCGATTCACTGATGTCCTTCCCATGTCCATGTGGGCTGGTTCAGGGGCATGATTGGCTGGCAAATCAGTCATGGAGTTCAGTTGGGTAGTTGGTAGTGTGTCTAGTTGGGGGCAGGTGATGGAGACTCCAGTTAGCTTGTTTTTCAGGAGCAGGGATATAGAGAGCTCCTACTCCTGGTCATTTGAGGCCATCCTTTCAGGAATCTGTGCTTTCATAGACTGAAGATTTAAAGATTGGAGACTTCTGTGGAGCCCTGCAGAAGTGGAATCTGGAAGTGGGAGCCCATAGGAAGACAGATACTTAGAGAGTGCTTAGGGAAATAGAGGTACAACTACCAGGACTCTGTTTTTTTCTGGCAGTCTCTCTCCTTGGGTGTCTGCATGCCTATGAAAAGTTTTAAGGGCTTGCTAGTTTATGTGGACCTGAATGAGGTAGGACCTATAGGGTGAAAATAATGGGATTTTATAATTGTTAATATTTCAATCTTTCTGGGAAAAGTATTCTCAATAAGAACATACACCTTTGTTATTTGACTTCTGTACATTTAGGTTTCATACATTTCAAATATTGTAGGGGCTTTCCTGTACTGATTTAGGGCAAAGGAAAGCAATAGGACCTTCCTAAGTGGGTTCCATGCTGAGGAATCAAGACTGCCATTTTGAAGTGATGCAGATTAGTCTTTTATCCAGAGACAGATCATGGAAAAGAGACAGTGGATCTTTCTACCTTGTTTTAGGTTATCAGTTTTCTTCCAGTTTAGGTAACAAAATTTATGTCGTCCATTAATTGAATTTTAAGTTCAGCTTCAGGACAGATAATTTGTGAGGGCAAATCATTGTCATGCTCTGCCAATTTATTGACTGTCACTATTTGTTATAAAGCTCAAGGTTAGTTTTCATTGAATATTTTATAGATTTAGACAGGTGGAGGCAGAAATAGGTAACTAAAATCTATTTTTAGAACAGAGGACATATTTTAATTATATCAAGAATCACTATTTAATATATAGATTGCTGACCTTTCCCCAGATTATGGTTTCCTTTTTTGAGGGGAAGCTGGATATAAACTGGCAGTTAAAAAAATTGTAAAGAAATCAACTTGCTCATTTTTGTTGTGTATTTTCGCTCTCAAGCATTTTCCATGAACTGCATGTGGATTCATTGCCTGCATCGGATGACAAAGACTTGAATATTGCTACTAAGGTAAAGTGGTCTCTTGTAAAATTAATTTTCTCACTCTGAATGTACTTTTCCATAGTATTTACTTTTCAAATTTAGCAGTGGTTTACCTATCATTGTTTTATGGTGGTAATGGAAAGTTGGTCAGAGAAAAACATACATATGGCTAGTTGATTCAAAAAATGTGTTTAACTTTGGTAACTAACAAAGATTGATAAGTACTGTGACAGGGTGGGAGCTGAAAAAAATGAACTGGAAAATTAGTAGTGACAGGAAAATCACATTAGGAAATGCTTTCTCCAATAGAGGAAATATGAAATTTGGTTAAGGTTTATTTGGATAAATACTAATACTTTGACTTTTAAATCATACGAGTGTGACTTTCTTAATATTTATGCCTGTATAAATCTTCAGTGGATCAAATTATTTGCAGTAATCATGGGATCCTCCTGGTGATTTTTAGTGGCAAAAATATTAAGCACATAGCATATAGCTTTTGTTCTTGGAAACTTATAATTTTGGTATCATATTGTTTTTATGAGAGATTGTTTTTCTACTTATATTATTGGTTCTGTAGAAAGACAAAAAAAATTAAAAATTGTAGAAAAATAACTGAGTGTGGTGGTATACACCTGTAGTCCCTGCTACTTGGGAATTTGAGGCAGGAAGATTGCTTGAACCCAGGAGTTTGAGAACAGCCTGGGCAACAACGTATCTGATTTAAAAATATAAATTTTGGAAATATAGAAATTTAAATTTATGTTCTCAAAATGTGTATTGCAAAGGAATTTTTGTGTGGTTTATGAGTTGTCCATGAAGAGTTTATATAAGGCACTTCATCTAATTGAATAACATGTATTTTGCTGCAAATAACCAGTTCTAGAAGCAGAGACTCTTAATACCAATGGATGGTAAGACTTTATCATCATAATTTTGTCATTGTAGTTTATTTAAAATATTTACTTCACCAGGCATGGAGACTCACCTGTAATCCCAGCAGTTTTGGAGGCCGAGGTCGGTAGATCACCTGAGGTCAGGAGTTCAAGATCAGCCTGGCCAATGTGGTGAAACCCTGTTTCTAAAAAAAACCAAAAACAAAACAAAACAAAACAAAAGCAGAAACATTAACCAGGCGTGATGGTGCATGCCTGTAATCCCAGCTGCTCAGGAGGCCAAGGTGGGAGAATCGCTTGAACCCGGGAGGCAGAGGTTGCAGTGAGCCAAGATCGCACCATTGCACTCCAGCCTGGGTGACAGAGCAAGGCTACATCTTAAAAAATAAAATAACCACTCAAAGTCCTCATATCATATTCTGAAATTTTGAATTTCAGAAGGTTTTCTATTTAGTTGTTTAAATAATCATTGGAAGCTCCTGCATACCATAAGCTACTGGAGGTCAGTAAACATATTTGTGTGTATCCTGGAGTACCTAGAATACAGTCTTCCATGTAAGAAGCATTTTACTTGTTGTTTTTTGAGATGGGGTTTCACTCTGTCCCCCAGGCTGGAGGGCACTGGTGAGACCTTGGCTCACTCTGATCTCCATTTCCTGGGCTCAGGTGATCCTCACACCTCAGCCATCCCAGTAGTTGAAACAATAGAGCTATGTCACCATAGACCTGTGTCACCATGCTCAGCTGAGTTTTGTAGAGACAGGGTTTTGCCTTGTTGCCCAGGCTGGTCTTTAACTGTTGGGCTCAAGTGTTCTGCCTGCCTCAGCCTCTCAAAGTGCTGGGTTACAGGCATAAGACATTCAGCCTTAACAGTTGTTTAATCTGAATAAATAGACAAATGAATTTTTATATAATGGAATGTTATAAGTAATATAATAAACCTAATGTATCTAATAATTAAATATTGTATTTAAAATATTGCTTACATTGTATTTTTTTAATATTTAAGGGTGTATAAGTTTTGATATGTTATGTTGAGAAATTATGCCATAATTAAAAAGGAAATAAAATAGAAATAGGTCATCAGTAGCAAAGAGGGTTACAATATATTTTCTAGTATCATTCAACTGGAATCTTAACATTGAGATTTTAGATTAACATTTCTTAAGCTTTTTATTAGCTCCAACTCATGTTCTATTAAATATACCTTTTCAAGCCATACATTACTCTTTATTATTATTATACTGTAAGTTCTAGGGTACATGTGCACAATGTGTGGGTTTGTTACATGTGTATACACGTGCCATGTTGGTGTGCTGCACCCATTAACTCATCATTTACATTAGGTATATCTCCTAATGCTATCCCTTCCCCCTTCCTCCACCCCACGACAGGCCCCAGTGTGTGATGTTCCCCATCCTGTGTCCAAGTGTTCTCATTATTCAATTTCCACCTATGAGTGAGAATATGTGGTGTTTGGTTTTCTGTCCTTGTGACAGTTTGCTCAGAATGATGGTTTCCAGCTTCATCCATGTCCCTACAAAGGACATGAGCTCATCCTTTTTTATGGCTGCATAGTATTCCATGGTGTATATGTGCCACATTTTCTTAATCCAGTCTATCATTGATGGACATTTGGGTTGGTTCCAAGTCTTTGCTATTGTAAATAGTGCCGCAATAAACATACGTGTGCATGTGTCTTTAAGCAGCATGATTTATAATCCTTTGGGTATATACCCAGTAATGGGATGGCTGGGTCAAATGGTATTTCTAGTTCTAGATCCTTGAGGAATCACCATACTATCTTCCTCAAAGGATGAACTAGTTTACAGTCCCACCAACAGTGTAAAAGTACTCCTATTTCTCCACATCCTCTCCAGCACCTGTGGGTTTCTGACTTTTTAATGATCATCATTGTAACTGGTGTGAGATGGTATCTCATTGTGGTTTTGATTTGCATTTCTCTGATGGCCAGTGATGATGATCATTTTTTCATGTGTCTGCCATACATTACTCTTTAGAATTCTGGTGACCAATTTTTTTCTGGGTGGAAAGTTGATTGAAAGTTCTAGTTTTTTCTCTCTGTTATAATAATGTTCTTTCAGGTAGTGGTCGATGACCATATTTAGCTAATTGAATGTCTTATAGTAATAAACTCTATCACAGAAGTACTTACAAAAAACTAATTGTAGCATAAATATTAATTAGTATTATCAGGGATATGAAAAAGCAAAAGGCTCTGTTATAGATCTATTTCCCCATGTACTTTATTGTACTTCATGTTGTTTCTTTTCTTTCTTGGTTTAAGCTCATATTTCATTGACCAATTAGGCTTGTTTTTTGTTTGTATCTCTCTTCGTTCTCACATTTTAAATTGAAATTTTTGGGGAGTCAGGGTCTTGCTCTGTTGCCCAGGCTGCAGTGTAGTGGCATGATCTTGGCTCACTGCAGTATCCACCTCTCAGGCTCAAGTGATCCTCCCACATCAGCTTCCCAAGCAGCTGGGACTACAGGCACACACCATCATGCCTGACTCCTTTTGGTATTTTTTGAGTAGAGATGTGTTCTCATTATGTTGCCCAGGCTGGTCTCAAACTCCTGAACTCAAGCAATCCGCCCACCTTGGCCTTGCAAAGGGCTGAGATTACAGGTGTGAGCCACCATGCCTGGGCAACATTGAGATTGATTTAAAGAAATTGATTAGGGCTGGGTGTGGTGGTGCACACTGCTTATCTCAACACTTTGGGAGGCAGAAGTGGAAGATTTACTTGAGCCCAGGAGTTTGAGACCAGCCTGGGCAGTTTAATGAGGGCTTGTCTCTACAAAGATAACAATAAAAACATTAGCATGGCATGATGGTACGCACCTGTAGTTCCAGCTATTCAGGAAGTTGAGGTGGGAAGATTGCTTGAGGTCAGGAGTTTGAGACCACAGTGAGCCATAATCAGGCTCCTGCATTCTAGCCCTGGGTTGACAGAGTGAGACCCAGTTTCATAAAAAGAGATTGATAAGAAACTCTTGATGCAACTCATTATAATTTTAAAATGGAAACTAATTCTTGATATTACCTTAGCAGTGTGTCCCCGAGAAAGTGTCAGAGCCTTTACCTGGACCTTCGCATGAAAAAGGAAACAGAATAGTCGATGGACAAGGAGAAGGTGAGAACCATATTTTATTTAAAAAGTCATTTGATGGAGGCTGGGTGCGGTGGCTCACGCCTGTAATCCCAGCACTTTGGGAGGCCGAGGCAGGCGGCTCACGAGGTCAGGAGATCCAGACCATCCTGGATAACATGGTGAAACCCCATCTCTACTAAAAATACAAAAAACTAGCCAGGTGTTGTTGTGGGCACCTGTAGTCGCAGCTACTCAGGAGGCTGAGGCAGGAGAATGGCTTGAACCCGGGAGGCGGAGCTTACAGTGAGCAGAGATACCACCACTGCGTTCCACCCTGGGCGACAGAGCGAGACTCCATCTCAGAAAAAAACAAACAAAAAAAAAAGTCATCTGATGGAATGTTTCTTTGAAAATATGAGCACTAATAGAGTGTAATAGCTAAAGAAAGTGTCCTATTAACTGTATAATAAGTAAAGGAGAAGTGAAATGGTGATAAGTTGTGTCTGTAACCAAGGGTCAGCAGTTGATTCTATTGGGAGTACCACTAAAGGAGCTGAGTTGTGAGTTCCATTTTAAGATACTCTAAGACCTGAGGCAAGTCAGGAGAGAGGGAAGAGGAAATGAATAAAGAGAAAGAAAGAATGAGGAGAGCGGAGTGTACATGGAATAAATAAAAAAGCATATGCAGAGGTAAGTAATAGAGGATAGTAAAGGCAAATTGATCTGTAGAAGAAGGAAGAACATGGTGTTAGAAACAGGAAAGAAGATAAAGTGAGCTTCCAGTACCAAAATGTGCCAGAGAATTAGAGTAACATTTTCCTTCTCTTGCTGTCATCCTCACTACTGGGGAGGCATTAAGGATTGAGGCACCTCACCACACAGACCTGTGTTTTATCTACCATAGATGAACATCACCAAAAATGGTCAGCCATGTATGGCTATAATTTTTTTTTATAGAAAATGTTGTAACCTCATAGGATAGTATCATATAGGCCAAATAAACGTAATTGAATAGTGTTGGGTGATTTATGGAGAAGAAATTAATTTGAGAAGTTATTGCCTGATTAAAAGTTCATTAGAAACATTATGGCTTATAATGTAGTATTAAATTGAGGTACATAATAGGGAAGAAATTGAGGCGAGGCCAAAAGGGCAATTAGGGTAAACCAATATGGAAGCACATCAGTGTAGAACAGGGCATTCAAATTGTCATGAATGAGTTGAGAAGCTTCTGGAAGGTGCACATTCTGATTCAGCAGGTATGGGAGTCTGCATTTCTCATGAGTACTCAGGTGATTTTGGTGCTGGTCCTTGGACACAGCTCTGAATAGCAAAGGAATAGCCTTCCTTTAGAGAACTCTGGAAAAAGAACCATTGGAGAGCAATTTAAAAAATAACAGAATCCAGGGAAAGCATTAATTTCCTTTTATTTCTGAGCATGATTCTAGCCACAGGGGAAGGAGAATGAGATGAAAACAGAGAGATTACAGGTGTATACTACTGCTGAATACAGATGAAAAAAGTGGTCACAATTATCCATAAAAAGCAGTTAGGAAGGGAAGCATCAGGATGACAGTTCTAAAAATCACTTTTTCAAAGGAAGAGGGATTGTGAAAGGACACGGAGGGAGGAAAGAAAGACATTTGCTGGGGTCTTGGGAGTTGAAACCAAGTAAACTTGAGACAACTCACTTCCAGTTGCTTCAGCATATGCCCAGTCTCACAAAAGAGGTTATTGCTGTGGAGAGTACTGGAGGCAGGAGGGAGTGCTAGAGTTGGGGTAAACCACAGCAGCTCATTTCACTTGATAACTGTCAGGCCTCAGAGAGAGAAGTTTCACTGACATGAGTGAATAAGATGTGATTAAGTTGCATATAGATGCTTTGGCTAATTTTTTTTGAGACAGCCAGTTCTTTGATATGATAGCTGTTTTATAAAAGTCCTTTACAGTGTAAGATAATACACCAAAGTTAGTTAATTTTAGAAGCAATCATATTATAAAATTCATTCTGTGAATACCAAAATTCTCTTTTTCAATAAATACTGCACTGATTTTGAAATATAAATATGTATTCGTATCCAGCAAGTCTGTGGTAATTCAGTGTTTTCTTTTTTGATAAATATTTTGATATTGGAAGCTTATTCGACATGGTTTATTTTTTGTGTTTTATGGACCACCTTGCATGAGTGGATCAAGGAGCTCTAACTCAAGGCCAAATGAGGGGACAGGAGAAATGTAGGTGCTGCAGTAGCCCATGTGATCATGGGAAAAATGAGTAGTTTGATTAGCTGTCATTTCATAAGTGTGTATACTAGCTGATCAATGTAGAACACTTTCTTTGATGAGAGGTGAATCACACATTCACCTGAACTGTCATCCCAACTGTGTATTTCCTCAGTGACAAGACAAGGGGAATTTGTTTGTGGCATGCTGGCAGCAATGCCTCTGATGTGTTGAGTTAAAATACTCTGTACATTCACCATCAGCTTTGACGTCGATTCCCTCAGGTTTGATTTGCTCCTCTGTTTAATGGTCCCTTTTCTCCTCATCAGTCCACGTGTTCACGGTGATATCCATGCTTTTCTATTTTAGGTATAGGCATTTGAAACATAATCTCACTGCTGAAATGTAAACTGTGCATTTTAGGAATCCTATATTCCTATTTTCCTCATTATGTTTCTGTCATGTTGCCATCCTAGGCAATGAAAAGAAGCCAAGAAGAAACCTCAAAACCTTAAGTAATTATTTTTATAGCCAGGCATGAGAATTCAGCTCGATAGTACCACTGCATGAATGTTTGGTTGGCCCTGTCATACTTACATATAATTGATGACATATCCCCTTTGCTTTGTAGGGCCTCCTGCAAAACATCCTTCCTTGAAGGTAATTAATTATGTATATTTTTGAATCACTAACTCCATGTTGTATAAAATATATATGATTTATGAATCATTTTCTTTTAAAACCCATTCAGCCTAGCACTGAAGTGGAAGATCCTGCTGTGAAAGGAGCAGTACAAAGAAAGGATGTACAGACATTGAGAGCAGGTACATTTAATGGAATACTGGAAATAAGTACATTCAATGATTGGAAGTACTCACATTATTCTTATTCCTAATTCTATTTGTTCAAAATTGAATGGAAGGCATTGACATAAATGTTATTGTTGGTATCCATATTTGAATAAAAATAAATTTAGAAGCATAAAAAAGATTTTAAAAATGTAAGCTTTAACTCAGATGTTTCTCTTTTAATGTTTTGAATAGCATGAAGTTTTCAGTATAAAATTTTTATACCTGTCAGGGATTCAAAGCAGTGAATTTTGAGACTCTAAGATATTTCCAGTGAGTTAAGTGCTACTTGGAGTTCTGATCTTTACCTAGAGGAAAGCTTTACTTATTAACATGTCAGGTTCTGTTTTAACTTTAGAGGCTTGCTGCTAGTATTACTACACTGATGATCTGAAGCCAATCAGATGTTCTAATGAGCAAGACTGTGTGTGTAGGTGTATATATAGCTGTGTGTATGTGTGTGTTTGTGGCATCTTTGACTATTAAAAATGAGGAAAGTGATTCATTTATAACTGGTAGACACAGTCTTTTAAAACGGTGATTTTGAGACTTTTTGGTGTTAAGGTTTTTAAAACATGATTGCATAGAGGCTACTGACATCATAAGTTGGTTGTTTTTCATTTCAATGCCCTTTTGAAATCTTTAACTACATTGTGATGCTCAGAAATAATATGCAGAATTTTTTATTTGTGTCCCAAAATGGTATGTGAGTGGTTGTACACTTTACATACCTTTCTGCCACTTTCTTTGGTGTATTTTGTATTATATTTTCCAGATGTATCCACATTGATATGATTATCTCTGGTTTAATTCATTTTACACTTTTCATTGTATTCCCTTATACCACTTTACCACATTTAGTTAGACACTCCTGTTGCTGACAAATGAAGAAAGAAAGAAAAATAAAAATGTCAGATTAAGTGGGCTTTTCTTTAATCAGTTTGTATCTATTAATATTTACTATATGAGAGTTTAAAGTTGAAAAGTTCAGAATACAAGCATGCACCACCATATTTTATAAATGCTCTTAGAACTGTGACTCATGAGCCTTTAGCCTATGAAGTTAGGACAATTCATTTCTCTGAAGAAGTTTGTTGTGCTGTTCTCAGAAAAGAAAACTGAAAATAGCAAATGATATTGTCTTATTTGACCTCTTGGACATCTTTGAATGAAACTGCAACTCCAGGGATACTCAGATCAAAATTCAGAACTAATGTTTTGAACAATATAGTTTGTGAATGTCCAGTGGATCATGAGCCCTTGATGGGAAAATGACCTTTCAAGTTTCACTTTTGCATTTTTTGCTCTTTTCCTTGACTTGTCTTAAAAGCTTAAATTCAACCGTTTTATTTTTACAGAAACCAGGAATATAATTTTTAAAATTTATGTCTGTCCTGTCTCACGGTGTTGTGTACTCTTCAGATCTTGTGTGAACATAGACTTAAGATGTGGGAACAATTAGGTGTTTTGTTTGTTTGTGTTTTTGAGACAGAGTCTTGCTCTGTCACCAAGGCTGCAGTGCAGTGGCTCGGTCTTGACTCATTACCACCTCTGCCTCTCGGGTTCAAGCAATTCTCCTGCCTCAGCCCCTCGAGTAGCTGATACTACCTGCATGTGCTACCATACCCTGCTAAATTCTCTATTTTTAGTAGAGATGGGGTTTCACCATGTTGGCCAGGCTGCTCTCAAACTCCTGATCTCAGGTGATCTGCCTGCCTCAGCTTGCCAGTATGCTGGGATTACAGGCAGGAGCCACTGTGCCAGGTACAAATAAGATTTTTAAGGCTATTATATTTTATACAATTCTTTGGTCTATGTGAATTCTGAAGGTATTCATGCATTGAGGGAAGATCATCTCAGTTTAATGAAAGCAGTTTTTAATGTATATTCATTAAAAATTTTTTTGAAGTTTTTGTCTCTAGTACACAGAAACACACAATATTGTCATGGGTATTTGACCTTAATGTGTTTATGCACAAACTTAGTTATTCAAATATTTTCTTATCCCTGAAGAATCCTAATTATTAATAAAAAAATTTCTCATGGAAAACACATATATAATAGAGATTGTTGAGTGATAAAGTAAACTGTAGTAAATAACAGAAGCTTAGAACAAGTTAAGTAAACTTGTCTGAGTTAATAGCAATTACAGGACTTTTAAAATACATTAGACCATGAGGGAGTAGTGTGTTTGTGGGGTAGAGGACATCATGGTTCTGCTTCAGTGAAGAAAGAACTTTTAAACCTTATTACAATTTGTATTACTATTTACGTTCTAATAAAAACTTTATTTTCAGATATTTTAGATTATGTTTCTACTAGTTGAACCATCAATAGTAAGACTTTTCAAAGATTTGGGAAGTTGTGAGTTGATAAATATCTGTATCACCATTCATGATCAAAAATCAGACAGCAACTACAAGACTTTGGACACGCGAACTTCATAGTTAAAGAAAGGATTAATCTTGGAGCTGTGTTTTTATCAGGGAATTATACTCTTCATTGCCTCTGTGAATCACAGTTATTAGGGTAGAAAGAGAGCAAAGAAGGGAAACAAACATAGAAAATTTTATTCTAGATTACCTCAGTTGGCTTCATGCTACCATAGTTCTGGCTTTTAAAAAGTCATTTTGTGGTCAAATGTACTTTGTGTTTACTCCCTTTATGCAGCCTACAACCAAACAGAATGCTTCTTAGCAAGGCATTTGTATTCTTCCCTTAAGGAAAGCAACATATAAATAACAAAGAGAATGAGGAGAAAGAGTAATTTCACTGAAGTTGGTATATAACATAAATTTGTGTGCGGGTACCATGATTGTATTTAGAATTTTGGGCCTGGAATAGAAAACCAGCTAGACGTCTACAGATTTCCTACTCAAACACAATGTGCCTTTGTTTTATTTTTACATCTGTAATTTTGCAATTATTAGGTACAACTGTATGCAGTGTCACTAAAAATACCTTCCAAAACCAAATATTAAATAATGCCTATGGCTTTCTGTATTATAATGTTGATTTCCCCAATATTAATGGGAAACATTGAGCGTTTGCCTTGTGGTGTCTCCTCAGCTGTATTCACACATTCCATCACCTTGTCTTAATGGATAATCGTGCACTATAAGTATGGGTTTTCAGAAGAGCTGTATCATTTAAAGATAACACAGGAGCATCAAATTTAATTCTGCTAGAATACCTGGTCTATTGATTAACTGCAGCTAATATGGGGTCTACTTCACATACAAGTTAAATTCAGTGCCCTTAATCAGTCATATGGTCAGGTCAACAGTAATAAATTATGCAATATTTTTTCACCCCTATAGTTTTAATTTCTCTTTCCCCTTATGTCTAGAATTAACATTTTATTTTACAAAACATGATGATAATCTTCTAGAGTAGTGATGACAAAGTATAAATCCAAAGTTTCTTACCTATGCAAATGACTTGTTTGCTTCTATTTTCTCATGAGCTTGGTAGATCCAGGAAACAGAACTTTTAAAACAAAATCCCCATATGTGGCTGGGCGCGGTGGCTTGTGCCTGTAATCCCAGCACTTTGGGAGGCTGAGGTGGGCAGATAACCTGAGGTTGGGAGTTTGAGACCAGCCTGACCAACATGGAGAAACACATCTCTACTAAAAACACAAAATTAGCTGGGCATGGTGGCACATACCTGTAATTCCAGCTACTCGGGAGGCTGAGGCAGGAGAATCACTTGAACCTGGGAGGCAGCAGTTGTGGTGAGCTGAGATTGCACCACTGCACTTCAGCCTGGGCAGAAAGAGTGAAACTCCATCTCAAACAACAACAACAACAACAACAACAGCAACAGCAACAACCACCACAAAACCCAAATGCATTTCCTTGGCACAGTAAAACTGAAACAGAAAAAGTGTAAAGTAAATACAAGTAACTGAAACAGTTTATGTATATTATTTTACTTCTCATTTGATAAAATTTGTAAAGTAATGAGCAGAGTGTATTTCTCCAGGGACCCAGATATATACATTTATTCATTCAATAAAAATTCATTCTTACAATGGCCACTGATACTTATATCCTAAATATTTCTGAAAACATCTCCTCAGGCCTGCATCATCTTTGCAACACTGCCTTATATTTTATCTTCCTTCATTGATTTATATGCCTCAGGATTTTATGCTCCTCACAATAATTAGAGTTAATTATCTCTAATGCAAATAGATCTGTGAACCACTCCTGAATACCTATGTCCAAGCATCTTAAAGTTTTGTATAAGGATTTCAGAAACTGATTTCTGGGTTGGGCATGGTGGCTCGTGTCTATAATCCCAGCACTTTGGGACACTGAGGCAGGTGGATCATTTGAGGTCAGGAGTTCAAGACCAGCCTGGCCAACAAGGCGAAGCCCCATCTCTAATAGAATACAAAAATTAGCAGGTGGTAATGGCACATACCTGTAATCTCAGCTACTTGGGAGGCTGAGGCAGGAGAATTGCTTGAACCTGGGAGGCCGGGTTGCAGTGAGCCGAGATCATGCCACTGCACTCCAGTCTGGGAGACAGAGTAAGACGTTGTCCCAAAAAAAGAAAAGAAAAGGAAACTGATTTCTGCCCAAATCTCCATCTGTAGCCCTTTCCCCATCTGCCTTTTTCTCTGGAATTACTGAGCTGCTGGTAATGGCCCCCTCACCATTCCTCTTTTGCAGAGAAATACATACTCTCTTGGAGGCTTCTCTCCCTCTCTTGTTGCTGCCTGGCATGTGCTCACCCTTTCCTGCCCTCTGCCTCACTTAATCTGGCTAACCTTACTCTCTAAGTCTCAGCTCATGCATGATCTTTAGGAAAGCCATCCCTGACAGCTTTTATTTTCCTTCCTTATACCCCAGTGCCTAACACTTAGCAGGAACTCAATAAGTAATTATTTAGCAAAATTAAGACTGTTTATACAAAGATGATTCAAAAGATTGTCCTCTACAGTCTAGCAGCAAAGGGGATCAACATGTAAAGACATGATGTGCAGTTCAGGTGGTAAAGTGACACTGGAAAAATTGACAAAGTACTAAGGGACTCCAATGAAGCAGACACCTGTGTGTGTGGAGAAAGATAGCTAGAATCAAGGAAGACTTCACACAGCATTCTGAGCCTTTTTTTTTTCTTTTTTTGTTGTTGGAGACAAGTTCTTACTCTATCACCCAGGGTGGAGTGCGATGGTGTGATCGAGACTCACTGCAACCTCAAACTCCTGGGCTCGAGGGATCTTCTCACCTAAGCTTCTTGAGTAGCTGGGACTACAGGCACATATCACCATACCTGTCCAATTTTTTATAGAGTCAAGGTTATCTATGGTTCCCAGGCTGGTCTTAAAACTCCTGGCCTTGAGCAATTCTCCCATTTTGGCCTTCCAAAGTGCTGGGATTACAGATGTGAGCTATTATGCCCAGCCTACTTTCTGAGTCTTAAAAGATGAAAATAAATTTTTCAGAATAGTAGGGGAAAACATTTGCGATGTAAAAAATGGGGTGCACACTAATTAAGGTATAAACAACAATAATTTTGCAAATTATTAGTAACTGCCAACTCAATTAGTGTCTTGTTAAAAAGATAGTTATGAAGTATAGTAAAGTGTTACATTGTATATTTTGACTGTATTTCAAAATTTTGTTTTGTTTCTAACAGTTATGTTGATTTATGTTGGGTGGAACAATTTGTGAGTGACCCTGAGATTTCATATGGCTTGAACCTGGTGATATCTAGTGTCTCCCCAAGTGGTTTGTTGAAGTTTTGGATGATTAGAAGTATTTCTTAAAGAACTAAATATTTCAGTAAACATTAAGCTTCATTGAAACTCTCAAAATATAAAATACAAAGAAATGTTATTCTCTATTTATTTTTATATATAGTCTTTATCTAACTGTTCTTAGTTCATTTGAACTAAACCAATGAATTTGTCAACAGAACAAGCCTTACCAGTGGCTTCAGAGGAAGAGCAAGAAAGGCATGAAAGAAGTGAAAAGAAGCAACCACAGGTATATGAAAATTTAAGTTTCTTGTTTAATATTGGGTTTTGCTTTTTTGCTTTAGTAACAAAGCATAGTCCAAATGACATGACCTTTTAGACTATACCTTTAGAATCCGATAGATCATAATTTTATATTTAATTTTTAAAACATTTTAACCAGTTATGAAACTTAAGATATTCTTACTATCTCTAGTAACTATTCGTTATTCTGGTAATTCTTACTATCTCTAGTAACTCATAGCTATCTTTACCCTTGGAATTGAGGCAAGACATTTTCAGAATTATCTTGCTCTTTTATTTTTATAACCTTACTCATAATACAGAAGGTAACATGAAATATTGGGTCATATTATTAAGGAATAGAAATTATGAACAGTTTAACCACAATGGCCACTGAGTTAAACTAGTGTTAAAGGAGTCATCATTGCCAGTGGTTCAAATGTTGCAGTTTTATATTGCTGGTCACCAGTGCCGAGGTTAAAGATTTATTCTGTTTTGTGGTCACCATTTGACTTCTGTGTCTGTGTTCAGGGAGTGAATGGGGTCATAAAAGTCAACCCAGTTGCCTATTAAGAGAATCCTACCTTGTGGAATGGGACCTTTGGTGTCAGGGTACAAACAATAACTTTATTTTGACATAAATACATAGTAAATGTTACTAAAATTTAAAAAATCCATCCACTATCACTAGTGGAACTTAAAATATATTAGAAGTGGATATAAGCAGATAATCCATCTAGATACATAACACTATCATAGTATATTATTAGAATTAGAATTTAAAATTTTGCTTCCCTTTCTTATTGGTGTTCAGTTTGGCTCTTAATAATTCAGTGTTTGCCTAGTCTCTAGTTAATCTTCAGAAATATACACGTACTGTAGGGGCTCACTTTTTCTGGTATGCTGAGGTAAAATCTTTGTAAGAGAGGAAGATTTTATAATACTACCTATCAGCTTTGAATTCATTTCTGGTAGATTTTACACATAATGCATTAAGTTTAATCCAAACAAATGCTAAGAGTTCAGCTTGCCAGTTCATATTTCTGTCCTATGTTAAGCCAAGGCAAATTATTTTTCACTTTTTAGTTACAATCCCATAATTTAAGAGTGGCAACACATAGATTAAGTTTCACAGTTAAATTTTAATTATTTTCTAGTATTTTTGTTTATACTTGATTAAAGCTAATTTTAAAACATGCACTCTGACAGAAAAGACATCTGAGAAATAAAACAAGCAAACTTGTTTTCCATTTTGCACCTGCCGAAAAAAAAAAGTCTCAAGAACCAGAACTGGGTAAGAATTGTGATAAAGGGAATAATCTGTATATTCACGACTTTCTTTAAAATTCATTACAAACAAGTTCAAGCTGAATATTGGTGAAAGTTTTGAAAACTCCAGAATTACTGCTTGCCCTGAGGAAGAGCTCCTACATAGTAACTCTAAAGAGGGACGAACAAAAAAGGAGTGCCCTCTAATCTGATGAATCAGGTCCCTGATTGTGAGGAGGAAGATGCATCTGGAGGGTCTAACTCTGTGGCATTCCAGGCAGCGCCTGAACAGAAGAAGCCCATGTCAAATGTCTTTTTATTCCATTCATACTCCAGGTCCCTGAAATACAGTTACCAGTCATCTTCTAAGCTTCATTTAAATGAAAATAAATCAGACTATAAAAATGATAGCAAACCAGACACATAGCTTGTTTCTAACACAGATGATGAAAATTTTTGTAATGATACAGAAACCAAAAAATTAAGGAACCCAGTAATTATGATTGAAATGAAAGATGATTAAGAGTTTGACATGCAAATGGCAAAAAATGTAAACCCAGATACCACTAATTGGAAATTGGACATTAGGCATTGGCCTCAGTCTAGAGATCCAGAAAGTCTTTTTGATTTGTTGTTTACCCACCCCAAAGAAATGAAGCATATGATTCAGATAGAAAGCCACAGTATTTCTGCTGCTACAGATACTTACAAAAACAGAAAACCAATACAGCGTTTATTCCAGCAGCCACTATATGGCAATCCCAGTGCTAACAACTACAGAAGCATGAATCTTGAATTATAAAATGTGAGTTATTCTTTGCCACATAGTGAGAGAACATCAAAAATATAGCTAGAAGACTTATGGGAAGATATTCCAAGGTCACCAACATGGCACATGAATAGATATGTAACAAACCTGCATGTTGTGCACATGTACCAGAACTTAAAGTATAATAATAATTAAAAAAAAGAATGAGGTAGGCATGTTACAAGTTGAGTTCCTGGCTTTGGAGAAAAGCAAGTCCAACTTCAAAAAGACAGAGCTTCACTTGCTGCTTCTTTTTCCTCTTTATCAACTATTTGATTTAGTCAAATTTTCTATTCAAGAAAATCTCATGTGTACAGTTACAGTGGGGTTATCTAAATGTGTAATTATGTGTCAAAGTAGATTAGTTCTGCTATCTAAATAATGGTTCTGGAGAATGTTCTCATAATGTTTGTTCATTAATCAACCTATGTCTCACTATCAGTCTTCCAAGTGGCGTATGAGCTGGGAAACTAATTCAGCCATACACCATGTGACCTTCTGAACCAGATCAACATAAAGAAATTGCTAAAGAAACAAGCTCTAGATTCTAGATTCTTTTTTCTGTATTCATTTAGAGATGATTTACATTTATTTAATGATAGAATGGGAATACAATGGGAGGGAAGCAATGACTGAGACAAGCCACAAAAACACGTCTAGCCTTGAGAGTTGCAACGAATATTCCCAGCCAAATGAGTCTGTTTAATGTATTTTCATGCATGCAAGTTTATCTGCTTAGCTCAAACTGTTTGAACTTACAGTCCCATCATGGTTATTTCCAATATTTTTGAAAACAAACATATACTTACACATATTTTAAAAAATCACCACTCTGCAATATTTCTGTTGAATCAGACCTTACATTATGTTGTTTAATAAAGTATGGTAAGTTTTGGCATGTATGAATTTTATCATATAAGAAGCATAATTTCTTAGCCAAAAATTTAGCCTTTGACTCTTTGGTAGAAAGTTGAGTTCTGTACATTTTGTTCTAAAGATAGACAAAAATCTAGAGATTTTCTTCTTTCAAAGTAAAAGCAGATGAGGCCTTTTTCCACCCTCTGAGGCATTAAATTGCTTTGCTCAAGTTAGACTTTTAATATATCTGACTAATTTGATAAATCTATCTGGTAATTTATGTAATTCAGCAATATGGAATTGTATCATGTTATATGGTGCCATGAAATGCTAGTGAATGCCACCTCAAGAGCTCTGGATGAAACATTTAATATGTCTTGGTTGGTTTGACTCCCATTATCAGTAGATAATGGGGTTAAAGTAGGTAACTGTACCATATGTTTTCCACCTATAAACTTTTGTGGTAATTGAAAGTGAAATCTGGGAAGCATCTCATTTTCCAGAATTCTGCACTAGAAACTCAGCAGTTTCACTCTGCTTCTTTTGTTGTGGCAAACGTTGGTTCCCATAATTCAAAGAGAACCTTTACTTTTTTGATATCACAGGATTCAAAAAAAAAAAAGAGAGATAAAAGGCAGTGGGGAAAAGAGTAGCTCAGTACAGAAAAGGGAAAACTTCTTTACTGTTCCTGAAGGCCTACAAGGTCACATCCTCTTAATCTGGCTATTTCATGTAAAATCCAGGTAGTAAAGACAGAAGACATATGTTATGCCTGTGTCTTTTTATTTCTCTGTTTCTGCCAGCCAGATAGCATAAAAATTTATACCAGATAGCAAAGAGTGGATGGGAATAAAAGCACAAAATGGAGAAGAGCCCTTTTTGAAATTTTAGAAAATTCTTCTATTCCCTCAAACAGAAATGAGCAGATTTGACAAAAATTTCGATGATAAGATAAGAGTATCTTACAATTATAATAATTATGTATAATGATAAAATTAAAGTAAGCACAAAATACTTTTATCATTAAAGTGGTGATAGTTAACCTGAATCAAGTAAAAAAAATCAGGGAAAAAGTTCTTTTTATTGAATAAAATAATAACAATTATTATTCATATTACTTTTATTAAAGGTCAAAGAAGGAAATAATACAAACAAAAGTGAAAAAATACAACTTTCAGAAAATATATGTGATAGTACATCTTCTGCTGCTGCTGGCAGATTAACCCAACAAAGAAAGATTGGGAAAACGTATCCTCAGCAATTTCCCAAGAAGCTGAAGGAAGAGCATGATAGGTAAGCCTATAGCAGTTGTTTTTTTTTTTGTTGTTTGGTTTTGGGTTTTTTTTGTTTGTTTTTGTTTTTTTGAGATGGAGTTTCTCTCTTGTTGCCCAAGCTGGAGTGCAATGGTGTGATCTCAGCTCACTGCAACCTCTGCCTCCTGGGTTCAAGCGATTCTCCTGACTCAGTCTCCCTAGTAGCTGGGATTACAGGCATGTGCCACCATGCCCAGCTAATTTTTTGTATTTTTAGTAAAAATAGGATTTCACCATGTTAGCCAAGCTGGTCTCGAACTCCTGACTTCAGGTGTTCTGCCCACCTCAGCCTCCCAAAGTGCTGGGTTTACAGGAGTGAGCCACCATGCCTGGCCGCCTATAGCAGTATTTCACAGGAGATAATTGTCATTGTGCTATAAACTAATTCAAAGTTGGACTAATATTCCTTATGATTAACAAGTTTTATATTTTTACCAGGGGTAATTAGCCCTGCCTGGTAATCAGAA